>NC_000018.10:78153795-78455151 GCF_000001405.40 Homo sapiens | reverse complement strand
GATTTCAAGCCAGGCCAACTCTCCAAGAACTAACTCCCAAAGATGCCCCATCCTCATGCCCCCATGCACAAGAAATTAATCTGTATATTTTATGTTCTTTAGAAATTTCTCAAATAACATAAAGGATGCATACCACATTATTTATAATTCCCTCAGATACATTAGGTAAACTGATTATGTATCAAAGAGTCTTCCCATTGGTTTATTTTTCTTACCTACAAAATGAGAGTAAGCATTCTTCTCCATAGACTCCATAAGAAAATTGTAAGAATCGTATGAATTAATGCCTGAAAACAAGTAATGTATGACACAGTGTTATCTAGATAACAGTAATCATCGCCACCAGAACTGTCATCCTGCAGACAGAATATAGCTTGGAACACACACACAGCTGTCTTCGTACTCCCATCTGTAGAAATTTGCCTTTTTTTCCATCAAAATGTTCATCGAAGTGTGTTGTATTTTTTCATCATCAATCTCTTTGGAGTGCCCAATCAATAACTAATACAAAGACAGTTGTTTTTGAAGACTCAATACAGCACAGAAGAAAAATGCCCATTAGTGAATATTGCATCAGAGCTGAGAGGTCATTGAGCTGAAATGTCGGAAAGGGATTCAGGGAACTCGAGGGTCTGTGGTTGTGCTCCTGTGGGTCCTGGGTGACAGGATTTCCCGAACAATGTCTGTGAAGGGAAAGGTCAACTTGCGGCGAGACAGAGGACTTGTTGGCAGGGAGAATGCGCAGAGGCTAAGGAGAGGCGGCTGTCCAGCTGTCCTCCGTAAGGACTCAGCATGTAAGCAGTTTTTCTCTTGACTTTTCCAGACTTTTGGACCCAAGTCTTATGCTTCCTTTAGTAATTTTGTAATTCTTGCTTCGTTGTGCCTCAACTGCAGTGGTACATAGAAACTGACAGGTGTGTTGTGGGCTTAAAAAAGAAGCAATTAATAATATATATGTAGCATGTTTATAAATTCTTGTTTCCTGAGCAATTTGTTCAAGCTAATAGTTGGGGGCGGGGGTGGGTGGGTATTAAATTAGAAGGTATTGCCAGTCCTCGTTGACAGTTTAAATTGCAGGGGTTTTATGGAAACTGCGCAACGGCATTCCAAATTGACCACTTCCCCAGCCAGTGGACGGGCCACGGTCAGGCACATGTGCAGTGCCCAGTCTGCACTCTGCCTGGATTCATCTCATTGAATCAACTCAACTCATAAATCCATGTAACTATGTGCTGATTTATTTTTGCGATGCTCTCCTCCCCTGGGGGCTGCCTGGGAAGGTGGCGTGTGGTCTTCCTCCCATGAGCTGAGGGCCTGGCATGCACGGTGCCTCGTGCTCAACAGCAGACGTTTGACCCCCTAGAAGATCTACCACACACCTGGCTGTGGACAGAACTGCCCCCTGCCTGCATGCTCTCCTGCTGGTGGAACTCATTCCAGCCCAGCACTGACCTCCAGACTCCAGCTATTACAATGCCGTATTATCAGTATTATCTCCTAAGAGGACAATGTTTTTTAAGTTTTAAAAGGAGTCCTATTTTGTTACTGAGAAGCATTAACACAAATACATGAATTAGAATTTTCTATCTTTGTAACTCAATCATGAAAAAGCTTGTATGATACATCTGGATTGGCAATGAAAATGTATCTTTTTCTGGGTATTGGAGCATTGTTTCTTTATACCAAAATAATTCTTCACGCATTATCCTAAGATTTCTTTTTTTTTTTTTTTTTTTTTTTTTTTTTTTTTTTTTTTGAGACGGAGTCTCGCTCTGTCGCCCAGGCCGGACTGCGGACTGCAGTGGCGCAATCTCGGCTCACTGCAAGCTCCGCTTCCCGGGTTCACGCCATTCTCCTGCCTCAGCCTCCCGAGTAGCTGGGACTACAGGCGCCCGCCACCGCGCCCGGCTAATTTTTTGTATTTTTAGTAGAGACGGGGTTTCACCTTGTTAGCCAGGATGGTCTCGATCTCCTGACCTCATGATCCACCCGCCTCGGCCTCCCAAAGTGCTGGAAGATTTCTTTTTAATTGTCAGAAAGAAAATATGCACAACATAATTTCATCTTATCTGATAGCACAACAGAAGAGGAAAGGATGTTTTTTTTCCTCATAGGAAAACACACATGTCTGTGGACTCTCTCTTAGGAGGGTCTGGATGGTTTTCACGGCTCCTTCATTTTCATACGATGAAAGGAGTTTTCCTCCAGCCACCTTACCCTTCTGTATATGAGTCTGTTTATAGGTAGACACTTAAGGCTCTATCTGCAATTGCAATCATTAGTATCTAGCACTTCATAAATATCCCTTTAAGATGCTATTTGATACCTTCTATAGTCTTGGAGGAAACAGTCCGGATACTCCTGTTTCCAAAGCGGCTAAATGTATTACAATAAATTTGCTTTCTCTGTGCTGTGGAATTGGAAACCTATAAGATGGTGAATAAGAAAACTGATACCACTGCTTATCTGTCCGAAAGCTAGTGGTGTTAGGAAGCCCAGTAATTGAAAAATGGATAGCATTGATATTTGAACCTTTTTATATAACCTTTGAAGTGTAAGCCTTTTGGGGAATAAATTGCTTTTTGTAACAAGAACAATGTCAGATCCCATATTTAGAAAGCATGCACTTAATTCATTTTCAGACGAAGAAACTCATGTTGTCTTGTTGGGAAAAACATTGCAAAATGGATTAAGCTTCACCCTGGAGAGATGATAACCTAATATAAATAACTGCAGGCTGATCTTTATTAGTTACTGAGCAAATATTGCCAAATAGGACAGGCGACCTTCAATGGTGATTGATCTAGGATAAGTCATGCACAACATTGTCTTCGGAGAATAACTTTGGGGCATTTTGGGATCTTTAGTCTCTTCTTATTTAAGGGGACGCGGTGAAGCTAATGTTGGAGAAGAGTAAGTGCATCTTATTTAATGGTAAGGATTAGCGTTCACACCGAGCAAAGTAATGACATCCGGTTCTGGGGTGGGCAAAATGGTCAATGTGTGTTGAACTGATCAGGACTGCGGGGGCAGGGTTCTTAGCTGAAAACCTACACCCCACAAAACTTCTCAAGTTGAGGCTGCCTGAGCTCTGCGTTTCATCAGTTCTGTAGCAATGAATAATTTACTCGGCGTGACATTGGGTAACTGGACCGGGACAGGATCCGGCGTGTATTATAACTTTGAGAGGCAGGTTTGGGGAAGATGTCAGCTATGTCTGCGTTATACCGAAATGGCCAATCAATATGAAGAGGAATAAAAGTCAAAGAGGTTGTTACCACAGAAACAAATATAATTAAAAACAAACTCGGATATTTGTCCTGAGTTTCACTTCTCAGGTGATGGTCTCAGGCAACAAGAATGGCTATATTGTTCCAGTTTCCTCTCTTCTTTTAAAAACTTTTGTTTGAAATGTAAATGTCTCTATTTCAAAAGCTTTTGTAACCTCTTCACATTCCTCAGTCTCATTCTTTCAAAACAAGTGGACACAAAATGACCTGCTGTTGTCTACACTGATGCCGTTGTGTTCCATAAAGCTGCACCCCACGCACACTTCATAGCCAGCATCCGTGGGGACAGTGAGAAATAACGTCTTAAAAGCACGTGGCGAGCAGGGCGTGGTGGCTCAAGCCTGTAATCCCAGCACTTTGGGAGGCCAAGGTGGGCAGATCACGAGGTCAGGAGTTTGAGACCAGCCTGGCCAAAGTGCTGAAACTCCGTCTCTACTAAAAACACAAAAATTAGCTGGGTGTGGTGGCAGGTGCCTGTGATCCTAGCTACTCAGGAGGCTGAGACAGGAGAATCGCTTGAACCCGGGAGGTGGAGGTTGCAGTGAGCCAAGCCCGTGCCACTGCACTCCAGTCTGGGTGACAGTGGGAGACTCCATCTCAAAAAAAAAAAAAAAAGAGCATGTAGCGCAGGGAACGGTCTATGTCGTATTTCTAAGGAGAATACTTTTTGAGAGATAATGATTATTTGTCATAAAACTCCTCCTTTTATCAGACAGCCCTACGATGGGGAGTCAGGGACTGCAGGTCCCTCGTCTGTGACCACACCCCCTGGAAGGAGAGGAATTGAGGGAGCTGACTGGGTGGGTGGGGTGGGATTGAGTCACAGACATATGTGCTGTTGGTTGGGAAGGAAGCGGAGTGGTTCCAGGGCTGCCCACGGTGTCACCTGGCCAGTCCCACGCTGGGCCAACACATGAAGGCCGTCTTGCAGGGGAGGCTCATACGCCGCAGGCATAGGTGTGGCTGTGTGCAGGCGAGTAACAGGCTTTGTGTATGTGACGTAGGCAGGTTTGTGTCCTGTGTTTTATGACACATAAGCAGGTGTTTTTTAGGTAAAATTAATAAGTGGTAAATTTATCTCTTTCTCCATTACCAGTTAAAATGTCGTGGGAAATGTGCAGCATCCATTGCTTTAGGGTAAAATTTCAGTATTTAAGTTTTTAAAAATAAATGTTTACTTTTAGAATATTTTTAAATTTACAGAAAAAATTGCAGAGTAAAGAGTTTTCCTAATATTACCATCTTGCATTAGTGTGGCACATCTGCTGGGGTTAATACACCAGTATTGATACAGCATGATTAACATCGCATTTCCTTAGTTTTTTCCTGAAGCCCTCCTTCTGTCCCAGGGTCCCAACCAGGACATCACTGTGCAGTTAACCCCTCCCCCTGGGCACCTCTCAGGGTGACAGTGTCCAGTCTTGTCTTGTTTTCGATGACCTTGACAGTTTTGAGATGTACTGGTTGGGTATTTTGTAGACTGTCCCTCTATTTGAGTTTGTCTGATGATTTCCTCATGAGTAGATCGGGGTCATGTGCTGGGGGAGGAAGACCACGGAGCTGAGGCGCCGTTCTCATCACATCCTGCGGAGGCTGCGTCTAGCAATGTGTCGTATCTCTGCTGACCTTACTCACTTGCTCAGGTGGGGTGTGTCAGGTGCAGCCGCCCCCGACCCTGTTCCACATGGGACGATTTGAAGGGAAGGCATTTAAAGGGTGGGGAGTGATGAGTCAGCTCCCTGAGGACAGAGGGCAGCACTCACTTTTGGAATTCTTCTACCTGGGAGGTGTGTCTGTTCTCCCGTTCACCTGCCTACTCCATCATTGACTTCTCTGTGTGTGGAATCAAGGGTATTTATTGTCTACAAGGGTGACGATCTGATGCTTCTTGATTTGTCCCCTCTTCAAACTGTCCCAGCCCATCCAGTTGGCCTCTGTGTCCCCTTGGCATGTCCCCATCAATAGTCACTTATGTGCGTGTAGTTGTGTGTGGCTGTGCGTGTGTGAAGTTGTGTATGGTTATCTGTGTGTGTTTGTGTATGGTTGGGTGTGGTTGTGTGGGAATGGTTGTGTGTGCATGGTTGTGTGTGGTTGGGTATGGTTTTGTGTGTATGGTTGTGTGTGGTTGCATGCTGTTGTATGTCTGTGGTTGTGTGTGAGTGGTTGTGTGTGGTTGTCATTGTGTGCGCTTGTGTAGGGTTGTGTGTGGTTGTTTGTCATTGTGTGTGGGGTTGTGTGTCATATGGTTGTGGTGGATTGTGTGTGTGGGGTTGTGTATGGTGTGTGTGATTTTGCATATCTGGTTGTGTATGATTGTGTGTGGCTGGGTGTGTATGTTTGTGTGTGTAGTTGTGTGTAATTTGTATGATTGGGTTAGTGTGTGTGTGGGGTTGTGTATGGTTGTGTGTGTGGTTGTGTGTGATTTGTATTATTGTGTGGGGTTGTGTGTGGGATTGTGTATGGTTGTGTGGGGTTGTGTGTTTGTGTGTGAGTGGTTTTGTATCTATGGTGGTGTATGGTTGTGTGTGGCTGTGTCTGGTTGTGCATGGTTGTGTGTGTGGTTGAGTGTGATTTGTATGATTGCATGAGGTTGTGTGTGTGGGCTTGTGCATGGTTGTGTGTGGTTGTGAGTGGTTTTGTGTATATGGTTGTGTATGGTTGTGTGTGTGATTGTGTGTGTTTTGTATGATGTGGGATAGTGTGGGGGGGTTGTGTATGATAGTGTGGGGTTGTGTGTGGGGTTGTGTATGGTTGTATATGATTGTGTGTGAGTGGTTGTGTATATGGTTGTGTATGGTTGTATGTGTAGTTGTGTGTGCTTTGTATGATTGTGCGGCTTTGTGTATGGTTGTGTGGGGTTGTGTACGGTTATGCATGGTTGTGTGTTTGTGGTTGTGTATGGCTGTGTGTGTGTGGTTTTGTGTGTGTGCTTAGCACTTCCCTGCTTTCTGGCATCATAAGATACTCCAGGCTCATCTTTGCTGCTGAAGCCCTACAATCAGCCATTTCTCCAGAGAGCCCCTCTTTCTTTTATTGGAGAATCCTATTAGAAACCATGATTTGGGTGCCAAGAGAATAATTAAGTTTTAATTGAGAAAATAGGAACAGACATTAAGACCAGGCAGGCTGGTGCTGGACTTGAGCACTATGCGTCTGGTTCTGCTTCAGTCACTGACTAGCTGTGGGGACTTGGGAAAATGGATTTTCCTCTGACTTAACTTTCTCGACTTTAGAATGGGAGTAACAGCAGCGCCCAGCACAGAACAGCTTGGAGGACTGAATGAATTAGAGCCCATGTGGTGTGTGCCACACAGTGAGTGGTGAACACATTGGGTTTGTCTGCTGCCCATTTACCTGCTGTCCCTGAAACCCCTGCCCTGGGGGCTCTGCTCTCTACTGCTGGGTGGGGTCAGCACTTCCTATCACTGGCTCCCTTGCCAGTTGGCCCTTGTTAGGATCTGCCAATAGGAAGATGGAAAGGCAGGAGGGGAGACACTTCCTGCTCTGCTGCCGCCTTGTGGACAGGTGCTGGTGGTTGGCTTGGCAGCAGCAGGGGTGTTAGGGATCCAGACTGAGACAGTTTGGGTGGCGGAGTCAGCACTATCGTTTTATTGGCCCACTGGCTGGAAGCTACCCTGCCCTGGGGACAAAGAGCTGAGTGTGGCAGTGTCTCCAGCAGCAGGTGCAGGGGTGCCAGCTCTCCTGACCCTGAGCGTCAGCATCTTTTTTGCCTGCTCAGTAACCCTCGTTTTTCTCTTGCAGTCATTTGCACTGTGGCAAAAAAACCCCATGTGTTATATCCCTTGTCTTTGTTTCTCAGGCTAATAAGGCATTATTACTATTATTATTTGCTTTATCACTGCTACTGATAAATAATTTAAATATGCAAGCAGTTTTGCAGCCACCCATTTTCTTGGGCATATTGTACACCTGATTTACTCATGTTACACACAGCTGCCCCAATTGTCACGGGGTCAGATTCAGATTTCTGAAATAACTTGGTTGTCTCCAGATTAGAAGTCATCCAGCAAGATGTAACTGATATCAAAATGGAAAGTGGACAGATCCTTACTCTCTGTTGTAAAAAGCAGTCACACACACGTTTTCTTAAAATGTTATATATGTCATATCTGCTGTTTCTGGAATTGGGAGAAGCAGCTGCATACTGTTAGCTCTGCCTTTGTAGGCTGGTATGGGGTTTGGCTACAGTGGACCCCACATCGGGATTAGCCTCTTGACTGATGTGATGTTTAGGAAACATCATTGTTTAAGGATGGGAAGACCCTTCTCCCAGCAGCTGTTACTGAGTTCGCCTGGTAAATGCTACCTGAAGGTCCTACCAGAATAAAGAATGTGCCCTGATATGGAGGAAGACACCCAGTGGGAGAGTAACTATGAAAGCAAAGCTCATTTTTTGAGTTTGGCAAAGATCCATTATGTTCCTGTATCTTTTTATAACTCTGAAATAAATCTCACTGAGGTTTCCCAGATGGCGCTGAGGATAAATTCTATGTGAACACTTTTCTCTGTGTGTGCCAGGCTACGTCTACATTACTTTCACAACCAGTTAAAACTTCAGTCTAGTCTTTTTTTTTTGTTAGACTGCACAATGCCAAAAAATGCCTGATTTTTAATTTAAGTGGGACGTTTGGTGAACTGATCAAGTAAATACATGATGTTGGCCTTTTAGATTCAGTCTTTGCTCCTGAAAATACATTCCAGGGTATTTATTTTCATAAAAGAAGAAGGAAATAACTCATGTGAGAAGACTAATGGCTAAGCGCCTCCCATCTACCTAGATTTATCACTTGCCACCTAGGAGACTTTGACCCAGTCCTCTGGGACCTGAGTTTCCCCATCTGCAAAAATGGCAAGCAAAGCAGCGTCTCCTTCACCTGGTCGCCGTGAGGCCCGAGCTGCTTAACAGAGATGAAGACAGAACAGTGCTGAGCGGGAGCAAGTGCTGGGTGCGTGGTGACAAGTGCTGGGTGCGTGGTGACTATATGTCTTAGAATCTCCCTCACTGATCCAAAATCATCTTTGTGTGTGTGTGAATCACTGTCCTCTTTATGCTCTTGTTTCTCCATTTGAAAAATGAGGTGGTTGTGCAATACCCTCCAGAATTAAAATTTTCTAAGATTTTCAAAAACAGCTCAACGAATCCGCCTAATTAAAGTTTAATCCCATTTTCATATTGCATTTTTAATTAGGCATGCGGGTTATGGTACATGATGTCTGGACCCCGCCTGTTTTGCAAATGCCTTTTCTCTGCATCTCTGCTGACTGCCCAGGCTCTAGCCAGGCAGGACCATGGGCTCTGGCCAGCTCCCCACGGGGGTTCCTGCCATTCTCATTCTTTGGTCCTTTCTTTTCTCCCATCTCTACCTATGGAACTCTTTCTCAACTATGAAGACCTTCAAGGCTGCTTACTGCTGTTACAACTCAGGTGGAACTCCTCACTGTTGCTCCCGGGTCCCCCATCACCTCTTTACTTGCCTGCTGGCCTCTCTCCCACAGTGCTCTTCCCTGCTTGCTCCTGGGGAGCCTTCCTGGCCTTCAGCCCCTTTCTTAGGCCGACTCGGCTGTGGCTCACATCCTCTCAAGGGGCTGGCATTTTCCTTTTCTTTGGCTTGGATGATCTTCCCTAGTAACTTTTATGGCCGATTCTTATCTTCAGGATCAAGGCCAAGTGTCAACTTCTTGGAGAAGTCTTTCCCAGCTGCCTACCTTGTATTCTTAGTAGCATCACCACAGTCCGGCGGCTGCACGTGGCTGGCGCTCTCTGCAGCTGACTTGTGAAACCACGGTTTTCTCGTCTATTGCGGAGCTCGCTTGCTGGCGGGAACTCTGGTCTCCTTGCTCAGCCCTGACCTTGCTGGCTAGACCAGAGCCTGTCACATAGTAGCACGCTGAATATTTGTTGAATAAAGAAGGCCTAGTTTAAATGAATGTTCTCTCCTCAAAGAAGCCTCCGATCTTTATGGGTGTAAAGTAGAAGAAGAAAATGACTAAGAAAATCTAAAATGCAACCCAAGTCACTGTGATGGAGAGGTTTTCAGCACTGGATCAACTGCAGTATAAAACACTCTTCTTTCTGAACCATGTGCTGAGGGTCATTGTACCATCTGGTTCCTGACTTTATCTCTTCAGTCTCATCCTTGGCCCCCTCCCCATGACTCCTCTTTCCCTTCATCTCCATTCCCTTCCTTCCTTCTCCTTATTAAACATTGTTTCAAGTTTACAAAAAAGTATAGTAAATAATAGGACATAATCAACTCCAGCTTTGTTAAATATAATATTCTGCTATATTTTCTTGTGATATTTTCCTTTCCATCTTTATTTTTACTTTTCAGATAATAAAACAGATAATTGCATATCTGTGTGTTCTCATCCTCAATTTTAATTCTTTCACCCCAGAGTAGCCTCTCCTGAACTTCGGTGATTCTGAGTCCCAACTACAATATAAATTTTGCACTACACATCTATATATCCCTTAATGATGTAGTAAGATTTTAAGTGTTTGTAAATTTTTTATAAATGTGATTAGTTCACCCACGTTCTGTTTTTACAGTACTTCTGATAATTGTCCAGGTCGATGCAGGTAGCGCTGGAACTCACTGCTTTTTAATCCTATGTAGTACATCATCATACAAATCTAACAGCATTGATTGATTCTGCTTTTGATAGAAATGTACTTAAAAAATAATCGCAAATAATGTTATGCATAATTTTGTAGGGGTGACTGTTGCACATGTGGGGTGTTTTTCCTAAAAGATATAGATTGTAGCTGCATTTTCGTCACCTGGAACACCAGGACATAATGGGTCTGCAGTGAATATTGCTGAATATTTTTTAGGGGTTCCAGCACATGTACATACACTATATGGCACCATGAAGAAGCATCGTGCGTCTCTTCATTTGTTCAGATATTGTAATGTTTCAAATAATGCTTTACTTAAAAAAGCTATTTTTGATTTATTCTTAGTTATTTCCTAATTATAATGTTACTGTAAATTAGACTTTTAAAGTTGACCTCTTAATTGTTTATAGATGGTTTATAGCACTACAGTTCCAGAACTGTCTTATTATTTCTTTTTGTAAAAAAAATTCGAGACAGAGTCTCGCTTTGTTACCCAGGTTGGAGTGCAGTGGTATGATCATAGCTCACTGAAGCCTCGACGTCCTAGGCTCAAGCAATCCTCCTGACTCAGCACCCCTGAGTACCTGGGACTACAGGCATGTGTCACCATGCCTGACTAACTTTTCTTTTTCTTTTTTGTATTTTTTGTAGAGATGGGGATCTCACCATGTTGCCCAGGCTGGACTTGAACTCCTGGACCCAAGTGATCTGCTCACCTCAGCCTCCTCCCAAAGTGCTGGGATTACAAGCATGAGCCACTGCACCTGACTTATTTCTAATAACTTGTTTGTAGAATCTCTTGACCCTAGAGTGTCATATCACCTCAAAATAACACTTTTTTTCATTCTTTCCAGTGCATAAACCTTTTCTTTGTTTTACTTAGTGAGCAGGTTTCCTTCTCCAGCACATACTGAAGTCATAATAATGACTAATCTCATTTTGTATGATTTTAAAGAGAATGCTGAAAATATTTCTCTATTAACTAATTACATTTATTAACTAATAAATGTTAACTACCAAAACTTTATTGCAATCTTGGTGTAGGGTAGTTAACTAAAGTTGGTAGTTAACATTTATTAGGCTGAGGATTTTTCCTCTAGTTCTGTATATTTCATTATTTTTTGCATGATTAATTTGATCAAAGTTTAAATTTTAACAATTATTTGTATAACTCAATAGGTAATTTTAGATTTTTCTCCTTTAATTTATCAGAGTTGTGAATTATATTAGTAGATTATTTATATTAAGCCATTCTTGCATCTCTGGAATGGACCTAATTTGGTCATGATGTAACTTTTTAAAAGAAAACAAGCTGGATGTATTGATATTTTAATTAGGATGTCTGCATCTATGTTTATTAATCAACATTGGCCTATAGTTTCCCTCTGTCATCCTGTTTTTGAATGAGTTTGGCATAAAGGTTACACTGACTGCATAAAATGAGCTAAGGAATCCCCCTTTCCCATTCTCTGAGACAGAGAGATGTAGATTTGCATAATCTGTATCTTGAATATTTGGTAGAAGTCCTCTGTAAGACTTTCTGAGTAGCTGGTTGGTTTTTGCTATGTGTGTGTTTATTTTATTGGGGGTTTTGTTGTTTTGGTGGTAGATTTTTAATAGAAAATGTTATTTTTGTAATGATTTTTAAATCCAATTAAATTTTGTAATTGTTCTCAATTGTGTACGAAGTTACAGATTTATTAGGTATTGCCTTTTTAATCTAAACTTTCAGATTTCTTGACATACAAGTATGTATTTTATTCCCTTATAATGGATCAAACCTCTGCTGTCAGCGCGTGTGTGTGTGTATGTGTGTGTGTCTGTGTTTCATACCTAACAGTGGTTTTTCTATGCTTTCTTTTCTTCCTTGATCAATCTTTTTTTTTTTTTTTTCTTATTAAAAATATCTTTTTTTTTTTTTACTTTAAGTTCTAGGATACATGCACAGAACGTGCAGGTTTGTTACATAGGTATACATGTGCCATGGTGGTTTGCTGCATCTATCAACCAGTCATCTAGGTTTCGGCCCCATATGCATTAGCTATTTGTCATGGTGCCATCCCTCCCCTCTCCCCCAACCCCATGACAGGCCCGAGTGTGTGTTGTTCCCCTCCCTTTGTCCATGTGTTCTCATTGTTCAATTCCCACTTATGAGTGAGAACATGTGGTGTTTGGTTTTCTGTTACTGTGTTAGTTTTCTGGGAATGATGCCTTCCAGCTTTATCCATGTCCCTGCAAAGGACATGATCTCATTCTTTTTTATGGCTGCATAGTATTCCATGGTGTATATGTACCACATTTTCTGTATCCAGTCTATCATTAATGGGCATTTGGGTTGGTTCCATCTCTTTGCTATTGCAATTAGTGCTGCAATAAACATAGCTGTGCATGTGTCTTTATAGTAGAATGATTTATGTTCCTTTGGGTATACACTCAGTAATGGGATTGCTGGGTCAAATGGTATTTGGGTTTTAGATCCTTGAGGAATTGTCACAGTGTCTTCCACAATGATTGAAGTAATTTACATTCCCACCAACAGTGTAAAAGCATTCCTATTTCTCTACAGCCTCACCAGCATCTATTGGTTCTTGACTTTTTAATAACCACCATTCTAACTCACGTGAGATGTTATCTTGTTGTGGTTTTGATTTGCATTTCTCTAATGATCAGTCATGTTGAGCTTTTTTGCATATGTTTGTTGGCCATGTAAATGTCTTCTTTTGAGAAGCGTCTTTTCATATACTTTGCCCCCTTTCAAATGGGGTTGTTTGTTTTTTCTTGTAAATTTGTTTAAGTTCCTTACACCTTATACAAAAATTAACTCAAGATGAATTAAAGACTTCAATGTGAAACCCAAAATTATGAAAACCCTAGAATAAAACCTAGGCAATACCACTCAGGACATAGGCATAGACGAAAATGCCAAAAGCAATGTCAACAAAAGCCAAAATTGACAAATGGGATCTAATTAAACTAAAGAGCATCTGCATAGCAAAAGAAACTATCATCAGAGTGAACAGGCAACCTGCAGAATGGGAGAAAACTTTTGCAATCTACCATCTGACAAAGGTCTAATATCCAGAACCTTGATCAATCTTTTACGAGGTGTGATAATTTAATGATGCAAAGGATAAATTTATCATTCTTGATTTTTGTTTGTTTTCCATTTCACTGAGTTTTATTCTGAGCTACCGTACTGCTTACCTTCCACTTTCTTTGCCTTTATTTTTCCTGTGATGAGGTTTCTATGGCTTGAGTTGTACACTGGGCTACAGACTCCTGAAATAAACTTCCATAGCTACGTTTCCCTTTCAGTACTGCTTTAGGTACATATAAAAAGTTTTGGTTAAATGTTCACTGTCATTCTATTCTAAGTGTTTTCTAATTTCCACCATGATCTTTCTTATTGCTGTGGTGCTTCTAAGTTACTTACAAGTGAATTTTTAAATTCCAAATAAATGACATTTTTAATTTTTGATTTATTAGATTGTTTGGTAGAATGTGCTTTGTATTTTATCAATTCTTTGGCCAAGTACATAATCAATTTTATAAATATTCTATGTATGCCTGAAAAGATTGTGCATTTTTTCAATTGTTGAGTACAATGCTTTAGGCATGTCCATTAAATCAAGTCTGATAAATGTTTTGTTGAAGTCTCCTCTAGATACACCATTTTTTGGGTCTATTACACCTATCAGTTATCAACAAAAGAATGATAAATTATACTACTGTGATTATAGAGGTTTCAATGTTTCTTTGTATCTGTTACTTTTCTTTATGTATTAGAAGCTATTACAAGGTAAAGGAAACTAGAATGATTATATCTTCTTAGTGAAGTGTTCCATTTATCATTCAATAGTAACCATTTTTAATATTGAGGTCTATTGTGTAATATTGAAATAGCTCACAAGCTTTTTATATAATTAGAATTTCTTACCTACTATTCCATGTATAATGTAGTTATACATTATATCTTTATTTGTCTAGTGGTTTACCTTAAATATTTAAAAATATTCTTGACCCAACCAGGTTTAAATATAAGCAATAGCTCCACCTCCTCTCTCAATACTTAACCTCCAAATTCTCTAATTCTGATCGTTCTCTTGTACTAAATCTTATTATCTAGTATTTGAGTTCTACCTGTGTTTATACTCTCCAAACAGTCATCATCATTGTTACCAACATTGTTTTATGTAGTTAGAGCTTACCAAGATGAACTCATCTACTTGCACATTTTCTTGATCATTATTCCTTTCTTTATCATCCTATTTTATTTCTCTGAAATCAGTTTCCTTCTCTATGATAAATCCTTTGGGAGTTGTCTTCATTGGGTGTTAGTAGTAAACATCTTAGTCCTATTAGATCCGTAAACTTTGGAAAATTATTTAGGCTTTTATACTTAGATTTTGTCATCCGTAAAGTGGGGATGAGAGTGGTTCCTTTCCTGTGAATGGAAGGCGTGCTCCATGTAAACATCTGGAGCAGAATCTGTGCATACGGAGTGCTTTGGGAATGTCGGCTACTTATATGGTCATTGCTGTTTCCTGGAAATACAATTTTTCACCCTCACCTGTTAATAATAATTTAGCTGAGTAGCCTATTCCAGGCTCGGGGTGAATTTTCCTTACCACTTTGGAAATACTAATAACCTGTCTCCGGCTTCAGCCGTTGCTTTTGAGAAGTCAGCTTCCTGTTAAATACTGTTCCCTTCCTGGAAATCACCTTTTCTCTCATGCTGCTTTTAAGGACCTTCTCTGTCTCTGGAGTTCTGTGGCATCCATGTGACAGACATGTCTAAGAGTAGATTTATTTTTGTTTGTTCTGCTTGTGATGAAGGGATTTGCTGTCTTTCATCATTTCAAAATGCATTCTTAGCCTTCATCTTATTTTAAATAGTGTCTCTTCTGGGGTCTCTCATCTTCTTTTCTAGAAATCACATGCTTTGTTCATTGGGCATTTTTATTCTATCCCTGTTTCCCACTGTCTCGTTCATGATGTGTGAGACACATACCTATGGTATCTCAGCTCCAACCCACTCTTTATATTCTACTCTGGGACGCTAGAGTTTAAAGTTACATCTTCTGTGGCAGCAGTCTTCCGGCAGGAACCCTGGAGAGATTGAGGAGCTGCAGGAGGGGTGGGCGTGCTCCTCCATCTGCAAGCTGTGGCTTCCAGGGTGGCTCCAGCCGCTTGCCCAGCCTCTAGCCCTCCCAGCCTTCCCAGGCCAGACCCATGCACTCCGGCATGGGCCCAGCAGCTCAAAGCCCAGGTGACTTTGAGTAAATGTTTTCAGCACAGGACTTTCATCTGCTGCACAGGCTGAATCAGACGCTGACTTCCACCTGCCACCACGTGGACGTAAGGTAATGAAGGATGCTCCCACTACAAACCTTACTCAAACTGCTGAAAACACTTACTCAAAGTCACCTGGGCTTTGCACTGCTGGGCCGGTGCCAGAGTGCATGGCCCAACAGTCCTGTGTTGGACAGACAGATTGGACGCAGGCCTGAGGGTTGCTCCACGTGGTCCCTCCTCCAAACTCTGAGGCTCTGATGACCCCACCCTCTTCCCTTTGTCCTGGCCCTAAGGGTGGCAGTAAGTGGGCCTCCTCAGCTGTTCCTTCTTGTAGAGCTGGGCATCAAGCTCCTCTGTGGAAATATTGACTACTGCCTCGCTATTTCCTCAATATTCATATGACTCCTTCATTTCTATCCATTCTCACGGGTTGTCGGGGAGGAGGCTGTAACCCTTCCAGTGATTGAGTCAGCTGACTTCATTCTTCCTAGACCGCTTCCTCTGGAGCCTCACAGTATTTGACAATGAGCTCTTCTTCCACGACATATGAGCTGTGGGTCATGCGTGAGACTCGGATTCAGAGAGTCTCTCCAAGTGCTCAGATCGTTGAATCAGCCAGGCACCATGATTTGTGTCAACTCATTAACATGGGGTGGGGGGTTCAGACTACGTGTGTTACAAACTTGACCCCCAAAGCTACGTGTGGTTCAGACTGTGGTTACCAATCCCCCAAAATGTTCTCTCCCTGTACTGAACAGACAGGTTTTATTTCTTGTTTCTTTGGGGCCCCCGTTCCACTTCCTTGACTCGTGAGTGCTCAGGTCAGCATCTCCCAGCTTCTCTGGGCAACCTCTCATACCCTCCCCAGGACCGGTGCAGAGCTAACTCACAAGCTCCCCGTGCAGGATTTCAACAGCCAGTTTATTTCTCGACACTCGCCCTGTTTTACGCACATGGCATCGCTTGTTGAAAGTGTGTTGGTGCTGCTCTATCCAGTGTGTATGAGGTTTGCAGTGGGAGCGTCCTTACATTAACTTACGTCCACATGGTGGCAGGTGGAAGTCCACGTCTGATTCAGCCTGGGTAGCAGATGAGAGGAAAGTCCTGTGCTGAAAACACTTACGCAAAGTCACCTGGAGACATCAAAGGAGAGTCCATTTCTTTTCTTTTTTCTAGCCAAGGAGGTTTACTTTTGATGGCAATAAATGTCCTCCCAGTTGTTAATCATTTTTTTAGACCGTGAAATACTACATATCCATTTCTGTGTTATCTGACAATGTATAATAAAGTTGAAGCAAACTGTGTAAGCATAGCAATAGGCATGCGGGTCTTTTCAGTATGCACAGAATTGTGTAATGCCAGAGGGAAACACCGTGAGGACACAATGTAAATTCGACAGTGCTGATACCCTTCAAAGCAAGGCATCACGTGACAGACAGGATGAACAATCATTTCAGTGGCCGACACTGCCGCAAGCACGTGAGCAGCAGGCTGCCGTGAAGACACACACGCCACTGCTGTCGTTGCTGCTGTGAAGACACTCACACCACTGCTCTCGTTACTGGTGTGAAGACACACCACTGCTCTCGTTACTGGTGTGAAGACACTCACACCACTGCTCTCCTTACTGCTGTGAAGACACTCACACCACTGCTCTCGTTACTGCTGTGAAGACACTCACACCACTGCTCTCGTTACTGCTCTGAAGACACTCACACCACTGCTCTCGTTACTGCTGTGTAGACACTCACACCACTGCTCTCGTTACTGCTGTGAAGACACTCACACCACTGCTCTCGTTACTGCTGTGAAGACACTCACACCACTGCTCTCGTTACTGCTGTGTAGACACTCACACCACTGCTCTCGTTACTGGTGTGAAGACACTCACACCACTGCTCTCGTTACTGCTGTGAAGACACTCACACCACTGCTCTCGTTACTGCTGTGAAGACACTCACACCACTGCTCTCGTTACTGCTCTGAAGACACTCACACCACTGCTCTCGTTACTGCTGTGAAGACACTCACACCACTGCTCTCGTTACTGCTGTGAAGACACTCACACCACTGCTCTCGTTACTGCTGTGAAGACACTCACACCACTGCTCTCGTTACTGCTGTGAAGACACTCACACCACTGCTCTCGTTACTGCTGTGAAGACACTCACACCACTGCTCTCGTTACTGCTCTGAAGACACTCACACCACTGCTCTCGTTACTGGTGTGAAGACACTCACACCACTGCTCTCGTTACTGCTGTGAAGACACTCACACCACTGCTCTCGTTACTGCTGTGAAGACACTCACACCACTGCTCTCGTTACTGCTCTGAAGACACTCACACCACTGCTCTCGTTACTGCTGTGAAGACACTCACACCACTGCTCTCGTTACTGCTGTGAAGACACTCACACCACTGCTCTCCTTACTGCTGTGAAGACACTCACACCACTGCTCTCCTTACTGCTGTGAAGACACTCACACCACTGCTCTCCTTACTGCTGTGAAGACACTCACACCACTGCTCTCGTTACTGCTCTGAAGACATTCACACCACTGCTCTCGTTACTGCTGTGTAGACACTCACACCACTGCTCTCGTTACTGCTGTGTAGACACTCACACCACTGCTCTCGTTACTGGTGTGAAGACACTCACACCACTGCTCTCCTTACTGCTGTGAAGACACTCACACCACTGCTCTCGTTACTGCTGTGTAGACACTCACACCACTGCTCTCGTTACTGCTCTGAAGACACTCACACCACTGCTCTCGTTACTGCGGTGAAGACACTCACACCACTGCTCTCATGGCAGTTTGACAATACTGCCCAGAGAAGAATCTGAGAGTGGCTTGTCAACATAACTGTTAACTTTAATTTGATGACTTAAACTATGTGAAATTATGGCCGGGCGAGGTGGCTTACGCCTGTAATCCCAGCACTTTGGGAGCCTGAGGTGGGTGGATCGCCTGAGGTCAGGAGTGCCAGACAAGCTTGGCCAACATGGTGAAACCCCATCTCTACTACAAATACAAAAATTAGCCAGATGGGGTGGTGCACACCTGTAATCCCAGCTACTCAGGAGGCTGAGGCAGGAGAATTGCTAGAACCCAGGAGGCAGAGGTTGCAGTGAGCTGAGATTGCACCATTTCACTCCAGGCTGGGTGACAAATGCGAGACTCAGTCTCAAAACAAAAAACAAACAAAAAAAAACAAAATTATGTGAAATCTTTAAAATTCAGCAGGATGAGAATATGGTTTCTGGTCATCTTTGCTTTGTGAAATACATAAGTAAATAAAAAAATTACAAAATTAACTGTGTGTACACAAATGCAGATTCAAGAAAAATATATTACCTTATCCCAAATCACAGGATCCTTTCTTTTGGGGGATGTTGTACTTTAGTGCTCCTTTTCATTCAGCTGCAGGTAAATAAGCAGGAAAGATGTAACGTTTGCTTTGTGGTGCCAAGGCAAACCCACAGCAGAAACCTTCAGGAAGCTTTGCCAAAACGTGCTCACTCTCTCTTTCACGGACAAAACCAGCCATCACAAACGCCATCACTTTCAAAGTAGAGCGGCACATTGATGGCTGCATTGACAAACGCCATCACTTTCAAAGTAGAGCTGCACACTGATGGCTGGATTGATGTGCAGTATTTAAATTGCCAGCCTACCAGAGTGACACACAGGCCTGCTGAGTTTAGTATTTATTTTTTTCATCCTGAAGTTGCTTGGTTTTCTCAATGCTAAAAACGATTTATTTCAAGTAAGAGAAAATATTCCTAAGACTTTTATCCCAGTTCATGCGTTTATTTGGTAGCCATTTCCCACGTGCCCACTGTGGACAGGAAGGACGAAGAGGTTACACTCACTCAGTGACCCCCAGTGCCCTGCTTGAGGATGTCAAATGGTCTCCGCTCAGCAGGGCAGTTTCCATGTTTTCAAATGTAGGCCAAGTGTTGACAACAAAAGCTGTGATTTTAAATTTAACATGAAATGCCTCTTCCAATCCTGTTAGTGAATTTCTCATAATGTTGCAAGGATCTTCTAAAGTCATGATCCCCCAACATGATGGAAGTTGGCTTGGAGTTCCCTCTGCACTCTCTGAATTCAGGAGTTAAGATGGGAGGCGTATGCTTTTGAGACCTTTCCTCGTAAGGCAGGAGACCCTGAAGTAAAATCTCCAAGAATCTCTTCTCTCAATATTTATACATTTGAACTAAAAAGTGATCTGAGAAGTAAACTAAGCTGGCGAATATAAAACAACATATACTCACACCTTTATATCCTTACCTCTGTGAACCTTATCACACTTTTATTATTACATTTGTTATTGTGGATAAAGACAAAGTGTAGCAAGTTGGAGGAAGATACAAGACCTCAGTGCGCATTCCCGGGCTCTTATTCATGTTTTATACTTAATGAAACAGACACTTTTCATAATAAAAAAGTCTAACAAAAATAGTTCTTATAAAATCAAACATAAAATAGATTTAAAAATAAATACAAAATATAACTGACTTAGCAGGGTGATTCTCTTTAAACCCATCTTTCCCACACTTGTCCAGACCAGGACAATAGAAATATGTGATATTCACGTCTTAAATTAAGAAATCTAATTTAATTTCTTTTTTAAAAAAATGTTCTGGCTCTAAGCATCAATCCAGTTAATTTTCTTTTTTTTTTCTAACTTTTATTTTAGGTTCAGGGCATAGCTTCAAGTTTGTTCCATGACTACATTGCATGCTGTGGGGATTTGGTGTACAGATGGTTTTGTCACTCAGGTAGTTAGTAGAATATGCAGCAGGTAGTTTTTCAATCCTCAGCCTTCTTCCACCTGTCACCCTCAAACAGGCCCCCATGTCTGTTGTTCCTTTCTCTGTGTCCATGTGTACTCAATGTCTAGCTCCCACAGATAAATGAGAATATGTTGTATGTGGTTTTCTGTTTCTGTGCTGATTCACTTAGGATAATGGCCTCCAGTTTTATTCATGTTGCTGCAAAGGCCATGATCTCATTTTTTATGGCTGCATAGTATTCCAGGGTGTATTGTACCACATTTTCTGTATCCAGTCCATCATTGATGGGCATGTAGGTTGATTCCCTGTCTTTCCTTTTGTGAATAGTGCTGTGATGAACATATGTGTGCACGTGTCTTTGTGGCAGAATAATTTATATTCCTTTGGTTATATGCCCAGTAATGAAATGGCTGGGTCGAACAGCAGCTCTATTTTAGGTTCTTTGAGAAATCTCCAAACTGCTTTCCACAGTCGCTGAGCTAATTTGCATTCCCACCAGCAGTGGATAGGTGTTCCCTTTTCTCTGCAATCTTGCCAGTATATGCTATTTTTTGGCTTTGTAATAATAGCCATTCTGACCGGTGTGAGAAGGTATGTTGTTGTAGTTTTGATTTGCATTTATCTAATGATTAGGGAGATTGAGCATCTTTCTCATATGCTTATTGGCCATGTGGATGTCTTCTTTGAGATGTACATGTTCATGTCCTTTGCCCATTTTTGTAATGGAGTTGTTTGTTTTCTGCTTAAGTTCCTCATCGATTCTGGATATTAGACATTCATTGGATACATAGTTTGTAAATATTTTCTCCCGTTCTGTAGGCTATCTCTTTACACTGTTGATAACTTCTTAACTTAACAAATTAACATGCATTCACACATCTTAACAAGTTAACACATCTTGAATGAAGAAATGAGGGGTTTTATGTTTCTCTTGTAAGGAAATGCATATCAATCACTAATTCTGGAAGTTTTTGTCAATTTTTCTAATAATTATTGCATTTTCAAATATTTCCCATATGACACATTATATACGTATATAAGATATAACTTCAAATTCACATATGTACTGGCACTGGATTATCGTAGGAGAATTATAGAAACAGCATGATGCTTGGCTGGTCATGGTTAATATTGATTTAGGAGGCCTGTGGGCGAGGCTACCAGCATGACTCCTTCGCATTTTTGTGCCTGAATGCACGTAGACAACACACTCACCATCAAAGCGTTGGAGGATCCAGGAAGAGCCCCAGCCTCCCTCGTCACTGGCAGGTGCCTCCCAGGTGTCAGGGGGCAGCTACTCATGGACCAGTCCAGACCCTGCCATCACATGCAATGACCACACAGCCAGACCGGGTCCCTGAGGAAGAACTCAGCTTCAGCGACTTCTCAGTCACCCAGCAACTGGGCAGGGAAAGGGGGTCTGAAGGCTGATGTGCTTGCATGTGTGTGCCTGTGTGTGCGTGTTTGTGAACCAGGACAAGTGAACACAGGGGCTCGGCTGGGTGCAGGGTGAGGACCCTCCATCAGCTTGTGGAGAAGAGACGAAAATGCAGCTGGCTCAGTGTTTTGTGGATGCCTAATTATAGAAAGAATTAAAAAATCACCATTCTAATGAGCTTCCGTCATTTAAGTCTCTAACAACGGATCCATGTTGACAATCGTTTTTCCCAATCCCTTTTGAGAAAAGAGACTGAGGTTTACCTTATCAAGAATGGACTCATTTTACTGTTTCTTCCCAAGACCCGTGTTTTTTTAGGGGGCTAATACAACAGGAAGAGGTCAGGGTGATTATTTAGTGGGAAAAATTGTATTTGCTAGGACTTTATTGGTTTTCTTTCAGAAATCCAACTTATTTATGACATAAGTCATTTTAGGGCAGTTGATAGAAGTTATTTCTCTTTTATGACACTCGTGCCTGTGTGTAAAATTGTGCTATAAATGATATTGACAGTGTCATATGGTACTACTGTATTTTTTGTATGTTGTAAAACTTTGCTACTTTATGGTCAAACAAACTAAAGTTGTGACTGTCAGCTCCTCAGAAAAAAACACTAGGGCCTTTCAAGTTTTGAAGAACGCACTTAAGAGAGTGATATACAGAAGAGAAAATTCCATAAAAAAAGAGGAGTAACCCAAGCTTTTATTTTTATGTTTCCTCCTGGATGCAGAATTTGTCTGGGTCGTCACCCATGCAGCTCACAATAAACACCAAGGTGGCGGCTGAGGCGGTGTCCCAGCATCCTCAGCTCCAGGCTAAGGAGGGCGTATTCTGAGGGGCTTCCATGATGCCTTGTATTCCACGTGAGGTCTGAGTTAATGAGTTACTCAATCTGCTTGGACGGTCAGATATATTACTATCTTCAGCTTGACAAAGGCTACTGGAAAGCCCTGTTGACTTCTGATTCGAGGAGGAGAAATAGCTTTTCAAGTCCTCCTGGGATTTTCCCAACAATACTTTCGTCTTGGGTCGACGAGGGCTCTCGAGTCTTCTCTCCAAGGTCAAGAATCCCCCAGGACCACCTTGTATGCTGATTGAAGCGGGAAAAATCCAGAGAGGGCCGGAGGGGCCTCTCAAAGTCAGCGTGCGTTTGTTTATCAATACAAGTAGTCCCTTTTATTAACTATGATTTTGTGCCAATTAGTGAACTTGAACAGACTGGTCTAAGGAAACACATACACGTACCAAGTGAAGCACAGTTGTGACAACCATCGCAAACATGAGTGTCCTGGAGTCACGCTGTTGTGCAGAGTTTCCTGGGGGATTTCACATGACTGTACGTGTGTTCTAACCGCTTCCCACCACATGTGGGAGGAAGACAAGGCAGGCGTGATGGTCTCCATTTTTGGAGTTGAAGAAACAGCCTTAAACGGGGAGGGGGGTACTCACTACCACGTGGCTAATCACTAGCCGGGCAGGGGTACGTGTCCAGGTCTGAGTCCTCGGGGTGTCCACGCTGTACTAGCAGGAATGATGTTAACCCCAAGACGATCATAAAACCTCAACGTGGCCAACTGTGGACAGTTCCCCTTCTGATTTCCAAGCCCACCAGTGTGGTGTCCTTAGAGTGGGCCTGTGGGATGCCCTGATCGGTACTCGATAGCTTGTAACCTGTGGGTGGACTCAAAGTCGTGCTCACGTGAAGAAGGGGAAGGGGAAGCCGCTTTCTTTGTCTTTGGAGTAACTGAGGCAGAACTGAATGCTCTGAGCCAGTGAAAAGTAGCTCCTCTCCGCTGACCCTGAGGGTGAGTTGGAAATACTAACAATCCTTACAGGTGTTCATTTTGAGCGGGTCTTTGTGCCTCAGGCGCTCTGAGAGGAGGGGTTAGAGCTGGGTTGCATCACATTCCCGCCATTCAGTAGTGCCCAGGCTGGCAGCAGCATCTCCACCAGGAGGCAGTGACGCCAGCCCTGTGTTGCCGCCACAGTCTGTGGAAAACGCGGTTTTTGCCTCTAGGTCTGGAAAGCAGTGGGATTTGGCTTCCATTCTCTCGGAGTCGACTTTGTGTGGGAAGCTCCCGGTGACTCTGGGGCGGGGTTGTTTGTTTGCTCAGAGTCTTCCAGGTGGGGCTCTCAGCACCTCCCAGGGGTGGTGGGTGGATGGAGGCAGAGTCCCTGGGAGAGAAGGAGGGGGAGAGAGACAGACAGAGACAAAGGGATGGAGAGGACTTGGGGGTGGGAGGAGAGGAAGGGCACAGAGAAAAGAGAGACAAAGAGAGATGGGGGGAGAAAATGAGAGGTGGGGGGGAGACAGAGACAGACATAGGCAGAGAGAGATGGAGGGAGAAAATGGGAGAGAGAGGGGGGGAGACAGAGACAGACACAGGCAGAGAGAGATGGAGGGAGAAAATGGGAGAGAGAGGGGGAGACAGAGACAGACACAGGCAGAGAGAGATGGGGGAATAAAGAGAGAGAGGGGGAGACAGAGACAGACACAGGCAGAGAGAGATGGAGGGAGAAAATGAGAGAGAGAGGGGGGGAGACAGAGACAGACACAGGCAGAGAGAGATGGAGGGAGACAATGAGAGAGAGAGGGGGAGACAGAGACAGACACAGGCAGAGAGAGATGGGGGGAATAAAGAGAGAGAGGGGGAGAGACAGAGACAGACACAGGCAGAGAGAGATGGGGGGAATAAAGAGAGAGAGGGGGAGACAGAGACAGACACAGGCAGAGAGAGATGGAGGGAGAAAATGGGAGAGAGAGGGGGAGAGACAGAGACAGACACAGGCAGAGAGAGATGGGGGGAATAAAGTGAGAGGCGGAGGGAGGAAGGGCGGGAGAGCCGTGCCAGCCCAGCCCCTCTCTGCCACGCTCACAGATGCCACGGCCAGGCGGAGATGGCAGCAAAGGGCTTCCATACAGCGCGAGTGTTTGTTCTAGAACCTGCCCGGCTCTCCCCGGGGAGACGAGCTCAACTTTTCCTCTCCAGTGTTTGGCTTCGCCCTCTCTCCTCGTCATTTACGGTGCCCTCGACAGCGTGGCGCGGCGCCCGCGCTCCGGAATGCCAGCCTGGCACGGCGGCGCAGCCAGCAGTGGTGTAATCTGCTAATGGCTTCTTTTCATTTCAGCCCTCCCTGAGAGACCCAGTGGCAGATTGTAGACTCAATTACTCTCATGTCAGGTGATTATCCCAGGTCTTAATGTAATCTTCCATTCACACATACCATATTTCAATTACGGCAGCTATGAAACAAGCTGTGTATTGAAATCGCCAGTCACCTTATCACTGCCGAACAATGTCAACTGTAAGAGACACCAGCTGAAGGCAATTACACATGTGTTGAGAACCGATTATGATGACTCTCTGTGGTATTTGTGATGAGCTGGGGAATGTTCTGAAAATTTAATTTAATGGCAATATGCTTGCTGTACAATCCATAATACCTCCTGAATCCAGCACGGGGCTGTTACAGCTGATAGGAGCATATTATCGCCGCGCGGAGGGCTGGGCTGGGAGGGCTGCTGGAGGCCTCTGCGGGGAGCTAGGTAATTTCTCGCATCCTTCTGACGGCTGAGCAGACAGCTTCCCGTTCCAGCTGCACGCTGGAGGGGGCCGCCGGCTGGGTAAGGTGTTTCTCCCCCTCCACGCCGCCCTGTTGCTGCGGCCCCGCTCCCGCCACCCACCCCAGGGGGTCTCCGCCTGACTCGGCCGCACCCCGGGAAGGCCCCGTGGCTGGGGAACGAGAGGCTCCCGCCGAGGACCGACAGGCCGGCTGCTGCGGAAAGCAAGGGGCCCGCAGACAGGGAGCTCTTGGGCCTGCCCGGTGGCCCCGGGTCGCCTCGCTGGGGTCCCAGCGCTGGGTGCCTTCGCCGCCACCATGCACAACCCCAGGATGGCACGCGGGGCCCAGGAACGACCCCGCCGCAGGGCTCCACGCTCTGTGCTCAGCGGCCCACGGCCCGGTGGGTAGGGACCTGCCTCTCTGCGTCATGGGTCCCACGAGCATCCCTGACCCCAGTGCTGTCCTTGGGACTGGGAATGTCATGGGTCCCACGAGCATCCCTGACCCCAGTGCT
Source organism: Homo sapiens (assembly GCF_000001405.40). Lineage (NCBI taxonomy): Eukaryota > Metazoa > Chordata > Mammalia > Primates > Hominidae > Homo > Homo sapiens. Next base: position 78,429,604 of record NC_000018.10, on the reverse strand, counting down.
GTCCTTGGGACTGGGAATGTCATGGGTCCCACGAGCATCCCTGACCCCAGTGCTGTCCTTGGGACTGGGAATGTCACCGAGCTTTCTCCCTGACCAGAGGAGGACGTTCAGATGGGTTCACACTGAGGCTGAAGGCCTGGGTCACAGAGCAGATGGGAGAGGCTGGGATGAGGAGAAGGAGGAGAGGAGGCCAGTGCTGGGGAGGGAGGAGGAGGGCAGAGGCCAGTGGGGAGGGCTGCGTGGGCGTGGGTGCCTTCCCCCTGCAGATGCCAGGTCGCGGGTGGTGCAGGAATGCTGGGAAGGGCCCTGACCCCGGCCCTGAATCCCGCTCCCGAGGCCTGCTGTGCGACCCTGGGAGCTGCACCCTGGAGACTGAATCCGGTTCCCGAGGCCTGCTGTGCGGCCCTGGGAGCTGCACCCTGGAGAAAGAGGGCTCTTTGGTGACTCCTCCAAGTCCTGCAGGCTTTTCTCCAGTGTGACACCAACGTTTTGCTCCTTCTACGGAGCAGCAAGGACCTAATTCATTCAGGAATAATACACTGTCTCCCCTTAATTAGCTTATTAATTGAAACTATGGAGAAAATGGAGACCCAAGCTTTGTTGGTTTAAAGTGGCAATAACCTTGGTTTACATCAGCCATGACCAGCCGTTTAAATGCAAGGACTTTCTTTGCTTATCTGTGGTGGCGAATATCAAGAAAATTATGCATGGAGCTTTTTATTTTTTAGCTCATCAGCTATTATTAGTGTCAGTATATTTTATGTGTGGCCCAAGACAATTCTTCTTCCAGTGTGGCCCAGGGAAACCACAAGGTTGGACACCCCTGGTTACATGAAGAATATTGTTAAAATATGAGCTCATTGGCCCCGCACAGTGGCTCAGGCCTGTAATCCCGATGCTTTGGGAAGGCTGAGGTGGGTGGATCCCTTGAGGTCAAGAGTTCGAGACCAACTTGGTCAACATGGCAAAACCCTATCTCTACTAAAAATACAAAAATTAGCCAGTAGTGGTGGTATGCGCCTGTCATCCCAGTTACTTGGGAGGCTGAGGCCAGAAAATTGCTTGAACCCAGGTGGCAGAGGTTGCAGTGAGCTGAAATCATACTGCTGTGCTCCAGCCTGGGCAACAGAACCAGACCCTATCTAAAAAAAAAAAAAAAAAGGTCATTGATGGAAGAATTATGTGCGTTCTGTGGCTCCTTCATCACCAGCTTCAGTCTTCAGACCAATTTTGTTAAGTGCTATTATAAATGGGTGCATATTTCAAATATATTTCAATAGTGTGTATTTTCTTTAACAGAAGAGTTTTTTTAATTAGACTTTTTATTTAGGATTTGATTTTTTTAAAGAAAACCTTATGTGACAACCTCCACTTAAGTTTTAGTTCCCTTTCCTGGTTAGGTTTTCCCTACACAGTGTTTTCATCATCTAATAATGTGAATATTTTCATTATTTATCATTTATCTCACCTGAATTTAAGCAGCATGAAGACAGGTGATTTTTGCCTATGTTTTCATTATGCAATCTAGACACCTGCCACATATTTGAGACTAGATGCATGAATCTCTACATTTAAGTACCTACTTACTTAATATGATCTTGTATTTTGGTTTGTGCAAGGGAAACTTGGTTTGGTGTTAGATGTTATCGTTGCTAAATAACTCCCCCCATCAATTATTCTAACCGTAGTTCTATTAAAATACATGGCCTGGTGCAGTGGCTCAAGCCTGTAATCCTAACACTTTGGGAGGCCGAGGCGGGCGGATCACGAGGTCAGGAGATTGAGACCATCCTGGCTAACATGGTGAAACCACATCTCTACTAAAAATATAAAAAATTAGCTGGCTGTGGTGGCGGGCACCTGTAGTCCCAGCTGAGGCTGAGGGAGGAGAATGGCGTGAACCCAGGAGGCGGAACTTGCAGTGAGCTGAGATCGCACCACTGCACTCCAGCCTGGGTGACAGAGCAAGACTCCGTATCAAAAACGAAAAACAAAACAAAAAAATACTTTTAAAAACCTTTTGGGTAAGAGTGCTAGTTCTTTGCTGTTCTTTACTGTGTATGTCCATAGAGTTGTATAACTGTATGGTGGAAAGAGAACAAATAATGGAAACTTTAGTTTTATAGCCAGGGGTTGGAGGCCCAGGGAATTTAATCTCTGTTCTGAAGTTTTGGAGGCAGAGTCGGTGCTGGGTGTTCGTACTGACAGCTCTTCAGCTCTGAGTCCAGGTGTCTCTTACGACCTGGCGCTGACTACTCAATGACTCGGTTGCAAAGCACTTGTACTGTTTCCCTCCATTCACGCGGCCCTAATCTGGGACCCGTGGCCACTGTGCTGAAAAAATGAGGTGAAGCTGGAGAGCCCTGGGCCTCTGACAGTGTTTGAGGTTTGCTGGATGGTTTGATGGGATGCCTCTCAACATCCAGGGGACTGTCACGAAGGGCTACTGTGGTCAGCGTGGACTGCTTCCGTTACGACAATTTCATAATCATTGAGTAAATGGATGTTCTCCTTTGAAAGGTTCTGTAACATGTATGTTGGATCAATGAAGGCAAGCCAATAGTGCATTGCTCAATCATATTTATTTTGAATTGATAAAGTTTAAGCTAAATCATGAATGTGAGCATGGAATGAAAGTTAGGGAAGACGCTGTCTAACTGGAGACCTGTACACTCCATTGCCATTTTCCTTGTTGCCTTGGGGGACAGGGGAGTGGATTTTAGACGACTTGGGCTCTGAATGAATACAATCCCCAAGCTAGGCTGTGTAGCATGGGTTCTTATTGGGACAATTCCTGCACCCTCCCCCCTACCCATCCCAGAGAACACTGGCAGTTGCTGGAACATTCTTGGTTATCTTAACCGGAGCGGGAGTGCGTCTGGAATGTAGTGGGTGAAGGTCAGAAAAGCTGCTCAACTTCCTGCAACGCACAGACTGGCTCCCTAAAATGTCAGTAGAGCCAAGATCCAGAAATCTTGCTAGATAGAAAGAGAAATCTAATTAGCAAAGAAAAATCTCCTGGAAGAAACTTAGTCAATCAAGTTGCTGTTGGCATTTCAGCAACATCAGAGCAGATCCTCAAGTCTTTAAACTGTTTTCGTAGTCACCTTGTGTTTACAGTTTTCTTTCTGTGCATTATGTTTTATGATCTGTTGTCCATGTTTATCTGCCTGTGCTGGTCTTATCAATTTATATGCGGACTTTGCACGTGAAGTCCTTGGCCACATTTCCCACCAATATTCTCCCCGCGGCCCGCAGATGCGAGAGCCTGCCTGCCTGCCCAGGAAGACTGCTCAGCAAGCCTGGCGGAGTGAAGGCGGCAGGGAGAACGCCGACTCTGGGAACTCCCGTTATCTTGAATGCATGAGGAAAGGGAAGGGGAAGCCCATATGACAGGGCCTGTAGACCCCCGGGGCTGCTATCTCATCCCACCTTCCATAAGGAAGCACCTGTGGGGGGTTGGGGGGGATGGGGGGAACCCCGCATCCTGGCCTGCCCCGAGTGGCTGCAGGGCGTGCAGGCAGCATCATTGCAGAGCAAACCTAGATCTCCAGCGTCTCAGCGTTTTCCACAGGAGAGTATCGTTCGGGTGGCCAAACACCAGAAATCATTCTGGGGTCTCCTTCCATGGAAAACATTTAAAAAGTATGTATTTATAACCTAGATATTAATAAGCATTACCCTGGCATATTGCCTTAAAATAAACTAGAGAACATTTTGCATTAGTTTACAATCATATTTTTGAGACTATTTTGAGACAGAACAAAAAGAACCAGATGAATTCAAGAAAATGCGCTTCCTGTTACCCTGTATTCTCTTTTTCTTTCTCCTCCAAAGTTAACAGATAAACTCATATTACATTACAGAAACATAATAAAAGCAAGCGCTTCATTTCTATGTTATTTGAATGGCAAATTTTACTGTTTTCAAATTGTGTTGCATGCAGTACTGTACTACTTATCCAAGGTAATGTATACTTCTTATAGATAGTAAAGAAAAAGCATGTTATCTTCATGCTTATGTCCAGCTTAGCTGTTAACATTTTGAATAAACTACATAAAATGTTCACTACAAAATGGAGTGTCATAATGGTCATGGCATAAAAAGCAAACAGGTATTTATGCTTACATATGCCGATATTTTCAAAGACAGGCAGTGGCATCACCAAATAAATGAGAGACCTTTCTAGCAGCCGGTATTGCTAGCTGTTTTTCTTCATGTATAATTCTTCACTCACAAAAAAATGCTATCTGATTACAAATTATGTACCTATTCTTACTTCTTTTGCCCAAGGCAGCTGTTAATTTTTGCCATAGGTCATAGAGGATAAAGCCCCAAAGATCTGGGAGCTTCTTAATTGCATTGCACACAACTGGCTGTCATCAGGCACCTCGAAGGAGTTATTGCACCTTGCAGATAATGCCTTTTCCCTGTGAGCCATGAAATAGATTCTCCCTCTATTGCTGTATTAATTAGACTTCAAGGATGTTAGAAAAATTACAGCTTAAGCTTCTGCTCAAAAAATTTAGGCAATATTATAGAAGAAATCTTGGCCCAAACTTACAAGGAAGTGAATTAACCTTGAGGCTTTCTTTTGTTTCAGAAGGAAAAGATAAAAATACCCCAACAACTCACCACCTTGTCACTTTACAGCAATATATAAGTTTTGATAGAATTCCAGGTTAAGTTTGTCAGTTCTGATGTTGTAAAAACGGAATGAACTGGAAGGACCTGTGGAAGTCTCGGGAAGTCTCGGGAATTTCCTCCTCAGGCCGTATATCAAGCGCACACTGAGAGGGAGAGGAAAGGAAGGTAGGAGAGAAGGGCAAAAGGCGAAATGGTTTGTGTCCATTTAAGAAAAAATCAATAATAGCATAAAATTGATTTAGTGCTTGTCATAAAACATAAGTAAGTGCTGGAAAATAGAGAAAATTGAGTCTCAATTTAATCTGCACAAAAGCCAGACTGTACTGATGAAGTGATTGTAGTGGGGAGAGCTACATAAAACCTAAAGACAGATACTTAATTGTCATATTAAAGACTCTTTTCATCCTGCTGGAGTCGAGGGGTAGGACCCATTAATCATGTGGATAAGGGGCATTGAAATCAAATCTCAATTAAAATCTGTTCAATAATGTCTCTAATATGTTTTTCAAGCATTAATTTTTTCCCATTGATTCCACACCCCATAAATCAGATATGTTGCAGTGCATGTAATAGTTTATGGAGGAGAGGATTATGGTTTTATGAAGTTAATGTGGCAGAACCATTTAATTTACACAGGCTAAAGTTTTATGTCTGTTGTTTATTTCTATTATTTTCTTCAGCTAAAAATTATTTGGGCCATAAAACTAAGAACCAAGTTCATTTTTTCCAAGTGTCTATATATTTAGCAATCAGATTCCAGTTTCTTTTTTCCAAATTTGGCTGGGAAATCACACCCGGAAGTATACAAAGCTGAGTTCGCAGCGGGCATAGGCTCTGTGCAGAGGGCCGTATGTGCCCCTGGAGAGAGGAGCTGCTTGTGTTTGCACCGAAAGGGCTTCCGAGGGATTTCGCAGACACCGCTGAATGCACCAGCTTCTCCATCTCGGCTTTGGAATGTTCCCAGGTCCCGCTGAAGACTTTGTACCTTCTGAACAAAAAGCCGTATCTATTTCCTTCAGGGTTCCAAAGGCGGGTGGTGGATGACATTGACAGTAGAAAGCAAGGCATGCTTTTTGAAACCAGTTACACAGATGTTTTATTTTCACTAACAAGTTCATGGAGGAGGTGGGACTCTGCAAAAAGAAGATGATGGTTTCTGTATTTTCTCGAACATTGGTATTCCAATGCCATTTAAAATTACGAGTGATTTGTGAAGGAGGTTGAAGAAGAGCCAGGGGTTTCCACGATGTTAGATTATATGACAAGAGGGAGGCAGAGAGGAAAGACGCCTGGCCCTCAGCCCCCATGGCTTGGCAAGTGACCTGAAGCAAACAGCTTCCTCCCATCCTCCCACCTGTGAAGTCCAGGGTTTGACCTAGTGGGGTCTAAGCTGGCTTCAGCTCCCTGCTTTAGGAGCCTTCAGTAAAAACAGTGAGAAACGGCTTCTGGGATTGCCTTGCCTCCAACATTCATAAAACCACGTCTTCTTGAAGACATTCAATAATTTATTTTGAAGGTTTAAATTTTTGTTTGGTGAATTCATATCTCTTCATTTTTCAACACATTGAGGTCAAGTTTAAGTTGTACTGACATAAAGGAAGGTGCATATGTATCTGAATGGTTTTCCTCTAAATTATTCTTCATCCTGTTCATGGAGATTGGGATCGTGGGAGTGTGGGACTTCAGCCAAGCCCATGGCAAGCCCCTCCTCCTTGCTGGCCTGGCTCAAGACCCCACAGTGTGGTGGCGGCAGCAGCAGCAATAGCAGGGGGGCCCTCCCCCAGGGCTACCCACCCCCAAGCCCACCCTGTATATGGTAGTCCAGGCTACATCAAGGGTTATTTTCATCAAGTCACTCTGTTCAAAATCCCTACTGTGCAATCCATTTTACCTACTACAGGAAGCCCTCGGTGTTTCTCCCAGCCAACTTTTTAATAAATAACTTTGTTTTTTAGAGCAGTTTTAGCTTTATAGAAACATGTTGGGATGGCATAGAGCTTCCACACTCTGGACACCCAGTTTTGCCTGTTATTAACATCTTACATTCATATGGCACATCTGCTTACAATTAAGGGATCAATATCGATGCATTATTATGAACAGAAGACTCTACTTTCTTCACTTTTATTTTTTCCCTAATGCGCTCTTTCTGCCCCAGGAAGGATCCCAGCTGGGACACCACAAGGCTGAGTCCGCAGGCCTCCTCAGGCTGCTCTTGGCTGTGGCAGTTTCTCAGACTTCCTTTATTTTGGGTGACCTTGACAGTTTGGAGGGGTTACTGTTCAGAAGTTTTGTAGAATGTCCCTCTATTGGGATCTGTCTGATGTTCTTCTCATGGTTAGACTGGGACGTGGGTCAGCACAGCCTCCCTCTGCAGCCGGCCTCGTCCCCCAGCTGGGGTTGTGGCTCTCCAAGCTGTGTCTCTGGAAGGAAGGCAGCATGAGTCACCCACGCTTCGGGCCTGGGGAGCTGTGCCCCACCTCCTGGGGGTGGATCTCCACATTAATCCTTTGGAAATTCTTCTGCACAGGAGATTTGTCTCTTTTTCATTTATTCGTTCATTCATTCGTTGGTGGTGGTGTTGTTTAAAATCAGTATAGACTCATGGATCCTTGTCCTTTGGGTTGTAATCCAACATTATTTTATTCATTTTCTTGCTCAAATTTCTCCAGCTTTGGCCATTGGGAGCTCCTTCAGCTGGCTCCTGCATTCCTGTGACACGTTCCCATTACTGTGCATTTTGTTTCTTTTTGTTTGCTTGCTTGAGCACTTTCTTATTTTGTGGCACTGCAAGATGCTCCAGGCTCACCATGAGTCTGCCCTGCCTGGTTCTGGAAGCAGCCATTTCTCTAAGCAAACCTGGTTCAAGTATGTGTGTTGCTCCTGGGGTGTCCTTGCTTCCCGGCCCTCTCAGCGCTGGCAAAGAGGATGCATGTGAGTGCAATGCCTGCGTGGTGCAGGTGTCTGTGTTACAGCAGGCCTCCGCCTGTATCCATGGTCACCATGCAGCTGTTCACACTGGCATCACCAACCTTGATCCAGGACTGCAGGGATTACTTTGCCGCAGCTTGTGTACCCTCCCGCTCCAGTAGTGACAGCCCCAGAGCCCCAACCCTCCACCCACCAGTTGGGTCTTCGCTTAACCCCAGCACCCTGTCCAGCACTGTCAGAGTCCTCCTGGTGCCCATCCACAGCCATTGGCTGCCCGTGGTGCTCTCCTGAAGCTGGTGGGTGGGCTGGAGCAGGGCCAGCCTTGGGGACCTCAGGGCTAGGTGGCCTGGCACACAGTGGGCACACACTAATGGTGCCCTGAGTGGACACAAGGGGCCCAGGACTGCTAGCATAGTCCTGCTAGCACAGACCACCAGCAGAGGTATGGGGGGGTTAGGACCAACAGCACAGGTGTGGGGTGGCCCAGGACCAGTAGCACATGTGTAGGGGGCCCAGGACCACTAGCACAGGTGTGTGTGGGGACTAGGACTACTAGCACAGGTGTGGGGGGACCCAGGACCACTAGCACAGGTGTGGGGGGCCCAGGACCACTAGCACAGGTGTGGGGAGGCCAGGACCACTAGCACAGGTGTGGGGAGGCCAGGACCACTAGCACAGGTGTGAGGAGGCTTAGGACCAGTAGCACAGGTGTGGGGAGTCCAGCACCACCACACAGATGTGGGGCTTTCTCAGAACAGGTGGTTGCAGGAGCTCCCCGTGAATGATGTGAGTCCAGTTCTGAAAGGCTGTAGCTGAGCGTTGGTGCCATACATAACACCATTCCTGCCATGTGTCTGTGATCACTGAGGTTGGGGGGCCATGGTGGTTAGGAGGGTGAGAACGGAGTGCATCCTTGCTGTATTTAGGAGGAGTGGTAGCTAGGAAGGAAAGAAGCAAGAGCAGACTACGGGCCTGAGGAAAAGGCCATGGGAAGAAAGGCACGAAACTAGAAGGAGCTCCTCCCTGCGGCTGCGGAAGCAGTGGTCTCACAGAGTTGGGGGAGGATGCGTGAAAGACTCACTGTCTAGGAAGTAGGCTGGAAACCTAGGGGTTTTGCCTCCGCCCGCAGGTCCCCTCTGAGGGGCGTTTTCTGGCTCCTGTTTTCCCTGTTGAGTGAACCTTTCAGGGTAGGAAGTGTGAGGTGAGTGGATGTGGATGATGGATCCATGGGGTGGGCCATGTAGCAAGAGTGCCGGGGGACGGGGGTGGGTGCCGCTAGGACCAGGGCCGTGGCACAGAGACAGGGGTGCTGCCTCCGAAACTCCCCCAGAACACGGCCCTCCTGGTACGGGCTGCTGTGCCTCAACTTCTCATGTCGTGATGAGAAGACCCCAAAGTCATGACAAGCTAATAGTTCTGCCCCAACATTCAAAGGAGCCCTGGATGCAGTTACATTTACTAGTAATTTCATATGAAATAATTGGTCACAAACACCTTCAACATACTTAACCATTTCTGTGTATTTTCTCCCAATCCTCATAACAACTCTTGCATGGTAGATAAGATATAAAATACATCATGAAAATGCTGGAAAGGAGAAGCATGGGGTGGCAAGAAAGCCTGGAGCGTGCGTCCTGGTTCATGTCAGCAGCCGTGGCATTGAAGTTGGTGGGTGGGATGAGTGTGGCTGGCAGGGGAGCCGGTGTGTTGGGGACTGCAGGTCTGCCAGAGGGATGGGGTAGAGTGCAGCAGCAGAGACGAGACAGCCCAGGGAGGGAGGATCAGACCCAGAGGACACACAGTTGCTCGGGGACCTTGGAGCTCCTCTGTAAGAGGTGAGAATGGTTTTGAGCACCGGCAGCCTGACATTATTTACCTTCTTAGAAGACCACGGATTGGAGACCGCGAGAAGTGGGAATGAATCCAGTGGTAGTGGAGATAAGGAAACAACTGGTTTCGGGACACAATCTGGAGCAAAAACCCACAGGACAGGGGACAGTTGCATGAGGAGGGCCAGGGAAGGGTCCCCGGTTTCTGGCAAATGTCACCAGCTGGCGAAGGGCTGCTTTCCAGGTGGAGGAGAAACTTGGAGCTTGGAGGGGAGCGATAGTCTGGGTTTGGCTCTGCTAGGTTTTCTGGGGGGGCTGGTGATGGGGAGGCTGGAGACGGCCCCAGCATGGAATTCCAAAGTCCAGGTGAGGGAGAACATGGGGGCAGAGTGGGGCGTTCCCAGGAGGATTTAGGCAGAAAATGACTCCGTGCTGGTACGGAGCCACAACATTGCATTTGAAATCCCACTGTTGTGGCACTTGAGCGTCGCTCACATAGATTCCCAGCTTCCTAAAATTAGTCAGAAAAGAAAAGAAATGCAGTGATCAATGCCAATATTTAGGTCAAGGCTGTTTGTTTCTGGTTTCTCTGGCGTGAAGCAAAGGAGTGCAATCGAGGCGGCTTCCTTTATCACCGTCGGTTTTCTCCAGGGCCTGTGGGAGGGACCCCCCGGGCTCTCTCTAGCCTCAAAGTGGCTCAGCTCAGCAGAGCGACACAAGCACAGCCCACTTCTTTCCTCTTCCCATCAATAACGCCTCCCCAGCATTCATTGCAATAAAACCAATCACAGTGGAATCATTTGATATGTATGTGACTCACAAATATAGTTCCCCAAGCCACTGTTCCAAATTAGTAGTAGTTAAGCACCCATTGATGGAAGCTTAAAATAAAGTGCTCCCCAATGGGCCCCCACTTTAGTCCTGCATTACCCCAGAAAGCAGAGAGATTTTCGTAGGAGTCGCCATAAACTGCATACATTTGGAACTTGGCCAGAAATATTTGGGGGACCTATTCATTCTTTTCCTTCCTGCAATGATATAATGATGTCTGTCACAAGGGCGCTTTTATGCCAACAATCCTGATGTCACACGCCGGCCTTATAGAAGCTTGAGGGATTTTTTTTTTCTTCTTCTTTCTTTTCTTCTTTGAGTCTTTTCAGACTAGAATACTGAAGTCTGAATTAAATGCAATCGGATTCTTTCAGACCTTCTCTGTGACAATGCAAGCTTGAAAGGAACATATTTGAAAGCACAAACTGCTCTAGTTTTCTTGCAAAAAGACTTAGGTCCCCTGAGTAGGCCAATTATAAATTGTAGTGCAGGTGAACTTTCTCTCCCATTCACTGGAGCTGATTCTGTGTCACTAATGTTACTGCGCTGATACCTTGCAAACAGAGAAAAGGCTTTTCATATCTCATTAACATCACAGAGAACCGAAATAAATTCTACAATAAATGAGTGCTACATAGGTTTCTACATTTTAACAAGCAAGGGCCAGGTCTCTCCTTTTCCAAATAGCTTTCTAATCCCCCTGCTCCTTTGTGCTGACCTAGTTGTCACAAAGATGCCACTGGCTGAGGCTCCGGCACCCTTGGACTCGACTCTGCCACTGTGCAACTCCAGCAGGGCACTCAGGGGCCAAAGTCAGGCTCAGAGTTCCCACGTTCCTCACTAAATGGTTAACCTCGGCACGGGAATTGCTAAGCGGGGTCTCAACCAGGAAGCTACAGGAGATCTTCAGAGGAAAACACTCAGATGTATGCACACCAGGGGATCAAGTCAATTTTTATAACTTCCTTCAGGCTGGGTGTGGTAGCTCACACCTGTCATCCCAGCACTTTGAGAGGGCGAGCCGGGTGGATCACTTGAGGTCAGGAGTTCGAGACCAACCTGGCCAATACGGTGGAACCCCATTTCTACTAAAAATACAAAAATTAGCTGGGTGTGGTGGTGCACACACTTGTAGTCCCAGCTCCTCGGTAGGCTGAGGCGAGAGAATCGCTTAAACCCGGGAGACGGAGGTTGCAGTGAGCTGAGATTGCACCACTGCACTCCAGCCTGGGTGTCACAGGGTGACTCTGTCTCAAAAAAAAAAAAAAAAAAGCAAACAACAGCAACTACAAAACCAAAACCAACTTCCTTCAAGAAACATAGAATAAACATAAGCAAATCAAAACAACAGCTATTCATCTAAAGAATAATATACTTCCAAGACTTGAGTCATTTTACAACCACCCACAGTATCCCCATCTGTGGACTGGAAATGAATGAACTGTCACAATTAAAAATGACAGAGAAGCCAGGCTAACTTTTAGACTGACCATGAAGACAGTTGAATATGCACTTCTTTTATGATATGAATGCAGTTGGCACCTATTTATTTTTTAGCAAATTCTTGGCTAGCTTCATCACTCTCAATTAGGTATGGCTAGTTGCTACAAATGAATAGAAGCAGTTGAGAGGCGCTGCAAATCAAACATGTGAATGACTATGTCTTAAATTGAAATTTAGACCTTATATTACCAAAATATCCACAATAAATAATAATTTAGCTAGTTAGATAAGAAATTATCAAAAAAAACCCACCAAAAACCCACCCACCCGGCCACCCAACCAACCAAACCAAAACCTTATAAATTACCTGATTTCCAAAAATATGATTATTTCTTAATGCTTATTAGAGTCCTAATTCATGTTGGAAGCCATGATGTTTAAGTAGAGTGGTGAAGGTTTAATACCTTAATAAGATTTAAGCACTAAGCAATAGTCATATTTTTGGAATTCAGGTAACATACACACATATATATGTATATATGTATGTATTTATATATATTTATACATATACATATAAATATCTACTGTAATTCCAAGACATCACTTCTTAAAATCACCATGGTAAATATCTAACTAAAATCTCAACCGCAGCCGTCATATTAGGGTAGTGGAATTGTCTTGTCATGGCTCTGTCCATAGCACCCAATTGTTTCTTGCAGTAGAGGCTTGATTAATTAAATTAACTTAGAGCCATGCTCCCTTTACATTAAAATTAGCTGGTTGCACTTAGCAACATCTTCCCTGCCGCAAAAAAGGCTGGCAGTTCTCCTGAAGCGCAGCCCTCCAGCTTCTTGCGTGGCCTCAGCCAGACCGCCCCCTGCAGCCCACACGCCAACCTGGGCTTCTACAAAGAGGACACCTTCCAAATGCATACTTGCATGGTGTTGGCAAAAATACACTTAATGTAAAGGGCAGTATCATAGGACAGGCTTTTATTTTATTCAATAAAATTGCATTTTATCTCACTGGGTTATAGAAAATGTGCTTTTTCTGCTTGTAAAGTGCCTCTCAAATATTGGCCCTTGGGCTGTCTGCAGCAGAACAGCCACACAAAGAAACATAAAAAAGAATTCATAGGTAATTCTGATGATCAAACTGATTTGTTCTAGAATCTGCAAAGACAATGTTCTGTCTTCTAGAGCCTTGTCTAACTAAACATATTTCTAAAAAATATTCAGCTGAATTTTTTATTTATGTGCAAGAGTCATTGGAATTTATTTCAGCCAGAATCATGTTCTCGATGCAGGAAGCAGATTATCATCAGTCCATACAGTCATCTACTTCCCAAAATGCATTTTAAGGTAGGTTGTTCCCCAAGAATCGCGTATTTTAAAAAATGTTCTTTTTAACATCTAAATTAAAAAAAAATAAAGTCTTAAAGTCTTACAGAAAACCAGAATATGATAAACAAATAGAAGACATGTTTTATTAGTAAAAATGTGTAATTCCTCAGCTATGTCCTAAATGTTTGGAAAAGTAGAAAGATCCAATCTATTGCCAACAATACTGAGGAGGGTGAATTTGCTACAATTAATTGGTAAGTTCAAATGTGTAATAATTATTAATTATGAGGGTTGGCGATTTGGCAAACATGCTGCATTAACAAATTTGAACCTAGGTTTCAACAACCTTGTACGGAGTAGTTCTGAGAAACACAAATTTGAAACCAAAGTCACTACATATATCAAGAAACTCCACCACGATCATCAACTGGCTGAGACCATAAAGTGACCAGGACCCATCCGGAATGCAGGCATTAAAAGATCACATATATAACACACAGCGCATGCATGTTTAAAGAAATAAAATTGGGTACAAAAAAAAAAAAGTAACAAGAGGCATTTAAGTGGACTAGGTTTGAAAAAAGTCAAATAGAACTTACAGAATATAACTTAAATTAAAAGCATGCTGATAGGATTTAACCGTGATTAATCAAAGCTAAAGAGAGGAGATGAGTCAAAAGATGAAGCCAAATGCAACAGAAAGGGAGAAAAGAAAAGATGGACAATACAAAAGACAAATCAAAAACATGGATTATAGAATGCAAACATCTAATATAAGCCTGGTCAGAGTTCCAGGAAGATAGAGAAAATGAAGGAGAGGCAGGAGACAGGGTAAAAATTTCTCTGAATTAATGAGACCCCAGCCATCCAATTCAAGAGGTCCAGTGAATCTCAGGCAGGACTTGTGAGCAAATTCATGCCCTTAACCATCTCCTCACTGTATCCTCATCCAACTGCAGGTCCCAGTGATGAAGAGAGGCTTTAAAAAGCAGCCCGGAGAAAAGAACGTCAGCCGATTGAGAAATAACTATTAGACTTGCAACTAACTGCTGCCCTGCGGCCATGGAAGACAAAGGCAGTGCAAGGCTTCCTTCAAAGTTCCAAGGGAAGAGAACCATCCTACAATTCTGTCTTTCAAGAAAACATCATGAAACAATTATGTTTTCAGAAGAATGAAAACTGAAATCTTTTACTACTATCAGATAATCACAAAAAGAACTCTTAGTAAATGAAGCCCAGGAAGAAAGAAAATAATGCCAGGAGAACGGTCTGAGGTAGAGAAGAGATTGTAGGTAAAGAAAATGGTAAATGTGCAGAGGTGTCCAAGTGGACATTGGCCAGGGTGACATCCTAATGATACCCAACTTATGGGTTAAAAATTAAGATAGAAAATGAAAAATACGGGACAAGAGAAGCATCAGCTGGAGGTGACTGAGAGGAAGGGACAGCATACTTGGGTGCCAGTTACCCAGATGTGATGACCCGCCCACTGGCTGGCCCCCTCTCTACCCGCTGTGGGGTCTGCAGGACTGTGGAGGGAGACACGTGGCACCCAGGCTGTCCCTGTATGCCTAGCAGCTGTCCTGGCCAGGCACGTCTTGCTCTGGGATGAGGTGGAAATTGGGAGTCTCACTGACCTCCAGTGGGTAAAGGCCATTTCTTACACCTACATCACAAGTCACCTGTGAAAGTTGTCACCAAGCCTGAAGCAGCACCAATGGACATGGCCAAACATGAGACAAGGCCTGGCTAAGGCCTGAAAGATCGGCTGGCACAGACACAGTAAGCCACTTTTAGGTTCTAAGAGCTTATGACTCCCAAATAAATTGAAAGGTGCCAGCTCTTAGGCCCTTGTCCACACAGCAGAAAGGGCAATAGTGAAACAAACAGGGCCAGATGACCACAGGGTGACCTGGGGTCCACACTGTGGCAGAGGAGCAAGTCCAGCTGACTGTGGCAGGGGTTTCCATGCAGCAGCTCTGAGCGGCTGTGGCAGAAAGCCCCGTGTCTCATCAGAACACAGGAAGTGATGAGACTCTGTCTCCTGACAGCTTCCCAGGCTAATGGGGGCTTAGTGGGAGATGGCTCCAGCTTCTCACACCATAGAGGGCCACAGGTGCACCACCCTTGCTCAGATCAGCCTGCACCAAGGAGGCCAGTGCAGGTGCACATAAGGTTGCCAGCATGGGGCCATCCCTACAGAAAGGATGAAGGGAGGTGCAGATGGTGAAGGAGAGTCTTTGTTCTTATTCACCCCCACACAGATCCCAGAACACAATTGTCACACAGTAGCTGTCCTGCCTGGATATGGAAAACCTACCTGGGGGCTATGGAGGAGTCTTGGTGGATCATGATGGAATATGGCTCCTGGGTGGCCTGGGAGAGGACAGGTGCACGGTGGAGTGAGGAAAGGGAGAGTGTTGGATTTCTGGGAACACAGATGTTTGGAAGACAAACAATAATTGTGGTGGATGTTTGGATTCGGTTAAGCCGAAGATTTAACTTTTGAGATATACATCTCTATCTCCTTATCACACACATATGATATTGATAACACACAGACACTGTCAGAGATCCTCAGTGGAGAGGTCCAAAGAGAAAGGAGAAGCCAACTCAGCAGCAAGCTTTGGGGACACCTCATGGATTTTGGTGTAGGAGGCAGAATAGGAAAGCAACAAAGGAGGCTGATGGGAAAGGGAGAAGTCAGAGGGACATGAGGAGGTTTCAGAACTGCTCATGCCAGGAGATGAGAGGGTGTGAGTAAAGGGAGAGCCATGACTGCATTGCCAACAGGTCAGCTAGGAGCAGGGCTGCAGAGGTTCTGTGGGTCTAGCAGCATGCCTTGCTCATCTCAGCCAAAGCTGTTTCAAAGCGATTGGATTGAAAGAAGATAATATGTCTTTTTTTGTGGGGTTATAGGAATGCAAGTTTGGTTTAATACTTAAGGATCAACCAATGCAGTCACCATATCAAGAGACTAAAAAAGAAAATACATGATGATGTCAATATGGCTGAAAAGTATCTGGTAAAAGGCAACACCTATGAAAACACTAAGTTTCCACATTTTAGGATTAGGTTGTAACATTTTTAACCAAATAAGAGTATCCATGGAATGCTACAGCTAACGTCATGTGTAATCATGCTTTCTCCCTAAGCATGAGACAAAGGCTAGGATGTCCATTCTCACCACTGCTACTAAACATCCCACTTGATGTTTTAGCCAGAAACAAAGCAAGGAAGAAAAATGGAAGGCATATATTGAAAAGTGGTAGTAAAACTGTCTTTCTGTGAAGAAGACAGGAGATTTTCTGTAGAAAGTTCTAAGGAATCCACTTAAAACAGCTAATATATATGAGTTTTGCAAGGTTATGGGATATGAGGTCAACATACTCAAAAGTGAGTTGTATTTCTTTATGTCAGCAATAAACAGTTATAAATTCATCTTAAAAATGCCATTTACAGTAGCATCAAGATATTTAAGTAGTGCAAGATATTTAAGGGGAAATTTAACAAGCTACATATAAAACTTTTGTACTGAAAACCATAAAATATTTCTGATAGAGTGTAAAAAAAACCTAAATAAATGGAGAAAGTGTCATCAACATGATTCGATTATTCAATGTTATTTAGATGTCAGTTCTCCCTAAATCAATGTATACATTCAATGCAATCTCAATATAAATCCTAAGGTTTATTTGTGGGGTTTTTTTGGGTAAAAAGGCTGATGTTTAAATTTGTATAAAAATATAGATGGGCCAGAGTAATCAAACTCATTTTAAAAAATAAGAACAAAGTCAGAGGACTTATACCACCTTATGATAAGATTTGAGGCTTATTATAAAGCTACCTTAATCAAGACAGTATGATACAGGCATAAAGATAGGAATATAGGTGAGTAGAACAGAATATTCCAGAATACACTGATATGTAAAGGCCCAACTGAACTTTGCCAAATGCAGAAAGTCAATTCAATAAATAAGGATAATCTTTTCAATAAATGGTGCTGAAACAATTGGATATCTTTATACAAATGTATATTTGTCCACACACACACATTTTATCTTTACCTCATCTCATACAAAAGTAAACTCAAAATACATCATACATGAACCTAGTATTAAAGCTAAGACTGTAAACTTTTAGAAAAAATGGAAAAAAATATATAGATATTTTTTGAGATGGAGTCTTGCTCTGTCGCCCAGGCTGGAGTGCAGTGGTGTGATCTCGGCTCACTGAAACCTGTGCCTCCTGGCTTCAAGTAATTCTCCTACCTCAGCCTCCTGAATAGGTAGGATTACAGGTGCCTGCCACCACGCCCAGCTAATTTTTGTATTTTTAGTATAGATGGAGTTTCACCATGTTGGCCAGGGTGGTCTTGAACTCCTGGCCTCAGGTGATCTGCCCGCCTTGGCCTCCGGAAGTGCTGGGATTACAGGAGTGAGCCACCATGCCTGGCCTGAAAATCTTAAAGTTTGATTAGACAAAAATTTCCTAAGAAGACACAGAATTCAGAAAATATTTAAAAAATAATTAATTGGATTTTATGAAAATTAAATCTTTTCAAAAAAAAAAAAAAAACAAGGACATGTAAAGCAATTCAAAATCTAGAAGAAAGTATCTGTAAACATGTATTAACAAAGCACTCTTACCTAGAACTGTGAAAAGAACTCTTACAACTCAATAATAAGAAAACAAGATACCCGAGAAAACACGGGTAAACGATTTAAAAGATTCTTCACTCAACACAATACAGGAACGCAGATGAGCATAGGAGGAGGTGCTCAGCCCTGTCACACAGTAGGCAAATGCAGATGAAGACACAGTGATGCCACCACACAGCCACTTGCCTGACTTGAATGGTCACGAGTGTGGGCACACCAAGAGCTGTCCAGGATGCACAGTGACTGGAGCTCTCGGGCTTTGATGACAGTGATGCCAAAAAAAGTGCCATTTTAGAAAGCAGTGCAGCAGTTTATTGTTAATTTAAATATATATTTACCATCTGACCCAGAGAAGTTATCCTTAGGTATTTACTCAAGAGAAATACAAACATTTGGCTCAGACTGGTAAAACCCAAATGCTCATTTGCTAGAGAATGAATAAACAAATTGTGAGCTATACATACAATGAAATAAATTTGGCTATAAAAGGAGAAAAAACCCTCTGATATAAACAACAATGTGGATGAACTGCAAAAGTCATTACGGTAATTTTCTTTTTTTGTTTTGTTTTGTTTTGAAAGTCTCCCTCTGATGCCCAGGCTAGAGTGTAGTGGCCTGATCTCAGCTCGCTGCAACTTCCGCCTCCTGGGTTCAAGCAATTCCCCTGCCTCAGCCTTCCATGTAGCTGGGATTATAGGCATGCATCACCATGCCCAGGTAATTTTTGTAGTTTTAGTAGAGATGGACTTTTACCATGTTGGCCAGGCTGATCTTGAACTGCTGACCTCAAGTGATCTGCCCACCTCAGTCGCCCAAAGTGCATTATGCTAAATTTAAGAAGCCAGCAAGACTGCACAAGATATACAATTTTAGTGAAGATGGAGCCACAGTGACAGACAGTGGATAGCAGCAGCCAAGGCCCCAGGACTGAATGCAGATGTCAGCAGGGGCCTTTGGTTGTTGGAATGATTCTGCATCTCGGCTGAGTGAGGACTGCACGGCTGTTCACATCTGCCAGAACTCGCCAGATTTTACTCTTAAGTCGGTGGACCTGATTGCATGAAAATTAGACCTCCATAAAGCTGACAGAAAAGAAGTGCCCCTGGAATCCAGAGAAGGCAGGGAAGGCAAGGTAAAATAGAGCACATGCTTGAGAGGAGCAGCAGAGGGGTCCTGGGACTGCCCTGACCTTGCCCGTGTCTACACCAGTAAGCCCTAGAGACATGGACTTGCCACTTAGTGTGTAAAACGCCTCACCACACAATGTGTTGCTGTTAGGGTGCACAGCTGGGGACTCCGCTATCAGGGTCCTGCCGTCACCAGGGCAGGGAGAGGAGAGGTGGCCTCAGGGACCCAGCTGCCTCTGCTGTGCTCTTTCATGAGAATCATCCCCACCATCCATGACCTTTCAAAGAGAACTGGGCAGGGGGTGGTGTGAGGTGGGTGGAGAGGGAGGAGCCATGGATGCTTCGAGGCTGTCCTGAGGGACCAGGCAGGATCTCCGTGGAAGAAAGTGACTGTGGGTGAGAGGGACCCAGGGGCTGGCGTGAGGACGCCCCAGAATGGCCTGTGGTGGAACTTCCACAGGAGGCTTGTTGAAAAGTGTGTGATCTGGACTTTGAGACCTGGGATAGTCTCAGGCCGACGTGCCGTCTCATCCTAGCCCTCACAGTCCTGTGCCGAGGCTTTCTGTCCACAGGCTGGGGCTGGGCAGAGAGGCTGACACCTGCCCCATGGTGGGCAGAGGAGAGGAGCCCAGAGGCACCCAGAGAGGCAGGGCATGTGCTCAGCACCGGTGCCTGCTCCTCCCTGCCAGGTTCTCCCTTTGGGCCTTTCACCAAGTACCCCCTGCCTTGGTGACATCTGTGCTCTGCGATGCTGGGAACAGGGTCTAGGGCGTTCTGGTACAGAGTGGCTAAGGAGGACAATGACCACCATCTGAGGCCCGAGTGGTGGCTACAGCTGGAATCTCCTGCCATCAGGGGACAGCTGAGCCCAGTGCTGCTGGCATCAGAGGACGCAGTGGGATTCTGTGACTGGAGACTTCAGAAAAGCTGCAGCTCAGTGTGTGTGGGGGCCTCCCGGGCTCAGCAAGACGTTGCCCACCATCATGGGGACCTGGGCTCATCTCTCGTCATTCAGTGTGTGCGGGGGCCTCCCAGGCTCAGCAAGACGTTGCCCACCATCATGGGGACCTGGGCTCATCTCTCGTCATTCAGTGTGTGCGGGGGCCTCCCGGGCTCAGCAAGACGTTGCCCACCATCATGGGGACCTGGGCTCATCTCTCGTCATTCAGTGTGTGCGGGGGCCTCCCGGGCTCAGCAAGACGTTGCCCACCATCATGGGGACCTGGGCTCATCTCTCGTCATTCAGTGTGTGCGGGGGCCTCCCGGGCTCAGCAAGACGTTGCCCACCATCATGGGGACCTGGGCTCATCTCTCGTCATAACCGTGGCAGTAAGGAAGGGACTCAGTCCGTCTGAATGACAGCAGTAAAATACAAACTTGTTTTTCTGTCCTAAAATGGTGAGAATTGAGATACTGGAGATTAGAAAACCGATGCTATAGGGGAAGCGTTGAGCAGACAGAAGGTTGGAGTGAGGCCGGAATTATTTGACCATCATTCTGAGGAAGAGGAGTTAGGTGGGGGCTGAACCTGACTCCACGGAGAGGCTGAATCCGGAGTGCATTCTGTAAGCAAGGAAATTGCCTTTGAAAATGAAGGGTTTGAGATGAAAGGGTCTTCACTGCCAGAAGCTAGATACCAATGTCAAGACTGACAGAGACACCAATTAAGAGGCCATGGAGCATCCGAGGTAGAAGGCTCTAGAAAGACAGCTGTGGATGTGCACCGTATTTCATGAGTGCTCAGGGAGCACCCGGCACGCCACACTGCAGACTCCACATTCCAGCTTCAAGGAAAGGTGACATATATCCCAGAGGTCTGAGTTACCTAGTTCATCTTCACGCACACCAGCGCGGTAACACTCAGAAAACCAGCAAACTGCCAATCGCCGTGGTAAAATCCCAGTTATACAAAGAGGAAACAGAAAGTTGTGTTTCGTACTGACACAGCGTCCCGCATGAAGGCACTGCATGTGTACTGCACGTGGGGTGCAGCTGGCCTGGATCAATCACGCAAGGTGTGGACGATGGTGGCGAACAAGCTTGCGGGTCTCAAAGCAAACACTTCTCTTGCTCCGGCAAAGACGTGTAAATAAAGAGCCCAACGTGCAGGCAGTGCCCACCTTCCTCTGTGGGCGCCTGACAGTGCTTCCAAAAAGTCATATTTATAAATCATGTGTGATGATAAAAATAGAGCGTTCAGATTCAGCTGGGAAGACTATTTGTGGACATGAGATTGAGAGTATTCCATTAGGGCGATTCACTCTTAAATTATTATTTTCTGTAAGCTTTAGTGTTCTAAAAAGATTTTATTTTAATGTAAAGTGCCTGATTCTGCAGTCTTCAGTAAGGCAATAACTTTTCATTAACTTCATTTTTCATTTTTATCTTTCTTTGAGTGTTGCAGAACATAGCATATGATTTTGAATGTCATGTAATAACAACTCTCTAAAATTATCTGCCCTTATTTCCATTTGACACTAATATTTGATATGTTAACTTAAGCAGATCTCCAAATGTAGGTCTGCCTCATTTTGCCTTGGGTGATAATAAGAGCTGTCAGTTTTACATCTCCTTATTGAATTCATGTGCCAGATGACAACTGATTTCTTTTAAAAAAAATGTGTGTGTGTGTGTGTGTGTGTGTGTGTGTGCATACATATGTGTGCGTGAATGTGTGTTAGGGAGCTGGGGCTGGATGTGAGGAGAGAAAGGGAGAGAGAGAAAATGAATTTCAACTGGCGCCAAAAAAGAAAAAAAGTCATATTTTATATTTTTGATTTGTCTAAATGATCTTCATTTTGCAGAAGCAGTCAAAAGTGACTTCCAACTTAAAACAACATACAGACTTACTTTCATTTTAAAAATTAAAGTGAATCCATAATAAAAGATTTATGGATTTTACAATGTATATGTTGTTTAATTATATCACACTAATATCGGCACCTGGTTTGGTAGATTAAGTGGATTAAGTGGTGTGTAGAATTCACAATGAAACAAATGTCCCTGACCACTCTGAATCTCATGTTAGGATTTTAATATTTATCATATGCAATCACCTGCCAACAGCTCCTTTTAGACCTTGTGGTGGCTTTTCTGCTGTGACAGGATCTGGCTGGTTTACTCCCGACCCGGAGCTCCAGCACCTCCTTGGAAACCTTGCCCAGGGCACGCCTTCACCCATTTCCTGCTTTTGCCATCCTGGATGTTTAACTGGCTGTTTCGGAAGAGGGGGGCCTCCTGGGCTTGCTTATGTCACCTCCCCCACTCTGCTTCCTAACTTCCATCCTCTGGAACCTTTATGTTTAAGTTGGCAAATTTGACAACCCTTTTTTACTTTTCCCCTCAATTGCTTTTAAGTTTTCTAAGCTTTGTCAATTAATAGATTCTGAAAGTTGACAGTCAGGAGGAAGTTTTCATGCTACTGTGAATATGAAGGTGTTCTCTGAGGGACCACGTGGTAGGCTGCGGTGTGTTTATCTCCCAGATCATCTGGCTTTCCAGGACCTGTTATCTGCAAAGCTGACTGTGCGGCGGCTCAGGCAATGAGCTGCGCAACTCCAGGGCACACTGTGTACACAACTGCTGTGGGACTCATACTCCCTGTAGTAATGCGATTCTCTTTAATCGGCTTCCTTCTTTTTTATTTGCTTTTTATTTCCATTAGAGCCTCTTTTCCCTCTTTTTCTTTCCACAGTCTTTGCTGTATCATGGACATCACCTGCTCCTGCCTGTGGTGGCCCCAGGCGTCTGTCTCTCTGTAGCTTTGTTTCTCTGGAGTATGGAGCCTGCTTGCTCTCCAGGCCTCTGATGCCCAGAGCCACCCTTCCCGGGAGCCCCTCTTGGGTTCTCTTCCTGAGTGTCTTGCGTCATTCGACTGGAGTGAAGATGTGCACAGAGGTCATCGTCTCCCAGAGACGGTGCCTTACGCTGGTCAGCTTGGTGGGGCGTGGAATTCTCGGTAAAAGCCTGTCCCCTCTAGGACTGTGGAAACAGTGACCCAAGGATTTTGGTTTTGATGAGAAATCTACTAATGGCCTGATTCATTTCTTTGGAGATAACAATTTATTTATTTTTTCTTGGGAAGATTTTGGAATCTCTCCTTTTACTGACATTTCAAAATATTATAATCACTTGTTTCTTTTACATGTACTGGGCCAGACACTCAGCAGCCGCTTTGAAAATAAAGACACACACATCAGCTGTGAGCAGTTCTCCCCACCGTTCGTGATGATTTCCTTCCTTCCCTGCTATCTCCTCAGTTGCCTGGCTGTCCTTTCCTTGCCTGCTCATCATGAAAACCGAGCAAGTGAAGAACTGAGCGGCGTGTGTGTGCCGGACTTGGCCTCTGGCACGCCTCACTGCGATGCTTTGGGACTTGCAATGGTCATGTGGGAAGGCGTGGTTTCAGGGCTCTGTGATTTACAGCTGTTCTAGGGGGGATTTGGTCCACTCACGTAAAGAGATTTACCCACCGAGGAGTAAATGTCCAGCTGCCCAGTGGGTGCCCTGAGTCCCTGATCCCAGAACCTGCGAATGTGTCACAAGGCGTGGTTTAGGGACTTCACGGGGGGCCTGAGGTTGTTGACTTTGAGATGGAGAGATTTTCCTCAATGACCCAAGTGTTCCCCGTGTGCTCCCCGGAGCCTCTAGAAGTGGCAGAGGGAAGCAGAGGAGGAAGAGGAGGCAGGGGAGTGGGGAGAGATTCCAGCTGGAGAAGGACTCAGCCTGCCGCGGCGGCCTTCACTGTGAAGGGACACCGGGCGAAGGAGTGCAGGTGAGGACACCCTTAGCCGACAGCAGTGGGGAGACGGGAGCCTCCACCCTACACTGCACCGGACAGGATCTGCCGATACCCCGAATGATCTGGGAAGCCGATTCTTCCCCGGGGCCTCCAGGTAGGAGCCCAGCCGGGCAGACACCTGGACTGGAGCCCTGTGGGACCTGGGGCATAGAGACCAGCCGAGCTATCACCTTCCATTTGTTAAGGCAGCAATCAATACCTGAAACCCTGGCCTGAGAACGGGAGGTGGATTCCAGAAATCAGTTCTACCTGCAGATGCTCCATCTCCTCGACTTTTGGAGTCCAGAACTCCCTCTGGGGTCTGGAGCGGTCCCACACACTGCTGGCTCAGCCCCTTCTCACACCCCCTTGGCTGCACTTCCCACTGTCCTGCCTTGACCGTCCGCTTCTGCTGTCTACACCCTGTCCTCCTGGAATAGCTTGGAAACTCTTTTCAACTCTTTGCTCTCCTGGCCTAATAGGGTCTGGCTGTGTCCCTACCCAAATCTCATCTTGAATGCCCATGTTTTGTGGGAGGGATCTGGGGTGGTAATTAAATTCCCATGTTTTGTGGGAGGGGATCTGGGGTGGTAATTAAATCATAATGATGGGTCTTTCCTGTGCTGTTCTGGTGATGGTGGAAAAGCCTCATGAGATCCGTTGGTTTTACAAAGAGGAGATCTCCTGCACAATCTCTCTGTCAATCTCTCTCTCTTTCTCTCTCTGCTGCCATCCATGTAAGACGGGACTTGCTCCTCCTTGCCTTCTGCCATGATTGTGAGGCCTTACCGGCCCTGTGGAACTGTCCAATTAAACTTCTTTATTTTGAAAATTGCCCCGTCTTGGCTATGTCTTTATCAGCAGGATGAAAACAGACTAATGTATGGCCTCTTCATGCTTGCTGGTAAAGGCTCCTTCATTTTTTCCCTACTATTTTAATAGGGGCTTTGGGAAGCAGAAGAGATAAATGACTGTTTGCTCTATCAACTTGAAGCAAAAGTGCCAATGACACAATTTAAAAGTTTACCAACGAGGCTAAAGATGCTGGATGGGAAAAATCCTGTCATCCTCAGACAGAAAATAGAAAATCAATGCTGTTGGAATCAGTGAGTTTCAACAGAGGGTAGAATTGACTTTGGCTCCCAGGCCTGCTACCAGCCGTGTAACTGTTGGCAAGTCACCAAACCCACCTAAGCCCTAGTTTGGAGACACATATATTTAATCCTGGGGTTACGTAGGAAATGGTATGCAGTAATAAGGGCTAAGAGGTTAACAGAGGGCCTGGCAAAAATTAATGTTCCATAAATCATGCCCGTATCACATATAAACGCGCAGTGCAGAGTGTGACTTCCACCATGTTTCTGTAGTGGAATACGTCCTCCCAAGACAGCGGGTAGCCCAGGCACGGAGGAACTCTCACCGCTGGAGGTAATTATTTACCTAGATCACTTCTTGGCGATCTCACCAAGTCACGACATTTCCATTCATTCCCCAATCATGTGGAACCCATGTTGTAATATCTGTGCATGGTGGAAAGGGTGATTCTTCTCTCATCTCCCCGCCTGTAAAACCAGGGATTCGACAAGAAAAGCTTGAGTTTTCACAGCCTGCTCCTTCTCTCCCACTGCAAGACGGGTGGAGCAAAGGAAGAAAACCCCAGCTAAAATTGTCTCTGAATATGGGAGAGCTGTCCTGTATCCGGCTCCTGCCGTGTCCCAGGTTTAAGTGCGTTCTCTCGCTCAGGCACACACACATACATATACACACACATGCACACACATACATACACACATACACACATGTACACACACACACACACACACCTCTCTTGTAAAAGTGCCATAGGTTCCATGGCCTTTTCCACAAAATCATAAAAGGAGTTTGGCATAGGTTGGATTAAATAAGAGTTGGCTTCTCTGCTAATAAGGCAAGCACCCGTGTTTTATTTCCACAGCGTTTCTGAGTGTGACTCCAGTATCTGGACATTTTGGTCCTTGTGCTGCTCTAAAGTTAATTCTGGATAAAACCCTTCCTTAACCGTCCTTGCAGCCAGGACCAGGCTGGTAACCCGTGAGCCAAATCCAGCCAAGCCCTGTGTTTGCATGAATCACAAGGTGAGAATGATGTTTACAATTTTAAAATGGTTAGAGTTAAGCAAAAGGCTATTTCATGGCATATGACAATTACACAGAATCCAAATGTCGGTGCCCGTCAAAAAGGTTTTCTTGGTACGTAGCGACTCCAGCTGTGGCTGCTTTGGCTCTGCTCTGGGGTGGAGTCAGGCAGCAGTGGCTGAGGCCCTGCAGCTGCAGAGCCTGGAATCTTACTGCCTGGATCTTTGCAGTGAGAGCTGCCCACCTTTGTCCTGGACTGGACGCCCTCGGGTTCCATCCTGAGCAGCACTGCTGGGTCTGCCTCCCAACCAGCGTGGTGGCCTCGTGGATTCAGGACCTGCCTGTGGAGGAGCAGGCCCGGGAGCGCTGCAGTGAGCTCTGCCGCAGCCCTGTGACCTCTGGTGCGTTTCTGAATCTTGCTACTGTATATCCTTTCACAAAATTACTTTTCCACCTGAACAGTTCAGAGTGTGAGGTTTGCTACTAAGAAGACTGACGTGTTCAGAGCTCTCTGTGTCTTCAAAGAGGGATTTTACTACGTGGGAGGAGTCCAGCTCTTGATGAGATTAAATGTGCACAGGTGTGTGGTGCACAAGCTTGGGACATGCAGAGGACCTGCACGTTCACCCATGTGGACAAGTGTGGGACATGCAGAGCACCTGCAGAGTCACCCGTGTGGACAAGTGTGGGACACGCAGAGCAGCTGCAGAGTCAGGCAGGTACACAAGTGTGGGACACGCAGAGCAGCTGCAGAGTCACGCAGGTACACAAGTGTGGGACAAGCAGAGCAGCTGCAGAGTCACCCAGGTACACAAGTGTGGGACAGGCAGAGCACCTGCAGAGTCAGGCAGGTACACAAGTGTGGGACAGGCAGAGCACCTGCAGAGTCACGCAGGTACACAAGTGTGGGACATGTAGAGCACCTGCAGAGTCAGGCAGGTATACAAGTGTGGGACACGCAGAGCACCTGCAGAGTCAGGCAGGTACACAAGTGTGGGACACGCAGAGCAGCTGCAGAGTCACGCAGGTACACAAGTGTGGGACAGGCAGAGCACCTGCAGAGTCAGGCAGGTACACAAGTGTGGGACACTCAGAGCACCCACACATTCACCTGTATGCACGAGTGTGACACAAATGCAGAGCACCTGCAGAGTCATGTGTGTACACAAGTGTGGGACACGCAGAGCACCTGCAGAGTCACGTGTGTACACAATTTTGGGACACGCAGAGCACCTGCAGAGTCACGTGTGTACACACATGTGTGAAGTGCAATGCACGTGCTCAGTGTTTGATGTAGGCCACACATTTTCCCACATTCTATTTTTGACTTTCTATCATTTAATACAGTCCTGTGAGGTGCACAGTTGGAAATTGATGCTCCTGACATCCCTCAGGAAGGGAAAGCTGGAGCTGAGATTCACTCCCCAACCTGCCTTGCTCCACACCCGTGCCCCAGCCTCCTGGGGGTGGCCTGTGAGCACCCACGTTCCGTCCCACACCTGGTGTCCTGCACACTGCAGCTGCTCATCTGTTCCCCAAGTTCTAGAGAGTATCGGATGACCTCAGGCATCCCTAACCTCTATGAACCTCAGATGCTTCATGTTTAGAAGAGAAAGCAGCAACCCTTCTCCACGCCTGGTCTAACAGGCAATTAGCAAACACAGATCCCTTCCCTCAGTCACACCCATCACAGGAAAAGTTTCCTGGAGCTCCCCAAGTGAGTGAAGCTGGGCTCCGGCCTCCAGGCCTCTCCAGCCCTCCTGCCCGTGGCTTTCCTCCTGCATCCTTGCAAAAAGATGGGGGAGCAGGACAGCACGCCAGCTCTGTTCATAGTGGCCTCTGTGGACGTTAGAGTCAGGCCCAGGGGAGAGGGTCTGTTTAAGGCTTAGGTCTGCAAAGCCTGTGGACACTCACACCTGTCGTCGGTTTCAGCTTCACATGGACACAGACAGAAGTAGAGAGATGGACGTGGGGAAGGGTTGACAGATAGACTCTCACATCCTTTTTCTCCCTCTGTACATGTGATATATACATAGTGCCTATATTTCAGCAGAGGTTTTTTCTCTGTATAGGTTTTGAGGTTATTGTTTTAGTGTGGAGAAATGCACTGGGCTTGATAAACCCCTTTCACAAACAGAGAGAAATAAATACTTCCCACAAAGCAGATCATGAAGCATATTTTTCCCAGGGAGCTCCATTATTTTAAAAACAGTTCCTTTTTTTCATTTTTACTTTAAGGGCCTGGGCGGGCGAGCTGCTGCTCTCTGACAGCTGTCCCCAGCCATCACTCACGCTCGGGAGTGAGGGAGCCATCGCCAAACAGCAAATCATCGTCAAGTCAATTGGCCTCGACGTGCCTCCAAAAGGGAGAGGGATGCTCCCTTGGCTTCCATGGAAAATATTCTCCAAGCAAGCTCCCTTGCCCCAGGCTCCATCTTCTTCATCTCCTTTTTTTTTTTTTTTCTGGTTTTAGCGGGAACGCCGCGAACACACGTATTCTCCAGGGTCCTCACTTGGTGCTGGATTTCACCAACAGCAGCACCACAGGGGAGGTCAGAGGACCGTCAGTCAACAGGTGAGCCAGTGGAAGTATAAACATTGCCACATCCTCTCTTCCTCCTGCCCTGGAGCCCAGAGAGGTTTTATGTCCATGTCATTTAAGGAAAGGAGCCCACGAGCAGAAGAGACCGTGTGGTTTCTATTCATGACGTTCTCATCATTGTGAAATCTCTGCAAGAACGACATGGAATGGAAACAGGTATTGGAGACGAAGGCAACACGTTGTCGTCTGTTCTACTTCTGCGAAATGGGCACATTCATGTCTTAAAATGATGCAGACTAAAACAACCGAGCATCTTCCAAGGAAATCTAATCACCTGCTGTTCACCTGATTGCCACTTCCTAGTGCTTCTGTGACACATCACCACCAGCCAGGTGACCTTCACCTAGTGTCTGAATCAGCACCACGCTCTCCTGTTGCTATTCAGGGAGGGCCTTGGCACACGGGAGCTTTACAGTAAGTGTTACTTTCCATCTTTATTTTAACTTCATATTTTCTACTTTGAAAATTACTAACAGCCAGCATGCATCATGGACATCGTGTTGCTTCTATGCCCTGATTTGAATTCCTTATGCATTATGGACATCGTGTTGCTTCTATGCCCTGATTTGAATTCCTAGTGAATGAACGTGCGGTCAGCTGTGCAGAACAAGGTGGAGTAGGAACCAGGAGAGGGTGTGGAGCTGGGAGGAAATCGCAGGGACCATGCTGCCCAGGGCCTCCTGACCCCCTCACAGGATGCTGTTTCTCCCGCAGGGATATGAGGCGCTATTTTTATTCCTCTCAGCACTATTCATTTACAAATATTGTATTGGGTTCTGTGCCAAGTTTAAACAATTGATGAAATGTGGGGTCTCAGGGGACCCCCGAGACAGAAGCCTTCCTAAGGAAAGACGGCGTGAAGCTGAGCGGGGCGGCGGCTGTTTCTGGGTGGGGGCTTCTCCCTCGTCGGGGTGAATGAGCCCCGAGACCCTGGGGTGCTCCCTGCATTCTGCTTTTCCCTCCACGCCTGTGTTCATCCAAAACGCGGCAGCAGCCTTGACAGATGGGAAGCCACCTGCGGGCCCCGTGCAGCGCCGCTGCCTCCCCTTTCCCGAACCTCCTGCCTCCTGACCCCCAGGGGAACTTTTCTGTGTCAGCGTCAGCACCTCGCAGGGCGGGAACGTTTGCTTGAGTCTATGTGGCTCCTGAGAGGCGACCTCTGTGTTGGGCAGGATGGAGGTGAAGCACGGAGGTCTTCTCTGGCGAATCTCATCACTGCCAGGAAGGCACAGAGGTCAGGTCATGAGCAGGGCCCCAGGCAGGGCTCCCTGTGCTGTGGAGCCACAGAGAAATGCCACCTCGCTTTAAAATGAGGCCAACCTGTGTTGCCTCAAGAAAAGACCTCATTGGTTCTCATGACCAAATCCGTTTGTAAATATTTATGGCATAGTGTGGGCTGTATGAACACAAACCTAATTTTAGAAGATATTGGAAGCAGGGCTGATCAGTATTTTTGTCACCGCGCGGGACTTTTTTGAATTCCTAAAGCTATACTTTCGGGTCAGAAGAACATTGCAATGACACAGGACAAAAGCAGTATTTTGGCAAAGATTGATGAATGCGCACAACTGAATTTCTACGAAAAGAATAAATTGTGTAATGAAAACACTGCTAAAAATTAAAGGGACGTGGGGAACTTTTCCATTTTTTAAAAGTGGTCATATTTTAAGAAATATTTTATGAAGTAAAATCACATTTTAAGTCCAAAGGAATGTGTCCTTTTAAGTTTAAAATCACATTAAAAATGTTAAATGAAAATGTTGACAGCCACGTTTACACCAAGCACAGGGAAAAGGCCAGCACCTCCCCACCAGCTGTGCAGACACTTCTTTGTCAAAAATGTGCCAGAGTCAGAAAATAATTTGATAATTATTTAGGAATCTGTTTTTCATTTTCCTTCCATGTCAAAAGTGTATTTTATAATAATTATGCCATTTTGACTTTAAAAGTACATTGTACTTTTTGCTGAAATGCCAGTTCAGGGAGCTTAGTCCCATTATGTATGGTAACTGGTGGCTACAAGTTTATATTCACTTTGGAAAAAAGTTATAATTGTCTTCTAGTATTTGGATTTCAGTTTGTCAGAGATAACTGATTGTGAACAAAGTATACGCTTTGTCCTCTTTATCAAACTGCCAGCATTCTGCAGAGCTGAACGCATTTTGCTTGGTTGTGTGTTTATTGTCAAATGATGGAAGTGGTTTTTCTCCCCCTAGAATCAAGCAGATCCTCTCTTGGGCTACCCAAGCCCCAGTGGTGAATGGGCTTCCTTTGGCAGGGGTGTCGCCAGGAGAAGTGGTTCCTCTCAGTTCCCGGTCAGGTAAACAGTGGCTGCCAGGGTGAGCCCAATTATTAATTTAAAACACCCAAAATAACAGCAATATGAAAGATCAGTAACTGTCTTAAAGTGGCCAAGTGTAGGAGTCTGTGTGTAACATGGTGACCACAGGGTGCTTCGGGACATTCTGTAGGTACTCATTTGTCCCACGACATTTGTTTAGAGCTATCACGGTTATTTTTTCAAGTACATTCTCTTTCCAGTTCAAACATATCATCACTAATTAGTGTGTCTTGGATTTGATTTTTAAAAGGAATCTTAACATCTGAATATAGACGTAGAAGCCATACTTCAAATACAAAAAAATCTTGCATTGTCAATAAGACCACTGGAGTCAAGGTCCAGAGAGAAGCCAACAGAATCAGAGACCATAATAGACTTCATGCTGTGTTCTGTCTCAGTATTAATAATGCTCCTTCAGAAACCACACTTCCATAGAATTTGTCTACAAATAGCACATGCTAAATAATTGTCCATTTGTATTAAAAAGAGCATATAAATATGTAGTGTAATATTATATAAGTGCATGTGTATGTTGTGTGTGTCTGTATACATATATATATTTACATACATTTCCATCTTCTGATCAACTTAAAATAACGTGCTATAGAACTGAGCTGATAAAAATCTGACAAAAACATTTCCTCTACAGCTTCTTTCTCTCCTGGTCATTCCCTCTCCTCTGGTTCCCTTCCCTTCCTGAGCTTCTCACTCCAAAATCCACTAGATGGAGCCAAGTTGGGTGGGGCGGGGCCTGGGGGCCATGGTGGCTGGGCAGGGGCTCAGAGCCCAAGAAGGATGGGGGTCATGCCAGGTGGTCATAGCAGAGCTCCTGTGTGGGGTGTGGACACCTCAGCAGGTTGAGGAACATCCAGAGGGGAGCAGCACCCTGCAGTGAGGCCTGCAGTCCCCACCTTTGCCGAGTGTTGCCATCAGAACACAGCATCCCTTCCCGCTATCCTGGTGAGAAAACTGCATAACCTGAATGAATGCACGTCTGGGGACGTGGTGAACAAACAGGCAAATGGCCTTCTGCCCTCTCTTCTTCAGGAATCCCTGTGTTAACCAGGCTAGTCTGGGTTGAAAGAAAAGATAAATGAAAAGCTAACCACAAAAATAAAATGATAGTCCCTTCCTCTATGCTGACAACATTGAGTGAATTTAGGCAGCTATTTCCACCCATTAACCAGGTACTTACATTTAAAGACTTACCGCTGTGATAGCTAACAAGCATGTTATATGGCAGAAGTTCATAATTTATTAAGTACTCTCCATTACCCTACCTCCTTTAATCCCACGAATTTCTAGGATAAGCTGGGTCATTCCACAATTTAAACAATTGCCTAAATCACATTTGCTTAGCAACCAAAGTTTATTTTTTACTCATGCAAAATCCATTGCAGATCAAGGTGATTTTCCAGGTCAGCCGCCCTCTGTGGGGGGCTCAGATCCAGGCTTCTTTGATCTGGGGCCCCCATCTCAGCCTGTGCTGTCCTTTCCCAAAGGGCCAGTGCCGTGCAGGACCTGCATTGATGTGTAAGTGCGTCTTCCTGCAAACAGCATACATCACTTCTGCCCACGTTTCAGTGGCCGAGTCAAGTTCCAGGACCATCGTCACTCTCAGGGCAGGGGAGACAAATGCTCTTATGTATCCGGAAAGAGAAAGGGCCCAGAAAAACTGAGGTTGCCAGCATTCTCCATATATCCTGCTCTGTGTGTGAGAGAAGAACTGGAAGAATTCTCTGACAGGTGAAGAAAATCATGTTTACTTATGCAGACAAAGAAAATAAAATGTGCATGATCAAGAAACTAGAGAACTGCAGATCCAGGACTCAAAAACAGTTTGGTTTTATTTTCCTCCATGGTCAACCTTCCTTTCACGAAAGTTGCTGTCTCCCAGCAGGTTCCTGCTGCTATTTTAAATGTCATCAGAACAAAAGGCAGCATACTGGGGCCACTACAGAGAGCCACGGGTGGGATCGGGTAGGGAGAGGACGGAATGCCAAGCGGTGACAGATGATTGACATGTGGAGACAGCGAGGGTGCGCTGCTTTCTCAAGAAGAGTTTTATGATTAAAGGAAAGAGAGGGGCTTTCAGGGTTCTTCAGAGATACAACAGACACATGCAGTCGGAGAGGAGGTCTGCGTAAGAGGGTCAGCAGGACCCACTGCAAGGTCCTCTTCCGCTCTATCCCTTCTTCCCCTTCACGGGGTTTTAGTGTAGGGCAGCAGAGTCCGGAGAGTGACAAAATGCCCTCCAGCCTCTCACCTTGGTTTTCTTTCTGGTGGATCTGAGCCACCTTCACGTCTCTCCCTGCACGTCTCCACCCAGCTTTAACGGCACCCAGTTGGGACTGAACTCCCACACGTACACAGCCAGCTACCACTTTCTGAGCTGAAGTTCACCTGAAAGCTTCACAGGCATCTCAGGTTGAGTCCGATTAAACTAGAACTCTCGACTTCTGATCCTAGACCCACACACATCCCTCGTCCTACCCTGATACTGTCCACAGTGGCCACCAACATCCTCATCCCTGCTGCTGCTCAGTGCAGGACTTCCTCTCATTCCTGGTCCCAGGTTCCAGCCCTCTCAGGCCCAGCTGGTTCCACTTCAAACCCCAGGTTCAAGCACAGCCGCCCTCCCTGTGCCCCCTCTCCCCCCTTGCCCCAGGTCGGCTCAGCCGCCCCTGCTCGCAGCTGCCTCTGCTTTGCTTTTGGTCCCTGTGATCTGCGTTCCCGCAGTATCACGTTCCACCGCGGCCGCGTCACGTTCCACCGCGATGTTTTTAT
This sequence comes from Homo sapiens, assembly GCF_000001405.40. Taxonomy (NCBI): domain Eukaryota; kingdom Metazoa; phylum Chordata; class Mammalia; order Primates; family Hominidae; genus Homo; species Homo sapiens. The sequence continues at coordinate 78,396,168 of NC_000018.10, read as the reverse complement.
TTTTAAATAAATCAGATAATAAAGCTCTCCCACTGGAAATGTTCCATCAGCTTCCTCCGAACCTGGAGTAACACCTGGGCCCTCTCTGGTGTCTGAGGCTCTCCATGAACTGGGTTCCTGTCTTGCTTCTCCTCACTGACCCCCAGCCACCTTCTAGATTTTGTCGTTGGGAAGTAACGATCTACTCAGTAAGTGTGGACCTCCACCACATGCCCAGGTCTGTTTCGTGTGTTGGGGACACAGCAAAGAATGCTGGGCCTGATGGGACTTGATCACAGTGATTCCCAGCAAGGGGCTGCTTTCCCTTACCCAGACGTACTTGGAAAGAGAAGCCGTGTGCATACACTTGCCATTGTGGTTTGATAGCATCTAGGAGACACAGACGGCACATCACGTCTGCATTGTCCAGAACCATCCCGTCCTGTGATTTCGTGCGGTGACATGCCTCATGCCCTGCCTGCTCTCCTCGCAGCAGGGCACGGAGGGTAGGATGGGTGTGAGCAGGGGAGCAGGGATGACACTTGTGATGTGGGAACCCCCCCTCAAGCCCTGCTGGTATCATAAGCACAGAGTGTGACTCAGGTCAAGCCGCTTTAGTCTCTGCTGGTCTCCATTCCCCATCACAGCCTAGAAACAACATCCTCTCTGCTGTTGGGGTATGTGTGTGCACCGATGAGAGGAGTGAGCAAGATACATATAATAAGTGGTCAGTGTTATTCCTACTGCCCCCAAAATTATCAAGCTCACTGCATGGCATCTTTCTTATCCCTGAAACGTGCATCAGAGATGGGAACACACAGAAATCTTTGCCAGTGGAATCCAGTTGGACATCTTCTAGGAGCCGAGATGCAGACGTTTTTATACCTTTCTGTTTTCTGCGAATCAGTCACCTGGCATTCTGCACTTTTATCTGGGGTCTCAGGAGTGCCAGAGCCGCCTTGATTTGGGACTCCACGGGCTGAACTTGCAGGCGTTCTTTACTTCTCTTACAAATAAAGAGTTTTTGGCCCAGCAGCCTGGCCAGGACATCTGGCCACTAAATTCGCATGACAGTCATGAAACGCTCCCATAATCAGTGACACGGGGTGATTTTCCGCCCCTGACAAGCCCCTGTATTGAGTATGATAACAGTTAACTTTGTCTTCATCTGCTGCTGGAGTATAATATCAATCCATTTGATGATCCAGCCAGCCAAGCCCAGCACTTCTGTATCAGTCTTCATAGAGTGCTGCCTGTTGTCTAACAAAAAGCCTGAAATGAGATCATTCAATCACTTTCTACTGGCCGGCTGTTCTCCTGGAGGAGTTTGAGCTCCCTGTCACTCTCCCACCTTTGCACAGGGAAAGCAGCAACGCTAATTGCAATGGAAATACTGAAATGCACCAGAATTGAGCTAGCTGACCGTGCAAACCACTAGTAGAAATAAAGCAGGGGCAGATTCCACGGGGTCCACAGGTGAAAAATAGAACTCACCATGGTGCAGTGCGGAGGGCAAGGGCGCTTTCCAGCCTCCAACCTTCTCCAAATGTGCTCTGCTGGGGAACCGATCACCACCTTCTGAGGGGACGGTCACTGCCACACAGCATTCTTCAGAGATGGTTGAATAGGGCGTCTGCTGGATGAGCAATTACCCCCTAAATATCTTCTTGAGTTTCCCTAAATTTAAAACAAAATAAAAATGTTTTCTTTTGTTGTTGTTGTTGTTGTTTGTTGTTGTTGTTTTAAGACAGGGTCTCACTCTGTCACCCAGGCAGGAGTGCAGTGGTGTGATCAAGCTCACTGCAGCCTCGATCTCCTGAGCTCGAGCAATCCTCCCACCTTGGCCTCCCAAAGTGCTGAGATTACAGGCGTGAGCCACCATGCCTGGCCATAAACATGTTTTATACATTTAAAAGTAAAATTAGAAAAAATGCATCAAGTCTAAAATATGTCATAATAATGTCAGAGGGGAAGATTGCATAAATACATATTCTGTTACTCACATGTTAGAATAATCATAACAGTGGGAGGGAAAGGAAAAAATGAACAGCCCAGCAGCTAACCCTCCTTTCTGCTGTTCCTACTCTGCTCTGAGAAGTCACACATCCCATGAGAATGAGTTTCTTTGTGTAATCAAAGGAAATGAAAAATTAAAGGATGCCTGATAAATCTAGAAACTTTTTCTCCAGTGAGACTGCAGGAAATAGTAAATGTTCGTAAAGTGGTAGTAAATTTCAGGGCATGGTCTTTTCGTGAAAGTTTCTGAGGTATGTGTAGGTGTATGTTTCCAAACGAAAATCTTTTGGGCTTTCAGAGTTAGTTGAAAAATGTAAATGTCTTATCCATGAGATAGGATACATTTTCTAAAGTAAACTCACACCAAGTCAAGCAGGCTCTGGAACTGACCTCCGGCATGTTGACTAAGGTGACCAAATGCCTACCGTCCGCACCTGTGAGATCACATAGCTATCTGATGTGTCTGTAACGTGACTATCTTTTTGGGGAGGGCATATGATCACAATTATTCTTCTGTATTACTCCAGGAAGTGCTCCAGATAACGTGAGATATTTAGAGAGGCTGCCATTTTCAGGTGGTGTGGTGTTCTGTCCCGGCGGGCCAGGTGCCAAGAAACATGTTAATTATTTCCCTTAATATCAAACCTTTATGTTTTAAATACAGTCTCTCAGAAACCCAGGAAGCAGATGTGCAGCCATATAATACAATGATGAGCCCAACCTGATATGAGTTAGGTGTGCCAGAGGGAATTGCAGGGTGTCGGCTCTGCATAACCAGCTTCTTCGCACATCTGTAGTTGAGGATCAGATCCGTGTTTGGCTTTTTGTGCGTTCGTTTTTCTCCTTCTCTAGGCAGCACAAGAAAATGCAATGTTCCTAATGATTTCCTCATGATTTAATTTGGCTATAGTTTACACACACACACACACACACACAGCTGCTGGTGCAGTACTAGAAAGAAGGAAAATCGTATGAAAACACAGAACTCGTATCCCATGGGTAGAAGTGAAACATGAGATACAAAATACAGGAATCATTTTTTTCTTTTTGTGAACAATTTCCTTTTTGATGACCTTAGAGTGAATGTGTATATCAGTTTATTTAGTTTTTTAAAAATGTAAACAGTTACGAATAGTCAATCTATTCACAACGGATCCACAAAGCAGTGCTGGTTTTATAAAAGGTATGTGAACAGAGTGAACATCCCTTCTCATCCAGGCGATTCCTCCAGCTCTCTGCTCCTGAATGTCTAGTGACCAGCTTTGCAATGTCACCAATTTTTTCAATCATCCAAATACTGCCAATTCAATTAAACTCATCAGCTCTCTGCCTATGGTCCTCTGGATACGCAGCGCCATCCAAGAGGGGATGAGGACGAGCGGGTGCTGTCCCCATGAGATATGGTCCAATCAACAGCCAAAGTTTTACGTGTCAGTTTTGATATATCCGATAATAGCTGTAGGTTGTTTTGCAATGTCCAATGTTCTGTGAAGATGGGCTTTTCATATTCTTTATTGTTTTTTACTGACAAAATGTTGCCTGGACTTTTGCAGTTTTGTGAAATGAAACAACAGTAAAGACAATATATAATTTAACCCGCATTCGCCTACCTGGGCTTCCCGGTCCTGTGGCCAGTTTTGGTCGGGATGTAATGAGTTCCTGTTCATTGATCCCTCATAAGCGCAGCCTTGGTGATTGAGCGCCACTCACGACCAATGCACTGCCACTCACCGGGGCCTTGCGGCGTCCCTGCAGACCCGCCTCCGTCTGTGGGCACCTCAGCCATCCATAATTATACTTCATGGCCTCTCGGAGTCTGGGCTGACAGAAAATGAAGAAAGCCAGTCTTTCCAAAATGGGTAGAGGCTGCCGTGGTGTTTGTGTACCTGGTGGGGCTCTGTATTTATGCCGCAGGTGGCTCGCTGCTTCCCCAGGGAGCCTGATTTGTTCCTTTCTCGTTCCCCTTCTACAACCCCATTTTATTTTATTCCTCGTGGAGACACCATCACATAAGGCATTGATATACAAGTCATCAAATTCTGGTACTGTTGAAACCAGCCCACCGCTCTTCCCCAGACAGGCACTCAGAGACACGCAGGGGGGCTGTGGGTGACAGGCGTGCAGGGGTGCACACGGACACCCGTGATTGTGTGATCATGATGCGCCCCCCACTACTGCTGTGTGAGGCTCTTGGTGAAGAGCCTGCTCTGTGACCTTGAGAGCAGGGGTTCAGGGCCACTCCGGCACATCTCAGCACCGAGATTCCGTGAGCAAGGGATTCCTGCGTCGGAGGGGCCCCACCCAATGGGATTCCCAGTGCTCACAGCCTTTTCCCAGTGGTCGTCAGGTGTGAGTTGGTGTCTGTTAGCAGAAATGTCCAGAACAGGGCATGAAGCCCTGCTCCCATTTCAGAGACTTCTTCATCATCCTGAGTTTCCTGAGCATCCTCACTTTGGCATTCGGGAACATTCTTTTGAAATGGGTGTGTACAGGTAGATTGCACAGACTGCTAATTTGGAAAAAGGAATTCCCCAAATATAAGAAAAATGTTCGTAGGCACTCCTGTCTTATTTTTGTGTGCGGGGAAAACACCAAGACGAACATGTGTATCATGGAAAGTGGCCTCTGTTGGCCTCTGTCCACGATGGGAGCGGCCACCGAAGACCCCGAGGACACAGCAGGTGCCGGGAAGGAAGCCACAAACGCAGCCCGGCTCAGGCCACACCACGGCCCTGCACAGCCGTCCCCCTGGGGTGGAGGAAGAAACCGAAGCCCCGAAGCTTGAAGAACTGCTGCAGGGTAAGCGATGGACCTGCGTTTCAGCTCAGGCTTGCCGGACCGCGAAGCCCCTTTCGTCGTGTAAAAGTGTCGGGGTGGGCTGTGTAGCTCTCTCCGCGAGCAGGTGAAATCGGATGCGTTATTGCTTCTTTCTCTCTCTGACAAGGTCTTGCCCTTCAGTCTGCACCTCCCGGGCACCCGCAGGCCGTGGGGCTCGCCTGGCGTTTTGGAACCCGCAGCACCGTGGACCGTGCCAGGCCGCAGAAGCCACCGACTCCTAGTGTTGACCTGCGCACTGTGTGGACGGGAGCCCCGGACACCTGTCCACTCCTTTAGGGGCTGGCGAGGGGGACGCGAGGTCGGGGCCACAGGGCACCGGCAGTGGGAGGGAAACGGGGAAAGCACGGTGAGGCCGGAGCGAAGCGGCAGAAACTGCAGGGAGGAAGCAGGATCTTCCTCAGACAGGCGCGTGGAGCCTCCGGTCACAGCCACCGTGTTCTCTGAAAGTGTGGACCGAAGCCTGTGGGAGCGTGAGTCATCTGCTCCAGCGGCCTTCAGTCCCACAAGTGCGGAGGAAGAACCTGGAGACTCTGAAGGCTGCAAAGGCCGGCAGCTCCGCCCTGGGTCCTCCGGAGCCAGCTCATCTTCCTGCACCTCCTTCTCCGCTTCTGTGAGGTCAAGGGGAGGGAGACAGCCGGGGACGCTCTCTGCAGGGCTGTGTTCTGCTGCAGCACTGGGCTCTGCATCCGACGTGGTAGGGGCGGGACTCAGCGCTGAGGAGGGCTGTGGAGCGCAGGCTGCTGCCGTGGGCCAGCCCCATGTCACCCCCAGGCCCGCAGCCACCGTGGCTTTGCGCCTCCCCAGGTCCGGAGTCAGATCGTGGCTTCTCCTGGATCCTGGCTTCTCCTGGTTCTTCCTGCTGCGCCCAGGCCCCTGACCGCACTGCACTTAGGACGCAGACCCGACTGAGCCCACGGAGCGGGACGTGTGGGGGGCGCAGGGAGACCAAGGGCAGGGCCACACAGTGGGCCCCCGCTCCTTCCCCTCCTCCCTCTCTCCCTCCTCTACTCAGTCTTTCCCTGTTTCTCTTCAGCTGTTTCTTACTGCAGCACCATCATTTATTTCTTGTACAAAGCGATTTAGCAATCTCTTTACTGCTTGCTGTAAACACACACTTCATAAGCCTGATCCGAGGGACTCACCTACTGTCTGCTGGTACAATAACATTTTATTATCCCACTGTGCCCATTTTACAAACGAGATAACTGAGGCCAAGGGGAATTGTGACTTATCAAGGTCATGGAGCTTTCGGCTTTGGGATGAGGGTCACACGGAGGCCTCTGCCTGCTCCGTGCAGAATGTATGTCCTCTGCCCCTCAGCCCTGGAGGATGGAGAAGAGCAGGCAGGTGAGACAGGGCATGAGCCGAGTGGGAGTGGGGAGGGCCTTGGGGCTCTGCAGGCACAGCAGGTGCAGGGAGCAAAGGAGTGCTGAGGGGCAAGAGTGGAGCGTCTTCCGGGAGGATTGAGCAGATCCGTGGGTGGCAGAGGTGAGCACGGGCCTCCTGGGTGACTGCGAGGCTTAGCCCAATGTGTGCGGCATCCTGAATCCTGATGGGTGTCTCCGTGTTAATTTTCGAGTCAATGGGGAGATGTCTGAGCATGCAGGAGCCATATATGGGGAGGTCTCACTAAATCTCTGTGAAGTGCAATCTTGCAGGGGTTTTCAAAAGTGACTTCAGGAGTCTAGGCTGGGCGCGGTGGCTCACGTCTGTAATCACAGCACTTTGGGAGGCCGAGCTGGCGGATCACGAAGTCAGGAGATCGAGACCATCCTGGCTAACACTGTGAAACCGTCTCTACTAAAAATACAAAAAAATTACCCGGGCATGGTGGCGGGCTCCTGTGGTCCCAGCTACTCAGGAGGCTGAGGCAGGAGAGTGGGGTGAACCCGGGAGGCGGAGCTTGCAGTGAGCCAAGGTCACACCACTGCACACCAGCCTGGGTGACAGAGTGAGACTCCGTCTCAAAAAAAAAAAAATTACTTCAGGGGTCTAAAGAGAGTCTATAAGAGTGGAGGGGTTCTTGAAATCACATCAAAAAGATGAAAAGGATAGAATGATGATGGGCAGGGAGCTGGGAAAAGAACGTGGCTGTGGGATGCGTTGTCCAAAGCAGGAAGGACGTGGCCCTTGGCGTGGGTGGAAGATGTGGAAGCAGCACCATCAGCTCTGCTCTGAGGCCCCCATCATGGGCGAGACCGGCATGCACAGAACGTGGCTGGACCTGGATGTGGCTCATAGTGGCACCCGCTACCACTAAGTGGAAATGCTCACTTTATGCTTGGTCAAAATTAGAGAGGGAGCAATAGATTTGGGGAGGCATTTGCACAAAATGCCTAAGCTAACAATAGCAATAGATTTGGGGAGAAATAGATTTGGGTAGGCATTTGCATAAAATGCCTGAGCTAAGAAGTCCAAAACATATCTTTTATAAAGAGAAGAGAGGCGCTGAGATGAAAGTCTTGGGGAGAAATACATTTGAAACAGAAGGAGAAAGAGAAGACTTAAGTGGCTAAATTGGGTTGACAGAGAAGGACAAGGTGGAGGAAGTGAAGAGAAGGGGAGGAGGGAGAGAGGGAGGAAGAGGAGGATCCGTTAGATGCAGTGCCGGGTCTCATTTTTCTCAGTGGTTTTCAGCTAAGTACTCACTCATTGTTACGGTTTCGAATGTTTGCCATGGGTTCTAAGTGGGTCTGCATGTTCACTAGCACCGTTTCTGTCATCTGGAATTCATTCCCTTCTCTCTGTTTCTCCCAAATCCCCGCATCCTGCAGGGTTCAGTGTAAGTCACCTCTCCCTCTTCTCTAAGCAGCACTGGTTGATGTTCCAGGAAAAGTTAACTCTTATATTGCTCCTAGGTGACTTCCTGTGTGTGTGGCTGATCACCACAAATAAATTGTATTTCCTTTATGGTAAGAGCTAACAGCACTTTGCAAGGTCTATGTTCAAGGAAGAGACTTGAACTCCTTTCTGACTGAATGATGAGATGAATCACACACTGAATAAACTACAATCAGAGGGACCGAGCCTTCTGTGCAGTCAGGGAGAGCCAGGGACAGGATTTGCTTCCTGCTCTGAACAAGTGGGTACTGGACACACTTTGCAGCAACTGTTTAGACAGTGGATTGCAAGCAGCACAGAACCGCCATTGCTGAGAGAGGGACACAAAAGAAGTGAGCCCTGAAATTGCCCGCTGTCTCCCTGGGGCCTTTCTGAGTCTCAGGACAAGGAAGGGCAACTCTAGCAAAGTGTATTTTGCTGAGAGTTGCAGAGACGAACATCTGAGTCTGTGGAGGCCGCGGATGGTGGAATTTGCAGGGTTAAGGGCTGAAGAGGGCAGAGCAATCCAGAAAATGAGCCCTGGGAACATGTACCTCATTGAGTTTTGACTGAATACCACTAAGTCCCACACACACAGGGTGGACTCCACGGGTGGTGAACTGAACGGTTCTTGGAGCTCTCCTGGGTGGGAGGAACTCACATTCCAATCAGCATAGTAAAAACTACCTGCTGATCACTGGTACATAGAGTAGATATCCTCAAAAAAAAGAACCCACATCTTGGCATTTGGGCTAAACTATTCCTCGAGCAAAGGGTAGTCTATCTCTTCCTTTGAAAGGACCAAGCAAGTTCACGAGCAACTAATTGCCTAACTAAATTAAAACATGCTTGACCACTTTTTAAAGCAAGAGTTGACGAACTATGGCACAAGGGCTAAGTTGGATGTACAACCTGGCTTTCTAAATAAAGTTTTATTGGAACACAGCAGCATTCATTTGCTTGCATGTTGTCTATGGTTACTTTTGCATTGCTGTGGTGAGGTTGAGCAGGTGCAGCAGAGACCAGATGGCTTGCAAAGTGTGAGATATTAAAATTTACCATCTTACCCTTCACAGGAAGGGCCAGCTTTAAAGAGGAAAACAAATCTCAGGCACTCAAAAACATAATATTCATAGTGCCCAGGATCCAAACAAAAATATCAAATATGTAAGAGAGCAGAAGTGTGAGCCCTTATCAGTAGTAGAAAAGTAAATGAAAATAGACTCACAAATGAGAGAAATGGTGGGATTAGCTCATAAACAATTAGTGTCAATATACTCCATATGCTCCAGGTTTTAAGATAAAACATGGGCAAAACATGGGGAAAAGGGTGCACACATGGAACAAATAGAATTTCTAGAAATAAAAACTGTAATATCTGAAGTGAAAAATTCATCTGAAGGCTTCAGAATATTAGATACTCCAGAAGATAAGAACAGCCAACTAGAAGGTACAGCAAGAGGAGATATCTAAACTGATATCTAGTCAGGTATCTAAGAGACAAACAAAGGCCTCGTGAGCTGTACGACATCTTCAGATGCACTACCTGGGTATAATTAGGGCCCCAGAAGGAAAGAGGAAGATGAGGACAAGAAAGAATGATGAAATGTTTTCCCAACTTAATGAAACAAATTATCCAAACTCAGAAAATTCAGAAAACTGGAATAAGCCTGTAGTAATTACATAAATTTAATTTTCTTTTAAAAATATTCCATAAAGAGTGATTAATATCTAGCATGCTTCACTGGTGAATACTTTTAAACCATTAAGGAAGAAACAATAACAATATACAAACTTCATAGAAAGCTGACTTCTATGGGTGCAATTCCCAGTGGGTTTTATGAGCTCAGAAAATGACACTCCACAGTCTGGCACTTGGCACACTGAGAATGTTGAACTAAAGGAAGTGAAAAGGCCTGAGAAGCAGCCTCGGGACAAAGGACTTTCTGATCTTCCCTGTTTCTCCTTCCACCTCAGGGTGGAACTCACTCTCTGAAGGTCCTTTCCTGAAACCCATGCAGAAAGAGCACAACTTTCTTCAATCCCCACCGGGACACTTCATTAACTAAAGAGGATTCAACTCAGTTCACACGGCAAGAGTGAGGAATCTTGTCAACATAGGCTGACTTTCTCACAAGCCATTGTCTGTTCTTTGGCCCATTCAACTCTCCTGAAAACACATTCACTACCCCTCAGAACTGCCTACGCCTCCTCCACATTTCCCTGTCTCCTAGGTAGAGGGTATTTAGGCCTCAACCATCTGGCCCTTCATTGAATTGATACTTTGTACTGCTCCCATGCACACTTGCACATTAAGAAATTCATGTACTTTTTCTCCTGTTGATCTGTCTGTTGTCAGTTCATTTCAGTTAACCTTCAGAGAGCAGGAGAGAGGTTTTCTCTTCCCCTGCATTTACTCCAGTACAATCTATGATAGAACAAAAGAAGAAAACTGGAGATAAATCTCTCTCATGAACAGATACAACTATCTTTAGCATAATTTAACAAATCAAAGTTCAGAGAATATAAAAATAATATATCATGACCATGTGATATTTATCTCATGAATCTAACATTTGTAATTTTATAACTTAATTCACCTTATTAACAGAATAAAGGGAAAAAGATCATCTCAACAGATGCAGAAAAAGTACTTGATTAAATGCAACAGGCATTTATTATAAAAACTCTCACTAAGCTAGGACTAGAAAGCAACCACCTCACCCCGAGAGAGGACACCTACAAAATCCCACCGCTGCCTTCATACTAATTGCTTGGGACTAAGTGCTTCCCCAGGGTCAGGAACAAGCAAAGATCTTCACTTCCATCACTTCTATTTAGCACTGAACTGAAGGCCCGAGCTAGTGCAATAAGGCAAAAATACATAAATAAAAGCAATACAGAATGAAAAGAAAAATTAATCTCTCTTTGCAGAAGACATGATAATATGCAGAAACACCTCAGGAGCCTACAGAAACACTGCTAGAGCTGGTAAGCCAGTTTAACAGGCTAGCAGAACACAAGGTCCACATACAGATGTCAGGTATGTTTTTATAGACTAGCAACAAATATTTGGAGTTTGGAATAAAAGTAGTGTTAACAATTGCATCAAAGCCATAAATGTCTTGGAGATAATTTCACAAGCCATGTGCAGGCCCTGTACAATAGAAACCACAAGACAAAGTAAGACCTGAATGAAGAGGTCAGTTTCCTCCCAGCTGGTGTGTAGGTGCAATGGAATCTCCTGGGAATCCCCACATACATTTATGTGCAAATGCGAAGAATACCCAAAACAATTTTGAAATAAGAGAAAATGTTTGAGGACTGATGCCACCTCATTTCAAGACTGTTAAGTTACAGTAATTAGGGGAGTATAGTATTGGCTTAAGAATAAACATATCTATGTGTAGAACAGACAGACACTCCAGAGGTAGACCCACACATATGGCCAATTGTTTTTTCTACAAAGTTGCTAAGTAATACAATGGGAAAATGATCATTTTTACAACAGATGATGCTGTAGATCATAGCATTAAAAAGCATTAACTTCAAATGTTATATCAGGCTCACAAATTAAACCCACATGGAACATAAATCTAAACAGAGAAGTTCAGACTGTGAAACATCTAGAAGAAAATCCAGGAGATAATCTTTGAACCTTTATGTAAGTGATATGGTTTGGCTGTGTCCCCACCCAAATCTCATCTTGAATTGTAGCTCCCATAATCCCCATGTGTTGTGGGAGGGACTCAGTGGGAGGTAATTGAATTATGGGGGTGGTTAACCCCATGTTGTTCTCATGACAGTGAGTGAGTTCTCACGAGATCTGATGGTTTTATAAGGGGCTTTTTCCCTTTTGTTCTGCACCTCTCCTTGCTACCACCATGTCAAGAAGGATGTGTTTGGCTGGGTATGGTGGCTCACACCTGTAATCCCAGCACTTTGGGAGGCTGAGATGGGTGGATCATGAGGTCAGGAGATCGAGACCATCCCGGCTAACACAGTGAAACCCCGTATCTACTAAAAATACAAAAAAATTAGCCGGGCAAGGTGGTGGGTGACTGCAGTCCCAGCTACTCTGGAGGCTGAGGCAGGAGAATGGCGTGAACGTGGGACGCAGAGCTTGCAGTGAGCCGAGATCACACCACTGCACTCCAGCCTGGGCAACAGAGCAATACTCTGTCTAAGAAAAAAAAAAACAAGAAAGATGTGTTTGCTTCCCCCTCTGCCATGATTGTAAGTTTCCTGAGGCCTCCCCAGCCATGCTGAACTGTAAGTCAACTAAATCTTTTTCCTTTATAAATTACCCAGTGTCGGGTATGTCTTTATTAGCAGCATGAGAACAAACTAATAAAATAAGCAAAGGTTTCCATGCAGTACAAAAGAAAGTACAAATCATAAAAGAAGACCTTGATAAATTGGAGTCAAAACTAAAAACTTTTGTTCTTTGAAAGATGATGTTAGGAAAAAAAATGTAAGCTACACATCCAGATAAATATTTCTAAAACATACATCTGACAAATCCTTTGTCCCAAGAACACAGAAAGAACTCCTTCAACTCAAAACAGTTTTGTTAAAGAATCATGTAAATAAACTAACTGTGGATCCCTGTGTGACCAAGGAGCAAAGAATAGAAGGATTTGATCTTTCAGGGCCCATGGGTGTGGCCTCCATGATAAAGTCACAATTGAGCAAAGATTTGGAGAAAGACCATCCAAGACAGGGTGCACACATGTCCCAGAAACTGAAGGAGAGCGGAGACCCCTGGGGTGTCGTGGCATGAACAGGAGTTGGAGAGGCTGCAAGGCTGGGCAGTGGGCAGCCTGAAAACCTCATGAAGGACCCTGTCCTTTGTGGATTTCAGGATGTCACACTCAGCTGAAGCCAGAATGTGGAGCAACAGATGGAAACCAGTTCATGCTCTTGAAAGAGTCACCTGTGCCAGCCAAGCACGGACATGAAGGGCGGAGGAAGAGCCAACTTGAGGAGTCCACTGAGAAGACCACTCAGAGGCTGGAAGAGAGGGGCTCAGACTAGCAATGACCTGGGAGAGGAGCGAAGGAGCAGACTTCAAGAATGGCTTGGAGACAGGATGAGGTGATGCAGCTAGTAACGAAGGTAAAAGTGACCAAGTTTGGGAGCTGAGGAGGGGATCTCAACTTTACGATGTGCACACAACTATGTCACAGGTGGAGTTTAGCCAGACCTAGAGCTGGGAGAAGCCTAGGAGAGAAGTGAGTGAGTTCCTTCTCTTTGCTTGGGCAGGAAGTAAAATCAGATTTTCTCCTAGGGGACAGCACAGAGTGAGTAGAGAGGACCTGGGCAGACATCTGAAGAACCTGAGAATTCAATGTCTGATAAGGGAAGATGTAAACTTTTACATCAGAAAACATAAAATTTTCTAGAAGGGTAAGAGGAAACCTGGAGAACCTTTGGAACAGAAGCTAAGAGAAGAGGTTGTTTCACCATGGAGAGAATTCCCCCAGTTGATAACAGAAGCATGCCTGGGACCTAGTCATGGAGGTTCTTCAGGAATTAATAAACATTGTTTTTGTGGAATTATTGATTAGATAAACCACTCTCTGAGTATGGTTCAAGGATGTCTGGGGGACTGTGAGAACTTTCAGGGGCCCACGAGGCCAAAACCACGAGGCCTATTGTGACATTAGTTATATTATTTTCTACTCTTGTTCCATTGCAAGTGTGCATGACTCGGTTCAACAGCACCCCAACACTTACATGTTTATCTGATGAGATTGGCAGTGATATTAATTAATGCAGTGTTTTCATGTTGCATATTGAATGGGTCAACATTTGGAAGGTATCACAAAATCACAATAGAAGATTCATTCCATGTGCATGACAGACTGTTTTTTCCAAGTATGAAAAGTTCATTGCTGTGTCTGATTCCAACTCATCTTAAGAAATTAACACTTTACTGAGTTTTAGTGTATTTTCAGGAAACACCGTGCACAGTAATCTGAGAAGATATTAAAATACTCCCCTTTCCAGCTCTGCATCTGTGCAAGGCTACATTTTCCGTATCTACTTCAGCCAAAAGAAAACTTTGAAAGCAGACGCCAATATGTTTGTCTTATTAAGGCAGACATTAAAGAGATTGGCAAATATGTAAAACAATGCCACTCTTCTATTTATTCTTAGTTGTTGAAAAATAGTTTTATAAAAATTATATTTATGATAATATGTACTACATTTATCACTGTTGTTTCTTTTTTTTTTTTTTTGAGACGGAGTCTCGTTCTGTCGCCCAAGCTGGAGTGCAGTGGCACAATCTAGGCTCACTGCAAGCTCCGCCTCCTGGGTTCACGCCATTCTCCTGCCTCAGCCTCCCAAGTAGCTGGGACTACAGGCGCCTGCCACCACACCCAGCTAATTTATTGTATTTTCAGTAAAGAGGGGGTTTCACCGTGTTAGCCAGGATGGTCTCGATCTCCTGACCTTGTGATCCGCCAGCCCAGGCCTCCCAAAGTGCTGGGATTACAGGCATGAGCCGCCGTGCCTGGCCTACCACTGTTATTTTTCATTGAGTTATTAAATAGTTAACATTTTTATCAGTTTGAATTTCTAATATGGTAAATATCGATGGTTAAAACTTGCATAAACATAAGCCCTTTGGAGAACTTGGTAATTGTCCAGAAAGCAAAGGCATTCTGAAGCCAAAAAGTTTAAAAACCATCAAGGTGAGGAAAATGGAGAGTTAAATACCTTACTGATGCCTCCTTTGAGAAGCCCATTTATGAAAGGAAGGAGAGAAACATATACATATAGGAAGGGTCAAGGTATTATAATTCAGGTTTTCAAAGTGTGCTTGACGTCATGTTTAACAGGGAGATGTGCACGCAGGCCTGGCCCTAGGGCGATGTGGGCTGTCTCAAGAGGAGCCAGGACAAAGTGCTGTGGATGAGTCCATTCTCACACTGCTATAAAGAAATACCTGAGACTGAGTCATTTATAAAGGAAAGAGGTTTACTTGACTCACAGTTCCACATGGCTGGGGAGGCCTCAGGAAACTTACAATCATGGTGGAAGGCAAAGGGGAACCAAGCACCTTTTTCACAAGGTGACAGGAGAGAGAAGTGTGAAGGAGGAACTTCCAAACAATTATAAAACCATCAGATCTTGTAAGAACTCACTCACTACCATGAGAACAGCATGGGGGAAGCTGCCCCCATGATCAAATCACCACCCTCCCTCGACACGTAGAGATTACATTTCTAGATGAGATTTGGGTGGGGACACAGAGCCAAACCATATCATGCTGGGAGAACCAAGGCAAGGGACGCCTGAGGCTCAGGCCCTGGGGAAGACTTAGCATAGATGGGAGCATGGTTATCAGGTCTTGCGATGCACAGAGTTGAAAATATATGTAACATATGATCCAGCCTACAAGTTAGTTGGTGGGATGATAATAACGAGGTAATTTTTACCTCACTTAAGGCTTTATAGATGTTCTGTTTATAATTACTTGTAAAATAAAACATTTATGCACTTTTCCATATGAATGTTATATTTTGCAGTTAAATAGTATAAAGTATCCTCATTTGATCATTTCAATGCAAGAATTAGACAGTAAAAGATAAATACAATCACTAATGCATTTTTTAAAGGGGGGAGAGATACTAGAATGATACTATGGATAAATTACCTTTTCCTGAGTGATCAAAATAAGACTTTCTTATTATTGAAAAAAATCTCTATAAAAGTGGAAAGAATCAGAAAAAAAATCCATAATTAGATATTTTGACAAATGTTTCACTACTTGGAAATTTTCCCTTTAGTCTTTTCTAGGTAAAATTATCTTTTTCATACTCTGCTCTTTTCAAGTAATATTATATAATCAGCATTGCCACACCATTAAAAACTATCGTAAATATGTTTTCCCTGTCTTATCATAATCTTTCACAAGAATGTATGCGTAATTTATGGATTTATGGAATTATTTCTGAAATGTTGCAATTTTAATTTTTTCCATTATCAATGATGTTGAGGTGAATATCTACCTCTATATCTCTATTATCTATTTTCTATCTATCTATCTATCTATCTATCTATCTATCTATCTATCTATGTATTTATCATCAATCTGTCTGTTTGTCTATCTATCTACTATCATCTCCTCCATCTGGGTAGATCACTAGAATAAGAATCATTGGTTCACTCAAGCTAAGTTAAAAGTCTTCCTCAAGTTTCTCCATAATATTTTCTTAAGCATTACTGATTAATATCAGAGTGTTTTTAATATGATAGGTGAAAAATGCTATCTTTTTTTTAGCATTTTTGCATTTAGCAAGTGAAATAACTGAAAAATGTTCAGTTCACTTATTTTTCACTTTATCTAATTATCTGTTTATGTAATTTTGGCAGAACAAATGTAAAACACCAGTAATGATATTAGAAAAAAAAAGAAGAATTAGAAAAAATATGCCTATAAGTACCATACCCTAGAAAATCACCTAGAAATAATAGAATTACTATTTTTAAGGGTTTTAAATTTATTAATTCTTAATCATATTTGTAATAAGTATATATTTTAGGGTTCTTAAAAAATGTTAACCTAAAAATATTTCAGAATTTTTTTAGTAGCTTAGTTATTATGAATCATAAAAATTGGAGACAATTCTAGGTCTATTTGAAAAGATGGTGACAGTTCTACATGTGCTTTTTATGAAGTTTTAGAACTTTTGGTCAAATAGATAACTTATAATAAATTGTAACCATGATAGAAATGTGGCTCTCTTCTGATTTATCTACATAATTCTAAGAAAACTCTGCAAGCTTATGAGGGCTTTCAAGGGTTATATTAAATAAAAAAATAACAAAAAAGACATAAAGAAAAATCAGTCCCAAAGTGCTAGTGCAGTGCTTGTCCACTGTGTCATTTTTTAAAACACTTTCAAAATGTCCAAGGGTATTGCAACAGTTAGACAATGACAGATCAAACATGGATGTGTGTGCAGCTATTGAAATAAATATAACGTGTATATGTTTGTACTATTATTTGTCAACTGTGCAAAGTTATGCTTTATATTAATGAGGAAAGGAAGGAAAAAATGAGGACAGAAAAATGGGTGATTTTCTAGGGTATGGTACTTACAGGCCTATTTTTTCTAATTATATATATATTTTTTCTAATATCATTACTGGTGTTTTAAATTTTTTTCTCCTAAAAAAATCAAAATAAGAAATAACTTTTAAAAAAGAGGAGCTCAAACTGAAGCTAAAATAGTTTTTAGGAAAATATTTTTAAATATAATACAGGAGAGTCTACTCAGTGCCTGCAGAGGCAGAGACATTGTGGAGCCGTTAGCTGTCAGAGTGAGATGGGTGAACGCACTGTGAGTCAAACAGCACCTGATCCCTGATAGAATACAAGACTGTACTGCTTCTGGCTCCTCAATCTGCCCAGGAATGGGATGTAAAGGGAATATTTTCCTAGAGTTCTTTATTTTTGTTGCATCAACAAGTTTTGGTTGACACGACACAGGATGAATGGAAGGAAAATCCCTGCTTTCAAGGTGCTTACTACTTAAAGGCGTAAAGCTGTAAGAAATGCATGCACTCAGAATAAAAGAATTCATCCCTATCGCCCATAATACCTTAAGTTTCTAATTAGACCTTTCAGACCTACAGTTAACGTGCCCAGGATGTGAAATGTGTTTAAGTTAATGTTACAGTGAGATCATTGGCATTTGCATTTACTGACATTTTGTGCTTAAATTTGTAATCTGAACTTTGCTTTAACAAGTTTTTATGTTTAATTTCTTCTCCATCTTTTGAAATAACAGAAAGAAACTGACAGTGCTTGACAGTGTTTGCTTTTAAATTGCCTGTGTGGGCTGTGGCGTTCCCACCTCATGGCGTTGAATAGACTGAGGAAGGAAAACCCACTGTTTGCCGCTCCTGCCTTCCTGCCGCTCCTGCCTTCCTGCCGCTCCTGCCTTCCTGCAGCTCCTGCCTTCCTGCAGCAGGAGGTGGTTTTCTGCCCGGCTACCTTCTGAGCAGCACATTGGATTTTGTTCTGTTGTCTGGAATTGTGCAACTGAAAAAACATGAAGACTACGTTTCTAAAAAGTTTTGGTTTGATAGAAAGGATGATAGTGCAAACATTGTGGTGAAGGTATTAAGATAGCATGTCTTCCCTTGATAAAAAAAATTTAAAAATTATAGAAAATGTGTTTAATTTCTGTCCAACTAAGGGTGGATTGAATTGGATCAGACCAAAGTATCTGAACCCATCACACACCCTGTATTATTAAAATTCTAACAACAGCGTGTGAGCAACCAAACTTAAGAAGAGGCCAATGGATGCAGTAAGACTGAACCTCCTGGTCAGGCTGCCTCGGCTCTTTTTAGCTGTTAGAGCTCTTCAGCCAAGCAACGTGCCATGGATCCCTGGAGCAGGGGTCTGGGGCTGCCTGGGTCTAACAGGCTCTGGGGGCCCTGAGCACCCACAGGTGCAGCTGTCCCCTGCTCTTCTCAGAGCCATTGTCTGTTGAGCCCACAACACATCTCCTTTGTGTTCCTGCAGCATTTCTTCCTCCTCTCCATCTCATCTTTTCCTCTCCATGTAACCCCACATACTGGGTGCTGCAGAGCAGGGAGGGAGAAGGAAGGATGGGGAGGGGGAGGGGGGAACACACTTCTTTGACGCTGCCCCCTCTGAGTTTGGCCACGTGACAGTTACTACCCACAGCCCTGGCCTCCCCCTGCTGCCCAACCACCAGCACCCAGGACACCACCCAGCATCTTCTATTGGCTCTCCAGGATCCTGAGGCAGGATGCAGATTTGAAATCAGGGCAAGACAGGAGTGAGGAGGGATAAAGATGTTTGTGCAGTTTAAGGGGCTTGCTGTGCTTGGCATAATACTGCCTATGCTCCAGACAGAGATTTTGCAAACCGTATCTGAATGCTCTTAGAAAGGGCTATGAATTTCTAGACGTAGGAAGCTGATAGGTGTCTCCCTGCAATGTAGCCACTGGGGCTGATGAACCTGTATTTCACTGAAACCACGCTCCAGGGAACCAACATCAGCCTGGAGGCTTTCATTGCCATAGATTTACTTCTTTTGCTATTTTGTCCTTAACACATTTTCCTCTTAAAATCTACAATTGTTTCCACTTTTTGCTTTTTTTTTTTTTTGGAGACCTCAAACAAGCCCTCTGTGAACTAATGGAAGGAAGGCTGGCTCTGACTGCATAGGCCCAAGTTCAAGTGCTCTTCAACGTGTGACCTTGGAGAAGTTTAAGTTCTGTGACCTCAACATTCCTTACTGGGGCAAGGGAATAATAGTGACTCTTTTCCTATGGTGAGACTCTAGGGAGATACAATATTAACAGAGCTTATAGTTTACCAACTTGAAGCTTCTACCTTTCCATACCATTTATATCATCAGATAGAACTGTCAGAAGCTATTATTTGTGACAGCTAACAACTCTCAGGCCCTGTTGTGAAAGCTTTGAGCTAATTTTGATCCATTTTGTTTTACAAAACCCCATGGGGCAGAGGCTGGATTTGAACCCACATCCTCTGTACCCAGTTGACATTGTTGCCTGCTTCCGATCCTTTTCTGCTTTAACTTGTAGATAAGACATGGCCCATTTAGGCAGGTGTGGCGTTCTTCGGGACAGAAAGTTACTTACCATAAAGGACTTTGTTAAATTAAAGCTGCTGTGAATGACTTCTGTGGCCATTCAACTGTTCTGTGGGTCACTGTAGGCTTGAATTTCACATTTGAGAAGAGAAGGCACATGAGGAAGGAAGACCCTGCATTTACATTGATCAGGGCTGTGCAATCGGGAGCTCTGTCTCCATGCTCTTATTTAATGCTTAGAGCATTTTACAGGTAAGAACGGCAGTGGAGCCAGGAGCACAGCTGGCGGGCTGCTGAAAGCGCTGGAGCCAGGTTTAGAAGCCTTGTCCTGGCCCTTTGCCTCATGCCAGCCTCCCTCCGTGGAAGGAACGTTGGAGATATTTTTTCCACAAATATGAAAACTTGGGCCACAAAATGTTAAGTAGCTTGTACATTAACACATCTACATCAGAGCTAAATTATTGCATTAAACTATCTAATTATGTATAAACATTGATACTATGTATCTGATGAAAAAATTCCCCCTTATTTTTAAAAAACAGATTTTTTTCTTGGTTTTCCTTTTTAATTAGGAAGATGCACAAATGCCCAGACACCAGCTCTGGTTGCAGTGGGAGCACCAGCTGAACGTGTCTAGGTGGCTGGGTGGTTGCCATGGAAACGCACCAGGGAGGAGGGAAGAGGCCTCCGAGCCGGGGACCAGAAGCTGAGCGGGCCACATTGCCCTCGTCCACCAAGGCCGGGCCTGGGCTGTACCCAGGGGTAGGAGTTCTCAGCTTCCTCGTGGACCTGGATGTCATTCCCTGCAACTGCAAAAACACACTTTACCACAAAGAAGTGATTGATGGGATTTTCAGACCCGGTTTCTGTAACAATTTGGAAGTGACTGGGTGTATTTAGTCAAAGGTGCTTTCAAAAATATTCATCCAATTTTGACTGGATTGGCCCTTAATATTGATGTTCATTTCACTTTCTTTTTTATCAACTTAACACAGATTATTAGACACAGAAATTGCGTGAAATCACTCCGATGGTGAGAGGTGCCTCACTGTGAAAATGCTGATCACAATTAGTCAACTTTCTGTATCCAGCATGAAGTTATCATGGAAACATCAACATCAGTTCCTGCCTCATCTCACCTTTTTCTTTTTCCCTAAAAGTTTCTGTGGCAACGTTGCCATAGGAAAATATTAGGGTCTGATTTGTTCATTTTCTTTTGAGATACCCAGTTGGTACTTAATGTGAAATAATGTGAGTGGCCTATGAAGACACCTTACCCAGCGTAGCAGATCTCCGGTTAAATTATCCATGGTATTGGAAACTCGCAGGTCGTTGACTATCCCTATTTAATTTGGGCAGTACAGGACATTTCTAATAATTAATACTGTAATAACACTTAATGATCTGCACTCATGCAAGATTTTCAGCTAATGGTGCAGTTTTTAGTGATTGCACAAACAGCAAGTTTTAAATGTGTCAAATGCTGCTATTTCAGCATCCCAGTGCCATGGCGGAGACCCTGCCCGTGGGGCTCCCGCTGACCCCCACCCAGAGCCCAGACATGGATTTGATGGCGATGGGCTTGTTCTCCAGGGAACCTGCCTGTTTGAAGTTGGATGCAAGGCAGGAAACTGAGGGAGACACCGAGCGTCCTCCAATGGGGGTGCATTCAAAAGCTGTGATGATAGTCACTGGAGAGGCAGCGGAGAAATTGGAAATAAGGAACAAGATTGCAGAGACTCTTTTATAAACTTCATTGGAAAGGAATTAATATTTTGGAGGCCTGCCCAGTAGATAGTGATGTATCCATTAACCTTACGCTCGACCAATCCTGCCGTGCTATTTGGCACATCACAAAACTGTGTTCTTAGGCCCTTCTGCAAGTACAGAAGCTCAGGCCTCCTCTGGAAACTCTTGCTTTTGAGATCTAAAGCTAGTAATTTTACATTTTGTTGACAGCTATGATATCCTTTCATTGTATTTATTTTTAATAGGGAAGACATTAACTTGTATCCTATGCATAATTTCCATGAGAACAGAAAATGGTAAAACTAAAATTTTAAAAATGTAGTTACTATAATTTTAGTACTAGTTAGTAGTGTAATAACTTAATTTTGTCTTTATATTGTACACACCCTTAATGATGCCTGAGTTTTAGAATTGTAGTCACCAATTATTATTTTTTAAAAATAGGAAACAAAACATAAAGGAATGTATAACGAAAACAACGCTGTTCTAACTAAAGACCATTTAAAATCTCTTTTTCTTCTTTTTTCAGTGCTCCTGGAATGATACTTTCTGGGCTGATCTTCTCGTTAAAGCATGGAGATGAGATGTCGGCCATTATCAGCTGGCAAGCTAGAGCTACAGGCAGACATATATAGACACATGTGGTGTCAGTAACACAATAATAGGTTTTTTAGTGCCTCAAGCACTTAAAATGCTTTTTTTTTACAAAGATCACTAACTGAAAACTGCATTTAAAGTATTTAAAATTAATTTTAGTTTCTATTCTGCATTTACACAAGAGGAAAACAATGGAATCTTTTTTGGAGAAAATTATTTGTAGTAACTATTAACATTGTAAAGTATACTTTTCAGTTTTGCTTTTATTTCAAAATATGCTGTTTTGGGTTGCTGTTGGCATTGGATCCGTTTGCCAACACAGTGGCAACACAGAGCACAGTGGAAACGTGTGCTCACTGATTGGCATGCATTGAGTTTCTTAAAGATGTCTGCAGAACTCAGAAGAGTGGGAGGAAGACACCAGGTGAAGTATGATGAACTCAGCAGGGGGAGCGAGAGGGGAGAGGATTAGCCGAGCTCAATGCTCTGACACAGGGTGTACCAAGTGCAGCCCCTGCTGCCTCCTGGAAAGCTCTGCCTGCATCCGCTGGGCGGGCACCACCCACTCCACTGTCCTCGGGCCTGCCCACGGGGCTGGCATAAGAGCAGCATCTCACTATCAATGGGGGTTCAATTAACTCAAACAAGCAAACACATAACCTCAACTGCATTAAAGTAACATGAAGGGCTTCACTGAGCAGGGGCTTAGGAATTCAGAGCCAGGCGCAAACCCTAGGCCAACAACTTGCCTTCCGCTCTTCAAGCTTAGTGCTCCAGTAGTGTTATTCACCTGCCATGTGCTTTTCAAAAATAAATAAATAAGCTAAATGAATCTACACCACCTTTTTGTGAGTTGGATGAGATCAACTCCATTTTATAGATAGTTAAACTGAGTCCGTGGAGATAATTGAACACTTGTACAAACCTCAAAGGGAATCAGTGTCTGGGACATCCCAAATGTAGTTCTTTAACGTTCACACTTCACCTGGGGAACAGGGACTATTTCAGGCTCACAAACACAATGGAAGCTGCATGACACACCTTTCTCGGGGGTGTGACAGAAACAACCGAAGTTTGGCATGAGGAATCCTTGCTGCTGAGTGAAAATTCAACACCTACCTACTGACTATGGGATCTAGCCTAGTTTGAGTGCACAACAAATGGTGTCCGAGCTGACGCACTTGCGTGTCTGTGCCATGTCACGGGAAGTGGAGCCCCGTGCTGGATCCACCGTAGACCCCGGAAGCCCCAGCACACTTCGCTCTGGTTTCTTTGCAGGTCCCAGATGGTCCTTCTGCCCAGGTCACAGTTCTAGGTGTCATGATGGTCCTTCTGTCCAGGTCACAGTCGTAGGGGTCATGATGGTCCTTCTGCCCAGGTCACAGTTCTAGGTGTCATGATGGTCCTTCTGCCCAGGTCACAGTTCTAGGTGTCATGATGGTCCTTCTGTCCAGGTCACAGTCATAGGGGTCATGATGGTCCTCCTTCTGCCCAGGTCACAGTTCTAGGTGTCATGATGGTCCTTCTGCCCAGGTCACAGTTCTAGGTGTCATGATGGTCCTTCTGTCCAGGTCACAGTCGTAGGGGTCATGTTGGTTCTCCTTCTGCCCAGGTCACAGTTCTAGGTGTCATGATGGTCCTTCTGCCCAGGTCACAGTTCTAGGTGTCATGATGGTCCTTCTGTCCAGGTCACAGTCATAGGGGTCATGATGGTCCTCCTTCTGCCCAGGTCACAGTTCTAGGTGTCATGATGGTCCTTCTGCCCAGGTCACAGTTCTAGGTGTCATGATGGTCCTTCTGCCCAGGTCACAGTTCTAGGTGTCATGATGGTCCTTCTGCCCAGGTCACAGTTCTAGGTGTCATGATGGTCCTTCTGTCCAGGTCACAGTCATAGGGGTCATGATGGTCCTCCTTCTGCCCAGGTCACAGTTCTAGGTGTCATGATGGTCCTTCTGCCCAGGTCACAGTTCTAGGGGTCATGATGGTCCTTCTGCCCAGGTCACAGTTCTAGGTGTCATGATGGTCCTTCTGCCCAGGTCACAGTTCTAGGTGTCATGATGGTCCTTCTGTCCAGGTCACAGTCGTAGGGGTCATGATGGTCCTTCTGCCCAGGTCACAGTTCTAGGTGTCGTGATGGTCCTTCTGTCCAGGTCACAGTCGTAGGGGTCATGATGGTCCTCCTTCTGCCCAGGTCACAGTTCTAGGTGTCATGATGGTCCTTCTGCCCAGGTCACAGTTCTAGGTGTCATGATGGTCCTTCTGTCCAGGTCACAGTCATAGGGGTCATGATGGTCCTTCTGCCCAGGTCACAGTTCTAGGTGTCATGATGGTCCTTCTGCCCAGGTCACAGTTCTAGGTGTCATGATGGTCCTTCTGCTCAGGTCACAGTTCTAGGTGTCATGATGGTCCTTCTGTCCAGGTCACAGTTGTAGGGGTCATGATGGTCCTTCTGCCCAGGTCACAGTTCTAGGTGTCATGATGGTCCTTCTGCCCAGGTCACAGTTCTAGGTGTCATGATGGTCCTTCTGCCCAGGTCACAGTTCTAGGTGTCATGATGGTCCTTCTGCCCAGGTCACAGTTCTAGGTGTCATGATGGTCCTTCTGCCCAGGTCACAGTTCTAGGTGTCATGATGGTCCTTCTGCCCAGGTCACAGTCGTAGGGGTCATGATGGTCCTTCTGCCCAGGTCACAGTTCTAGGTGTCATGATGGTCCTTCTGCCCAGGTCACAGTTCTAGGTGTCATGATGGTCCTTCTGTCCAGGTCACAGTTCTAGGTGTCATGATGGTCCTTCTGCCCAGGTCACAGTTCTAGGTGTCATGATGGTCCTTCTGTCCAGGTCACAGTCGTAGGGGTCATGATGGTCCTTCTGCCCAGGTCACAGTTCTAGGTGTCGTGATGGTCCTTCTGTCCAGGTCACAGTTCTAGGTGTCATGATGGTCCTTCTGCCCAGGTCACAGTTCTAGGGGTCATGATGGTCCTTCTGCCCAGGTCACAGTTCTAGGTGTCATGATGGTCCTTCTGCCCAGGTCACAGTTCTAGGTGTCATGATGGTCCTTCTGCCCAGGTCACAGTTCTAGGTGTCGTGATGGTCCTTCTGCCCAGGTCACAGTTCTAGGTGTCATGATGGTCCTTCTGTCCAGGTCACAGTTCTAGGGGTCATGATGGTCCTTCTGCCCAGGTCACAGTTCTAGGTGTCATGATGGTCCTTCTGCCCAGGTCACAGTTCTAGGGGTCATGATGGTCCTTCTGCCCAGGTCACAGTTCTAGGTGTCATGATGGTCCTTCTGCCCAGGTCACAGTTCTAGGTGTCATGATGGTCCTTCTGCCCAGGTCACAGTTCTAGGGGTCATGATGGTCCTTCTGCCCAGGTCACAGTTCTAGGTGTCATGATGGTCCTTCTGCCCAGGTCACAGTTGTAGGGGTCATGATGGTCCTTCTTCTGCCCAGGTCACAGTTCTAGGTGTCATGATGGTCCTTCTGCCCAGGTCACAGTTGTAGGGGTCATGATGGTCCTCCTTCTGCCCAGGTCACAGTTCTAGGTGTCATGATGGTCCTTCTGCCCAGGTCACAGTTCTAGGTGTCATGATGGTCCTTCTGTCCAGGTCACAGTTCTAGGTGTCATGATGGTCCTTCTGTCCAGGTCACAGTTGTAGGGGTCATGATGGTCCTCCTTCTGCCCAGGTCACAGTTCTAGGTGTCATGATGGTCCTTCTGCCCAGGTCACAGTTCTAGGTGTCATGATGGTCCTTCTGTCCAGGTCACAGTCGTAGGGGTCATGATGGTCCTTCTGTCCAGGTCACAGTTCTAGGTGTCATGATGGTCCTCCTTCTGCCCAGGTCACAGTTCTAGGTGTCATGATGGTCCTTCTGCCCAGGTCACAGTTCTAGGTGTCATGATGGTTCTTCTGCCCAGGTCACAGTTCTAGGTGTCATGATGGTCCTTCTGTCCAGGTCACAGTCATAGGGGTCATGATGGTCCTTCTTCTGCCCAGGTCACAGTTCTAGGTGTCATGATGGTCCTTCTGTCCAGGTCACAGTTCTAGGTGTCATGATGGTCCTTCTGCCCAGGTCACAGTTCTAGGTGTCATGATGGTCCTTCTGTCCAGGTCACAGTTCTAGGTGTCATGATGGTCCTTCTGCCCAGGTCACAGTTCTAGGTGTCATGATGGTTCTTCTGCCCAGGTCACAGTTCTAGGTGTCATGATGGTCCTTCTGTCCAGGTCACAGTCATAGGGGTCATGATGGTCCTCCTTCTGCCCAGGTCACAGTTCTAGGTGTCATGATGGTCCTTCTGCCCAGGTCACAGTTCTAGGTGTCGTGATGGTCCTTCTGTCCAGGTCACAGTTCTAGGGGTCATGATGGTCCTTCTGTCCAGGTCACAGTTCTAGGGGTCATGATGGTCCTTCTGCCCAGGTCACAGTTCTAGGTGTCATGATGGTCCTCCTTCTGTCCAGGTCACAGTTCTAGGTGTCATGATGGTCCTTCTGTCCAGGTCACAGTTCTAGGTGTCATGATGGTCCTTCTGTCCAGGTCACAGTTGTAGGGGTCATGATGGTCCTTCTGCCCAGGTCACAGTTCTAGGGGTCGTTCTAGCAACTGTGGTTATATCTCTGTTTAAAGGGCACCGGGGCCTGTCGTGGGGTGGGGGGAGAGGGGAGGGATAGCATTAGGAGAAATACCTAATGTAAATGACGAGTTAATGGGTGCAGCACACCAACATGGCACATGTATACATATTTAACAAACCTGCACGTTGTGCACATTACCCTAGAACTTTAAGTATAATAATATATATATATATATATATATATAAAGGTCATTGTGCTTTCCTCATGCGTGTGTGTACTAAATTCAGCAAAGGTGGAGGACACGCTGCATTCAAGCTGCTCCACTGCCCTGGGCAGAGCTCACGCCGTTCTTCAAGGCCGTGGATGAGCGTAAGGTGGACCTGGAGGCCCCGAATTACCGCAGCACTGAGCCTTCCTGGGCTGCCCCCAGAGCGCTGTCGGGGAGGGTCCCTCTGCCTGGATGCCTAGGAGGCCACCATGCGGAGGGCTAAAGTGGCTCATTTCGAACCAGGTTTTAGTGATCGCAGCAAAGCCTGGCCTGTGGCAGAGTCACGGGAGAGTGTACAGGTCCGAGGCCTCCACGTCACGATCTGCCGGCACTTTCTTTTATACGGACAAACCTTGCAATGTGCTGCCATGGGTGGTAAGTGGCCGCGCCGACTCGGTAAGCAGATGGAGGAAAGGCACGCGGTCTGTGCCGTGTGTTACTGCGAAATACAGGGAAATGTAGACCTCAGATGTGCCAGGGTCTAACATCGTGCCTTTTAAACAATGCAGCTTAGTAACAGTCGTAACCCGTGCTCAGTGAGTGCTCCCTGCCTCCCTTAAATCATCACGCGGAATCACAGAATGCTCTCCCGCTGTAGGAACTCTGTTAGCCCCACTTTACAGATGGGACACTGAGGCCTCGGCAGGGTAAGTAACTGACTCATGGAACAAAGCTGGCCCTGGCCTGTTTGAATCGCGGGTGAGTGACTCTAGCATGGTGCTGTGCCTCCTCTGCTCCATGGCCTCTGGAAAAGGAATGGAAGTTTGCCAGCGTGAATGTGGATGACAACAGCTGGGGCAGCTGTGGCCGGTGCCGGGGCTGTCCTCTCCTGGCTCTGATGGCTCCAGTGGAAGTCAGTCTGTGTATTTACATGAAACAAGTTCACTTGCTTTTCTCTCGAGGGTCCCCTGCTGTTATGCATTTTACCTCCCAATGTCCCATCCCGCCACTTCCTCCCACGCTCCACCATTGGGTGCTGTGAGCAGTGATCGGCTTTGCTCCAGGACCTGAGGGAGGGCGGGAAGAGCTGGCCTTGGTGGCAGAGACCAGGGCTTCCAGCCACATCTCCAGGCTGCCACACCCTCGTGCATGAGACAAAAGGGCTCCGTGGGTAGATTTGAGTTTTAAATGGAAAAACTAGACAATTTGAAAATGTTGACCTGAGTCCGCTCTTTGAGGACCACTGTCCCACCCCACCAGCTTTCCGGAGCCTCCCACATGGGGACTTGGAGCCTCCTGGACTTTGGCCCAAACCTCCCATCTGCAATAGGAGAGGGGCCTCTCCGGCCCCCTCAGAGTGACGATCCCAGCTGCTCTGTGCTGGGCAGCAGCTCGCAGCCCCGAAGCCAGGGTGCCCTGAAGGGCCTTCCCCGTTCTTCTGTCCCCAAAGCAGCAGCACACGGAGGCAGGGCTGGGCCCAGGGGAGGAAGCTCCCCCGCCTCACTCCAGCTCCAGCAAATGCAGGAGCCTGGGATTTGTATGAATAAGTATCATGAGCCTCAAATTTGTAGACCAAAGAATTGGGCTATTAATGGGGCTTGGCAAGGAGGAGATAAACGTGTTTCTGTGTGATATCACAGCTGTATGTTGACTGTCAAGGAATCAAAAACATCTGGATGGCTGGCTGATTTGCTGGTTCATTGGAATCCTGACCAGATGTTTGGTATCATGTCGACAGGGCTGAGGCTTCAAGGTAACTGTGACACAGATAGGTTCTCATCCTATAAAGTAGGTCCTGGCCTTTGGCTCAATTTACATTATCTATCTATCTATCTATCTATCTATCTATCTATCTATCTATCTATCTATCATCTATCTATCTATCATCTATCTATCTATCATCTATCTATCTATGTGTGTGTATACACATACATATGCATAGAAACACACTGTTTCCTGAAACTAGAGAATGCATTAATAAGTTTAAAACATACAAGAGGATAAGTTTGTAGGTTTTCAAAATATAGGTAGATGCCATTTCTGTTTTGCTTTTAAAAGGAAATACAATAATTGAAATAATTATACTTATTTAAGTCTCAAGCCATCTGAAAAATGACTATTATGTTTTGACAAAACATAATATTTTTAAATTCTGAAAATTGACAGAAATTATAATGCCTCTTATAGGTCATTTAAAATTTAGAAATGCAGATTCTTTTAAACATCAACATGTTTTACACATTGTTTTGCATTAAGTACATTCATTTGTACTAACATTTCTGTAATTTATTAATATATTAAAAATTTTTCTCTTTAAAGTAGATTTGTGTTTACCCAGACATTCACAGACAAACTGATGCCCACTACAGTTACATATCACTATGCCCTCAAACAGCTACATTAAACATGTCAGGTCATGCCACTCTAAGTGGGCTATTTTCTTTCTCTTCTCAAACATGAGGTATCAGTGCTCTTATTAGAGTAGAGCATGAAACTTTCAGTAATTGTAAAACTTGAGGTCTAATATTAAAGGAGTAGTTCTCATCAGAAACAACATGGCCAGGTCTGATTCTTTTTTCCTCTTTTTTTTTCAAAAAATTCTTTTTATATCCTATCTCTTTCAAACATGCATTTGAGACTCTGCACCAAAGGAAAGTGTCGTTGTCAACACTGAAATATAAATGGCAAAGAAGACTTCTCAGAGGCAAAGAAAGCCACCGTGCTAGCTGGCTGGTGTATACAGTTTCTAAGAATAAATTGTATTCACTTGTACAGAATAACTTATTGATGCAGGCATAGATTTAATGGAGTATTATTTGGATTAAAAGATAATACTTGTCAATCTCTTGATTTCGATGTGTTAATATGATGCTCCCTGTTTTTTCTTAACATTAGTAGATAAAGTTTCCAGTGGTTGCTAAAGTTAACTTATTTGGGAGAAATATATTTTGAAGCCATAGTACACAAGCAAAATGTACAAGAAACTTCCACCTTTCCCATTAAGATTCACTCAGAATGACTGCCATCATGTCCGTTCATTTTTAAGTAACATATTAAGAATTTAGCGAAAGTTTCAGTCTCGGAGGTATTACTCCAAGAACAGCAGCATTATCAGCAAGGAAGACTGACGAACTCTTTACCATGGTGCCTTAGAAAATAATATCTCTTTTCTTAGAAGAACTTTGATTCACATCAAACGCTTTATGTACTGTTCTCAGATTCCTTCCAAGGTCAGATCAGAAAAGAGTAATTATCATTAAAACTAGTAACAAGAAAGTGTCAGTTTCTGTGGAAGAAATTCTTCAAAGTGGGTAATTTCAGAGGTCCTTGGTAGCAAAGAGTAAACAGTGGTTTAAATGGTGTTTTTTTCCTCCAGTGTTTATCTGCTAAAAATGATGTCGAGCACAAATGAAATATTCAATTTAAATGTTAACATAATGAGCACGAAAACAGGGAAGTGAGTTGGTGGAAAGGTAGCCATTTTTCCTGACTCTTTACACCATGTACTCACGTCTTCCTGTTAATCTTATATTTTATCTCGTACTCTTTCTAAATAGTTCATTTTTTATTGTTTGTCAATAAGGGCATTTTTTACAGATTCAAATATTTCATATTAAGATTTTGATTGGTGTTCAATATAGACTTTATAAAAACATATATTAAGGATCCACAACTTAGCTGGGAGAGGTAGTAATGAATTGTATTTTACTTATTTTAGTTATTTCTGGGCATAGATTAGACTGCTAAATTTTTGTAGGCCAGTGTTTGGTGCCTAACACGTTTGCACCCTTTTGACATGTAAGACTACAATTGACTCCATGACCATATTTTTCTCTGCTCATGAAAAGATGTGGTCACGCTGACTTTGATGAGGGATAAGCCTACCCACCTGGAATGCCAGGACCTGGAATGCCAGGCCTCTGGGGTCCTGGCCAGCTGCAGCCTTCTCTACTAACTATCATGGCTTTATCCACAGTCCACACCTCCTGGCCACGCCTTCTGTAGAGGGAAGAGTGATTGCTGTGTAGAGGTTCACGTGAGACGATGCACCTGCACTGGACAATGGTTCCCCAGTACTGACCGCTGCAGTGTGTCCAGAGCAAAGCCTTTCAGGTCTGTGCGGCCAGCCAGATGGCCAGGCTTTCAGCAGGGCCGATCCCCCCAGCACCTGTGAGGTGCCGAGCTGCCGACGTGCAGCCCTCTTCTCCTTGGAGCCACTGCCCTGAGGACCAGGTGGGGTAGACCAGAACTCTGCACTCTGTCTAAACTCAACCTCTGAGGAGCCTGCCAATTTCAGGACCATGCTTCCATTTTACACATGAGCATAAAAGTTGTAAATATCTCCAGTTAGTTCTAGAATAGAAAGCACAGACTCCTCCGGATATGTGTGCTGAACTTTGAAAACAATTGGCCTGTGAAGGAAACCAATTCTCTCCCCAACTCTAAAGGTGGCTCTGGCCTCAGGGACCCACCCTCTCATTTTACAGATGAAGAAACTGATGCCCCAGAGATGGAGGGTCTTGTTCTTTCACTGGGATCAGATAAAAGACCAGAATCCAAGGTTCTCGTCATGCAACAGGATTTGTCATTGATTTGCATTGATTTCTGCTCAGTAAAATGCAGTGCTTCTGACGTGGCTGCAGAGAGCCCTGATTCTCTTCATCCTGCTTTTAAACCAATCGCCCCACAGAGCAGACAGTGACCTATTGTTTCACTTTGTAGTTTTGGGAAAGCCACACTTTGATCTACCATCATAGCAGGGATATTTCTCAGGGAGATACTGCCCCACGCGTGTAGCTGGTAAGACAGGTCTGTTGGGATACAGCTTTCACAGGGGACACCTGGCTGGCATGCCTGTCACGCTCCCCAAAGAAACCAGCTCTCCCTGACATGCTGGCCTGTTATCATCCAGACAGGGAGGACCCAGCAGTGAAACCCAGGATGACCGAGACCTGCCGTCGGGAGCCAGGCTGCAGAAAGTTTGCTCAAGACCAGCCTCCTATCCTCAGGATTTGGCTGTTAAGTGCCACTTACTTGCATGCGGTTTAAGGTCTCAGACTGTAATTAATCTTCCCTTTGAACTGGGCAACTTTGCAAAGTGTCATTGCCCATCAATGGTGTTGTGCAGGCCTCCTCCAGACACCGACGCATTGAGGGTTTGTGATCATATTCATAGCTTTTCCGTCGCATTCACTGAAGGAGCTCTGACACCGGGCTGCTGAAACCTTTGAAATACATAATTTAGCGACACAGTCAGGTCATTTTTCATAACCCTTGTTTCCTTGTCAGAGTGTCATAGCCAGTAGAGAGCTGTTAGACTCCTACACGTTTATAAATCTCTGCTCAGCTTCATCTCACTGCTATTTAATACCACTTTGCTCGGCCCCTGTGCTTACAAGCTTAAAATACCTTCTGTTGGAAGGAACGCGTACTTACCGTTATTATCGAGGAGTTTCGGTGAGATTTCCCTCAGCACAGCCTGACAAGCTGCCTGGCACATTGTCATTTATCATTGTACACTAGATCTGTCAACTGGAGAAACAATCTCAATAAAAAATTTCTGCATGAAATTACTTTGCCGGAGAAGAAACTGGTTGTGTTTCGTGTGTACCGATCTGTGTCTCTGTGTCGTTTTGTTTTTTTCCTTCTTTTTTTTTCCTTCTTCTTCTTTTATTAATTTTGGCTGTGAAAGGTACTTAATGTACCAAAAACAATTTGTACAGACATTATTTTACCAATTGAAAGTGTGAGCGCCGTGCTGGGGCCCCTCGTGTAACTGTCTCTAATACATTCTCACGCTGTGCTCTGACGGCTTCATTTTACAGTTGAGGAGCTCACCCACTCCATGCTGTGTGCGAAATGGGACCCTCGGCGCTCGGGCCCACAGAGTGCACTCAGCACGCGAACAACAGGCCGTCCAAGCCGGAGCCTTAAGGCATCTCCATTCCCGTGACACTCGACACAAACCGGGGCTTGCTGGATCTTTGGTGTCTCTGGAAAGCACAGCACAGCCACCGTGCGCAGCAGGCGTGCCGTCTTCATCCCGGAGGGTGTGCGCCCCGGGGTCGGCCGCAGCTGGGCAGGTGTCCCGGGGGGAGTCCGCGGAGCTGACCGCACCCAGGCGCTCTGGGGCCCTGTCCAGCGACTGCCGTCCGTTCTGCAGGGAACGTAGCAATCATTTCTGTGGATCACGGATAAGCCCCAATTGCTCTTACATTTGTTTGGTTTCTTGTGTGAGTTCAATAACAAGAAGAGACTCTGAGGTCCACAGTCTGTCGAACCAGCAGGGGCAATAATAGCTGTGAAATGATGTTTCTGGACAGCTGAGAGGGAAAGATCAGCCTCCAAGGCCCTTGTTTTCCACCCTGTCAGGTTTTCACCCCGCGATGGATTTGTTGTTGTTGGCGTCTGATGATTGTGCTGACACCCCTGTCAGAAAATGAATTTTTCACTCCCCACTTGGTTGACTCTCTTCATAGGGTGGAACTCTGTCAAAAAATGCCACTTTCAAGCTCGCCGTCTCACTTGGGCTGGAGATTCTGAGGCTGTCGGAGTAAGCCTGCGGGCCCGGCCTTCTGCCCCGAATCCTACCCCAGGTCTCTCATACGATGCCCACTGAGATGGGATGTTCCACCCGCACTTCTAATGTAAATCAAGTTTACAAAATCCACTGCCGTCAGAATTCATGCAGAATGCAAAATATTTCTGAGAAGAAAAATGGAGGCTTTGCTAAAAGATGGAGTTGGGGATAAACCTTATTTCTGGTGCACCTGGAATGGTTTTAACATTTGTAAAATGCTTTTGACTTTAATACCTATAATAACCGACTTGTGATGTAAGAAAACTCATTGAGGCCAAGGCAGAAAGGCAAAGGTCCAAACCAATTCACAGTAAAGTCCAGGAAACATAGAGTAGACTGCTTTGTCCCTGCCCTTGTCTTGGTGGATTTATACTCTTTTTAAATGGCAATAGTAATATTAACCTATAATCACATCAGTAACATGGAAATGAAAGAAAACTAGCAATTGTTTGTTCGACAGTATGCTTTGTTTGTTCGACAGTATGCTTTGATGAGAGTTGTTTGTCCCACAGACCAGACACTCATTGCTACTGTCAGAGTCCCCCTCCCAGGAGATACCAGTTGCTGACAGGCCTCGGGCTCAGGGCTACGGAACAAGAGCAGGGGCAGTGTCCAGCTATGCCTGGGCATCCTGCTGACAAGCCTGGGGGAGGCAGGAGGCCTGCTTAGGCGCTAAGCTCCCCAAAAATCATTTCTGAAGCAGGAGCGGCCGGTGCAACTAAGGCTGGGACAGGAGTCCACACACAATGCCAAGCCCGAAGTGCACAAGCACCAGTGTGTCAGGGAGCTGCTCCCGCCCGAACCCTGAGCGGTGCCTAGTCCAGCAGGCTGCCTGGTCAAACGGCCACACTCCTGTCTGGGGCCTGGGGTCCAGGTGGAGCGATTCCAGGGGTGGCGGGAGGAAGCCCTCCACGGTGGAGGCTGAGCCCCGGTGGACTCATGAACCCAAGATCGTGTGTTAATCGTCCAGTGTTGGGCACAGGACAGAACCACTGTCGTGAAGTGGACACAGAAGAACAGGTCAAAACCCGAGACTCAAACATCTGGGCTTGAAACCAGATCTGGGCAGGAGAAGGGGACTCTGAGGAGACAGGCTTTATAAGAAAGCCCCTCTTCTGTGCTGCGTTTAGGCTCAGCTTGGTCTCAAACTCTAGAAGGTCCTGACGCTGTCAATGGACTGGAACAGTTGTTCCCAGACGGAGAGGCAGGAGGGGCAGAGCTTTTCTTTCTGACAGTTACTCTGTCTTCCGCTAAGCTATTTGCTCCAACAGTATCTAACACATGCAGATAATATGTAATTAAAGGAGATATATAGGCTCTGATGACCGGAATATTTCTTTTTACAGTATTTCCATTAAAAATTGTAAAAACTTTTTTTTTCTTCTTCTCGACCACAAGGCATGTGATATGTACCCACTGCTGATTGTATCGTATTTCCCTGAAACACAGTGTGCTCTCTTAATCCAAAATATGTTCCCTTCCTTTAGTCCAGGAAAAGACAAATACCTTTTTTTTTTTTTGAGACAGGGTCTTTCTCTTTTGCCCAGACCAGAATGGAGTGGGGCGTGGCCATAGCTCACTGCAGCCTCAACCTCCCTGGCTCAAGCTGTCCTCCCACCTCAGCCTCCCAAGTAGCTGGAACTTCAGTCAGGGAGGCCCATGACATCAGCTAAGTTTTAAGTTTTTGTAGAGATGGGGTCTCACTGTATTGCCCAGGCTGGGCAAACTCCTGGACTCAAGAGATCCTCCCTCCTTGGCCTCTCAAAATGTGGGATTACAGGTGTGAACCACTGTGCCCAGCCAAATGTCATATTTAAAAAAATTAAATTTAGATTTCTTTCCCAAGGAATATATAAAATATTATTAAAAGTCAGACGATTCTCGAGACCAGTGAAGCAGCAGCAGACACGGCCCTAGTCCCCAGATTTCACCTCCTATTGAGAGGCAGGGACAGCAAATGCCCTCCAAGGGCCAAATACAAATCAGCAGATATTTCTGTAAATCATGGTTCTTTGGGGACTGCAGTCCTGAGCATTTCTTTTGTATTGTCTAAGTCTGTTTTCATGCTGTAACACTAGAATTAATTATTTTCCACTGAATGTGGAAAATCCACAAATGTTTGCTGTCTGCCTCTTCACAGAAAAAGCGTGCCAATCTGTGACCCACAGGAACCCGTTTTCAAACCCAGAAGCTGTTTCATCTGACGTTTGGTTTCTAATATGAAAATCACATCCTCATACTGTCTTCTGTTCTCATTTCAAACATTATCCATGGGATCTGACCAAGGAAGAGAATTTAGCTCTCTTAACCCTCCCTATAAACACACAAGCACACATCCTCTCTCTTCATTCTCCAAATGCACATTAGGATACTTTTGTTAAATCATAATAGAAACACTCTCACATGGTTGTATGTTTATTCACTGCTGACCTTCCTAGTACAGATACTCTTCTGTGCCAATTTCTTTTTTTCTTGGAATTAGTAATTGTCTTTTCATTAGCTTACTCTTCTGTATGTTTATCAATAATTCACCCCTAACGTTTCCGACAGGATCCTGTATTTTCTCGATATGGTCAAACTGACGGTCCTATGTCACTGCAACTAAAGCTCTTTTATTCTTCCAGAAAATCTCCACTGCAACTGGGGCTGCACTGCAGGCACCGCGTGACTGTTGTTCTCTTCTGCACCTTCCTCACATCTTCTTGTTAAATGTTCCCTTTGCCTCTCTGTGCCTGGTGTTTCTTTTTGTTTGTCTGTTTCTTTTTTTTGAGACGGAGTTTCGCTCTGTCGCCCAGGCAGGAGTGCAGTGGCGCGATCTCTGCTCACTGCAAGTTCCACCTCCTGGGTTCATGCCATTCTCCTGCCTCAGCCTCCTGAGTAACTGGAACTACAGGCACCCGCCACCACTCCCAGCTAATTTTTGCATTTCTAGTAGAGACGGGGTTTCAATGTGTTAGCCAGGATGGTCTTGATCTCTTGACCTCATGATCCACCTGCCTTGGCCTCCTAAAGTGCTGGGATTACAGGCGTGAGCCACCACGCCCTGCCTTGTTTGTTTGTTTATTTTCTTCAACTTTTATTTTAAGTTCCAGGATACATGTGCAGGATGTTACACAGGTAAACATGTGCCGTGGTGACTTGCTGCACCTGTCAACCCATCACCTAGATATTAAGCCCAGCATCCCTTAGCCATTCTTCCTGATGCTCTGTCTTCTCCCACCCTCCCCAACAGGCCCCAGTGTGTGTTGTTCCCCCTGATGTGTCCATGTGTTCTCATCATTCAGCTCCCACTTATAAGTGAGAACATGTGGTGTTTGGTTTTCTGTTCCTGTGTTAGTTTGCTGAGGATAATGGCTTCCAGCTCCATCCATGTCCCTGCACAGGACATAATCTCGTTCATTTTTATGGCTGCATAGGATTTCGTGGTATATATGTACCACATTTTCTTTATCTAATCTATCACTGATGGGCATTTGGGCTGATTCCATGAGTTTCATGAGTTTGCTATTGTGAATAGTGCTGCAATGAACATACTTGTGCATATGTCTTCATAATAGAACAATTCATATTCCTTTGGATATATACCCAGTAATGGGGTTGCTGGGTCAAATGGTATTTGTGCTTCTAGATCTCTGAGGAATTGCCACACTGTCTTCTACAATGGTTGAACTAATTTACACTCCCACCAACAGTGTAAAAGCATTCCTTTTTCTCTGCAACCTTACCAACATCTATTGTTTTTGACTTTTTGATAACCACCATTCTAACTGGCATGAGATGGTATCTCACTGTGGTTTTGATTTGAGTGGCTCTAACGATAAGTGGTGTTGAGCTATTTTTCATGGCCAAATAAATGTCTTCTTTTGAGAAGTGTCTGTTCAGGTCCTTTGCCCACTTTTTAATAGAGTAGTTTTTTTTTATTGCACACTTGTTTAAGTTCCTTGTAGACTCTGGATGTTAGACATTTGCCAGATGGATAGATTGCAAAATTTTTCTCCAATTCTGTAGGTTTTCTGTTCACTCTGATGATAGTTACTTTTGCTGTGCAGAAGCTCTTTAGTTTAATTAGATCCTATTTGTCAATTTTTGCTTTTGTTGCAATTGCTTTTGGTGTTTTCATCATGAAATCTTTGCCCATGCCTATGTCCTGAATGGTATTGCCTGGATTTTCTTCTAGAGTTTTTATGGTTCTGGATTTTACATTTAAGTCTTTAATCCATCTTGAGTTAATTTTTGTATAAAAACCCGGGGTTTCTTAGCCACAGTGTTTTCTCTGCTTGTGTTTCCTCCAGAGTTGTATAGGAGTTAAGTTTATTTTGTCCTTACATGTCTTCAAAATGCCCTTATCCCATATTCATACTTGGTCTGGGTATAAAATTCTAAGTTTTAAAAAATTTTTCCTTGATAATTCTGAAGGACTGCTCTGTGTTGTTCAGTGTCCAGTGATCCTTTGGAGAGATCTGATGCCCTTCTGACACCTCACCCTTATTCTCCCGAAGTTTTCAGGACCCTCTCGCCCTCCCTGGATGAAAGGCCCCGTGGACTCCATGTAAAATTCTCTTTCCTGGGTAGCTGCTCTGCCTGTGTGGTCCCTATGGTTCCTGGAGATTTTCTAACTTTATTTCTTTGATAATTTTCACTGGTTCATTGTCTCCTTTTCCCCTTGATTTTAACAATGGCAACCTCTGCACTGTCACAGAATGCAGAGCTGTGGCCTTGAGATGGGAAGCTGTTTGCCACCATAGGATGGGCCATGGGTGGTCTTGTAGGGAGTTGTGTGCCATCTCTGCTGCTGCAAACTCTCCACGCTCATGCTTCCTGGTTCAATTCCCCACCCCGCAGATGCTCTGCCTGGTTCCATGTGGGTCCCTCCAGCACCTTCTGCACTCCTGGCCTTCTCCCCAGGTTCCCAGCCCTGACTGCTCAGGAATCCTCCCCCAAGGCAGCTTGCTGCGCATGCTCAGGCTTGAAACAGGACCTGAAGAGAGAGAGGTGCCAAGCCTGCAGCAGGCCAGGTCCATGGGAGAAAATCACAGAGGAAATCACTATTTTTCTAATTCCTATAAAAAAAAATCAACCTAGAGCAATGTAATTCACTAAAAGCTCAAGAAGATAGAACGCTAATATATTCTTTGTTCTTTTATTTTTTTAAAATGCCTTTTCATTTATATTTTCCCAACTTCTTCAACTTCAAAGCAACTATGGGACGATATTCATCGTAAATAAAAACAGCTGAGCACAACAGCAGTTTACAAGTCTTAAATGAAGCAAACGTATTAATCATCTTGTTTTGATTCAATTACTCTGCTCTTTTGCTTTCAATAATAAATGAATTTTCATTTCCCTTCCTTTTTATTGCTCAATGAAATCTGCGTTTGGAGAGGTGGAGGACGAGCTGAAGGAGATGGCGGGAGACGTGGGCTCCTCCAGCTGCACGTGGCCTGCGTTTGCTCTTACAACCTCGGCTGGTTGTGTTCAGAAGAGGCTCCTCGCTGGCTAAGCCACCTGGAGTGTATTCATTAATGATTTTTGGCCATTTTAGGAGGAGCCTCTAATTTTCTTCCTTTGAGCTATATTCTTAGCCCTGTCTTAGTAAAAATATATATGAATTATTTAGAAATGAACCAAGACCAGCTCATTCAATTTGCAGATAGCCACAGTCTGGAGGTGGCTAACACCATAAACAACAGTCCTAGATTTTAAAATTGCCTGTATAGACCTTAGTAGTGTATTAAGAATGACACATGAAAATAGAATATGCCTAAATATAAAAAGTTATAATTATTTCTTTAGGTCTGGGATGAAGAAAAAGTGATTTGCTGAAAGAACTAGAATGGTCTCTGCAGTGTTTGTTATTACTGTTGATATTTGTTTAAAAAACAGAAGCAAAGTATTCATATCACGAAAATTCCATTCGATTTTGCACCTTTTTATCACTCTTTATATGCAAGGTACTCTGCTAGGTACTAGCAAAAAGACCTACACACATGGTAGGGCCCTCCTGCAGCTCCTCAGTGGCAGGCAGTGTCTGGGGTGAGGCTGTGGGGAGGGCAGGCTGGTGCATTTGCCCTTCACTGACCTGCAGATTCTGGGGACCTGGACACGTAAGGGAGACCTTCTTAAGTCCTCACGACTCCCTATATGTGTACAAAGAGAATACTCAGGAAGAACGTAGAGGGTTCTTCAGTCAATGCTGTGTCTGATAGGTTGTGCTACTGAAGAAACCTCCAAATATTGTAAGTATAGTATGCTAATAAGTAAAATTAAAAGGATAAAACAGGGGTCCCACACCCCAGGCTATGGTACTTGTCCGAGGCCTGTCGGAAACGGAGCTGCACAGCACAGCAGGAGGTGAGTGGTGGGTGAGCAAGCAAAGCTTCATCTGCATTTACAGCCACTCCTCATCACTGGCATTACCGCCTGAGCCCCACCTCCTGTCATATCGGTAGCGGCATTAGATTCTCATAGGAGCGTGAACCCTATTGTGAACTGTGCCTGTGAGGGATCTAGGCTGCAAGCTTCTCATGAGAATCTAATGCCTGAAGATCGGTCACTGTCTCCCATCACCCCCAGATGGGACCACCTAGTTGGAGGAAAACAAGCTCAGGGCTCCCACTGATTCTACATTATGGTGAGTTGTATAATTGTTTCATTACATATTACAATGTAATAATAGTAGAAAGAAAGTGCACAATAAATGCAATGGGTTTGAATCATCCTGAAACCACCCTCAACCCCGACTGTGGAAAAACTGTCTTCCATGAAACCAGTCCCTGGTGCCAAAAATGTTGGGGACCACTGATATAAAGAGAATGTTTTGATTTGGGTGAGGGGGAGTAAATAATTTCTATTTGAGCCTTCACCATGAAGGTGGCATTTCCACTGGATCTTAAACAATGAGTCACTGTGCAAGGGGCCAAGACAGCCAATGGGAAGAGCAGGTACCCAGGGCGTCCTCACAGGGTGGGTGCAGACGTGGTGAGTTTTGCTGTCATGTGGTTAAGGCTGAAATTGAAGCAGGGGTAGAAAGTTTGTTTGTAAATGCTTTATTGAGATAGATACACATGCTGTACAATTCACCAATTTAAAGTGTACAATTTAATTGTATGCAAATGGAATCATGCAGTGTATGACCCTTAGTGTGTGGATTATTTCAAGCAGTACGATTATTTGGAGATGTATCTATGTTGCTACATTGCTAATAGTTCATTCCTTTTCGTGGGTAGGTTGAATTCCACCATACAGATATTATGTCCAAATGATGTTCACTCACCTGTTGACATTTCCAGTTTTGGTCTTTCTGGTTTGGGGTTATTACCAATAAAGCTGGGTTTGGCATGAATGTCTAAGTCTTTCTGTGAACACGTTTCACTTTCTCCAGGTAACCCCCTGAGAATGGAATGGCTGCCATATGGTCGGTGTATGCTGCATACTTTATAAAATTGCCAAACTTCTAATACAATTTATTTTTAAGGAAGTTTTAGCTTTACAGCAACATTAAGCAGAAAGTACATTGTTGCCATGTACTCCCTCTTTCCTCCCAGTTTTCTGTATCATTAACATCATGAACTGTTGTCCTATATTTATAAGCGTTGAACCAATATGGATACTAACTGAAGTCTATGGTTGACATTAAGTTCACTCCTGGTGTTGTACACTCAGTGGGTTTTGACAAATGTGCCATGCCACGTGTCTGCCATTGTAGTATAGGTGATTTCACTCCCTAAAATTCCCATGTGGGGCCGGGTGCGGTGGCTCAGGCCTATAATCCCAGCACTTTGGGAGGCTTAGAAAGGTGGATCACCTGAGGTCAGGAGTTCAAGACCAGCCTGGCTAACATGGTGAAAACCCATCTCTATTAAAAATACAAAAATTAGCCAGGCGTGGTGGTGGGCACCTGTGATCCCAGCTCCTCAGGAGGCTGAGGCAGGAAAATCGCTTGAACCTGAGAGGCAGAGGTTGCAGTGAGCCGAGATCATGCCATTGCACTCCAGCCTGGGTGACAGAGCAAGACTCCATCACAAAAAAAAAAGATTTCCATCTGCTCCACCTGTTTACCTTTCTCTCCCCCCGAACTCCTGCACCGCTGATATTTGACTGTCTTCACACCGTGGCTTTTTCTAAAATGTGGTATCATGGAAATCACACAGTGTGGAGACTTTTCAGACCCACTTCCTTTCTTAGTGAGTTGCGCTACAATCCCTTCATGTCTCTTCACGGCTCCAGGGCTCATTTCTGTTAGTCACTGAATAATGTTCTGTTGCATGGATGTACCTCAGATGTTCATTCATTCACCCAGGGAAGGGTTTCCAAA
Source organism: Homo sapiens (assembly GCF_000001405.40). Lineage (NCBI taxonomy): Eukaryota > Metazoa > Chordata > Mammalia > Primates > Hominidae > Homo > Homo sapiens. The sequence goes on along the minus strand of NC_000018.10, from coordinate 78,354,887 downwards.
CTGTTCTCAAAAGTGTTCAAACCACTTTATATTCTCAAAGCAGTAAGTGAGTTCCAGTTGCTACATATCCTCACCAAAATTTAGTTTGGTTGGCGTTTTTAACTTTAGCCATTCTAGTGTAGTGGTATCTTATTGTGGTTTTACTTTGCATTTGCCTAACAAGTAACGATGTTCAGAAAGCTTTTATGAAGTGTTTCCTAAAGTGTCTGTTCAAAGTTCTGTCTGTTATTTAATTAGGCTGTCTTGTTATTGATTGTAACAGTTATTCATATATTCTAGATACAAGTTCTTTGTCAGATATATATTGTGCAAATATATTCCCCAGTGTATGTCAGCCTTTCAATTATTGTATCAGCGTCATTTAAAGTAAAATAGCTTTACGTTTCTAAGAAGTCCAATTGATCACTTTTTTCTTTTGTATTTTATTATTATTTTTTGTTTTAAGAAAGCTCCGTGAAAACCCAATTGTACTGACATTATCACCTGTGTTTTACTGAAGACGTGTTGCAGTATTACCTCTTACATTTAGGTCTGTGACCCACTTTGAACTAAATGTTTTATGTGGTGTGAGATCAGGTTCGTGTTAATAGTTATGCAGATGGATGTCTGAGGACCACATTGTAGTTGTTGAAAGCTTATCATTTGCTTGTTAAATTGCTTTGGCACTTTTGTCAATAGCAAATTGGCCATATATCTATTGGTTTATTTCTGGATTCTTTACTTCAATATCATTAAAATATTTTTCAAAAATGAAGATGCAATAAAACTTTTTTAGGAATAGAAACACTTAACCAGCACAACAAGAAATGCTTAAAAATCTCCTTCAGGCAAAAAGAAAATGTTACCAGATGAAAATCTGGATCTACACAAAGACATGAAGAGCATCTATAATAATAAATACATATGTAAATATAAACATTTCAAAATTATATCTGTAAAAATGTTTTAAAAAGGTAATAAATAACTCAAAGCTGAAAAACATACTGTGGAGTTTACAACAAATCAAATTTGAAGAAGTAAAATTTACGGCAGCACCCGCACAAAGGCCAAAAGAGGAGAAATGGAAGTAGCTCGTATTTTATACCACATGTCAGGTGGACTAGTATTTCTTAATTCTTGACTAAAAAGTGTTTAAAATATAAATTCTACAGTAAAAATTAAAAAAGGAGATATAGCAAATAAGCCCCCCAAAAGATAACAAGACATTATTTAAAAATATACAATACATTCAAAAGAAGGCAGGGACAAAAGGAAAAAGGAATCAGAGGAAAGATGGGACAAATATAAAATAAACTGCAGTATGGTAGACAAACTCACCACATTAAATGCAAATGGTTTAAAAACTGTAGTTAAATAACAGAAATTATCAGATTATATAACAAAGAAAGTTACAGCAATATGTAATAAATTCAGTGCAATTCCAATCAAAACTCCAGCAGGTATTTTTTTGTGTGTGTAAAATGGAAAAACTGATTATAAAATAAATATAAAAATGCAAAGTACCAAACATAGAGAAAACAATTTTTAAAAAGAACAAAATCAGAAGATTGAAACTGACCGATGTCAATAATTATAAAGATACAGGCATCAAAACAGTGTGGTGTTGTGTGAAATAGGCAATTCCGGTGCAGCCTTCACAGTGGAGCTGGCTTGTCCCCATCATGGAAACCCTCACTTCAGAGTATTCAGCCTGAAACCAGGGCTATTGCAAGGCTTCTCCCTGCAGCCAGTGAGACGGCAGGTCTCCCCGGCCCTCTGCTGCTGCAGTCACTGTTCTGCAGGCTCCTTCTAGGGTCTCCGCCCCAAGCCCAGCATTCTCCCCACCTGTTCACACTGGTCAGCCCTCTGCAGGGGACCTGAGAGTGCCCTCTAGACTCGCCTTTCCATTCCACCTGTTCCTGCTGCTCCAGCCTTCTTCCTCCAGAGCTCTTCAGCTCACCCCGAGAGAGTCCAGGATCTGTCCAGCCACTCCCTGTAGTTCTGCCCCGAGACTCTCTTTAGGCCCTAAGCTGGTGTAATTTTTTTGGAGGGGTTGCCTCATTTATGGCTCATTCTCTCAAGGATCACTGCTCTGCACTGCCTGGTACTTCATGTATTTTCAAAGTCTGAAAAACATGTATTTATGTTTTCTATGTTCTGATCAACATTTCAGTTGTTTGAGCAGGGAGGGTAAGTCTGGCCCCTGTTATTCTGTCCTGGATGGGTGGAAAGTCCTAGACCTGCATATTCCACAGGATGGAGGAGTGAAGCAGCAGATATGATGGATGAACGTGTCTCAGGATGTAATGGCCAACATGCGGCCTGTGGTTGATAATCGTGCGTTGCTCTCAGGACTTTTGTGAAATGAGTAAATGACGGCTGCTCTTGCCACAGGAGGGGGAAATGGCAACAATGTGAAATGACAGACTTATTAATTAGTTTCACCATAGTAACCATTTAATGATACATATGTATCCCACAATATTGTGTTATATACCTTAAATTATGCATAATAGACTTTAAAAATCTTTTTAAAATATCAGGAAATGTGAAGATGCTGAGAACGAATAGTTAGAAAGTTCAGAAAAGAGCCAGAAGATTAATTTCTTTCAGAGTCAGATTGTTTCAGGATTCCCATTGAAAGTATTCCGACAGATACAATGAGCTCTCGGTTAGATATCATATGTGAAGAACTTTCATTAGATAGCTCTATATCTAGTATAATTAACATGGGGTTTATGGGACTAGTAGATGAATTTCAGAGGGTCTGTCAACTTGAAATTATAGACAACTTTTTGCATATTTGGTCATAAAGGAAGTTTTCCAGGCTTCAGGCTTTGAAGATTTTTATTAGATACTTGGGATGTTCACCCAACAATATTAAAAACCAATATCTTATATTCTACATGTTTCTTTCTCTAGCTCGGCATTGTTTTTGGTCTAATATATTTTAACTCATGATTCTGGGTTATATTCCCATTTACCCTCATGATTCTTGGTTATATTCCCATTTACACTCATAACTTCAAACCCCTCCTTTTCAGTGTGGGTTCATGTATAATTTCCCTTCTAGGCTGCACATCAAAAATTTTAAAAAGGCTAACAACCATAAAAAATACCATTTCTTTAGGGCTTGAACCTTCACTCCTATCCTCAAATATTGAATGAAGCATATTGGACTATCATCATTATTAGCGCAAATATTGTCTTATGCCTGCAGAAGCACATGGTATTTCATTAGCCCGGAAAAATGTGCTACAAACAGACATTTAAGAGATAAGAGAGAATCACATGGATTAGAAAAAGAGTATTTAATAAGAACAATATTTGTGTCATTACAGTGCATCTGTTGGGAGAGGGTGCATCGCGATCATCTGTTTTACAGCCTTCTCTAGAATTATCTTTTGGATGATGTTATATAAAAGACAGTTTCTGATAAATCTGGTTCAACAGTTAATATGCAGTGTAAGTTGTGATTAGAGGGTTGAATTGGAAGTAATGAAGGTTTAAAAATAGAAAACAGATGTAATATTTTAAATGACATTTTCTTGGTACTGTATTTATTTCCCTCTTTCAGTAATTAGTAAAATGTTTTCAGTTTTTAAAAACAGCTTATTACTGTGAACACAATAAACCCATATGTGTAAAAAACAAATAAAAAATGTGAGAAACAGATGATACATACTTTGTGTTGTGTGGATAAGGAAAAATAGTGAAAAAATAGAGTGCCACAAAAGTATAGGGCCAAAATATAAATAATGAAAATAATTTAAACAAAAATAACCAATATCCAAGCAATTCTGTGCATCTGCTCTTCTTTCACTGAGCATAAATAATTGACGTTATGGAGGAAAAGATTCTGAAAATTAAATTTGTGGACAATGTATTTCTTATTTCTTCAATTGAAAAGGTGAAAGTGCTCCCTCATTCCTCCTCATTCGGTTCATCTCATGGAGTCGCTTAAAAAGACCGAAACGACTGACTGGAAATTCAGAGCTAGCAAGGAGAGTTTGGTAGCATCATTTAGAAGCCTTCAAAGTGGAAATCTGTTTCTTTACCCTTCACGTCAGCCTGTGTGGCTGCAGGGAGCTGGGACCGGAGCTGCACAGAAGCCCGCTGGGCACCGCACCTGCTCTGGCCCCTGTTGCAGGAACTCCCAGAGCCTTGATGTAGCTGCGTGGTCAAGAATTCTCCGAAGCCCTCAGCTGATTAATTTTCCAAAGAAAATTATTGATATGTTTAAAAAACATATGACAAGTTAGCTTTGTATTAAGAAACTGTCGATTTTCACTGTTTTTGTTTTTGGGTTGAATATGTGAGTTTGGTTCCACCAAGTGAACTTGTGCTTCTATCCAATTATAACTCTAAGCACAAATGAAATGTAATTACTGTTTTATTGACACATTAAAAGGAAATAGATAGTCGAACTGGCAGTTATATTCTTTTCTGAAGGTGTGCGTGTTACCCAGGCCTGGGTGGGTTCAGGCAGCTGTGGGAAGGGGTGTGAGGTGGAAGGGGGAGGCGTGGTGACTGAAGCTCAAAGAGAAGCAAAGGGTGTTCCTAACACAGCCGATCAAAGAGAAGACGGAAACGTGCAGACCTGTACTGAAACGTGGGGAAAGGCTTCTTTCCGAAATGCTGCGAGCCACTGCTTTCCCCTTTCCCTGCACTGTTCTGAGCCACAGCAGCGCCACTGCCCACGGCTGCCCCTGCCACCAAGGCTCTCCAGGGCATGTCCCAGCCATGAAGACCTGGTGTCCACCTAACTGGGGAGAGGGCCAGGCAGGAGGGTGTCTCCTAGGCATGCGGAGATGGCGGGACAGGACAGGAAGTGTCTCCCACCCTGAATTCCTGGATCTAAAGGAGAGAGAGAAGCATGCCCAGCTGTCCCCACTGGACCTGTAATCCTCACCGCAGCACCTGAGGAAGGGGAAGGGCTCTTAACCCAGGTCACAGATGTGGCAACCAGCATAGACGGGACACTGGCAGCACCCAAGGCATCACACGGAGGGAGGCAGCGTCCTGAGAAAGCCACAAGGAGGCCCGCATGATCTGTGCTCCCTCCCTGAGGCCAGCTGTGCTCCCTCACTGAAGGCAAAGGCAGAAAGAGCTCCAAGTGACCCCTCTCAGAAAATCAGTGTCCTGTGATGCACAGATACCAACAAATTAGCTGAAAAAATAAAGGACTCAGTAAGCTAAGTGGGTCTTCAGAGAAAACAAAGACACGCAGAGTCTTCATCTCCAGCTGATGCTCCCTCAGACCTCGGGGCTCCCCTCAGGTCAGCCTGCAAGCCAGCAAGGAACAGAGACCAGGCAGCTCTTGGGGATTTCCTGGAAATGCTCCTAGATAATCAGGTGAGGCTGTTCAGCATGAGCCCAAGATTTTCTGGTAGAAAGTTCTCTCCTAAGTCTCTGCTGCCTGAGGAAGTGTCAAGTGTTGAGGAGAGAAGGGGTTAGCAACAAAACTCAGTCTGGGATGGCAGGTGGGGGCAGAATGGCTGTGTGGACCTGCACAGGCCTGGCGCTGCGTGCAAACAGAGGCCAGCAGCCCTCCTGTCCAGACATGAGTGCTGTCATGTTTTAGGGCTAAACGGTGAAGCTGTCAGAACGTGCTTTTCCCTTGAAACCTTCTACTTGTTTAAAATCAAGTCAGGACTGATACTTCTGCTGCTCTGATTGTGAGTGTACACACCACATCTAAAGAAGAATGGCCTCATATTGAAGCATAAGATGTGGATTCCATGACAATCCAGATTTAGTTGGAAAGCAAATTTTGTTCAATTCATTTCAAAATTTATTTGTTAAGAATCAGGGCCAGGTGTGGTGGCTCATGCCTGTAATCCCAGCACTTTCGGAGGCTCAGGTGGGCAGATCACCTGAGGTCGGGAGTTTGAGACCAGCCTGACCAACACGGTGAAACCCCGTCTCTACTAAAAAAACAAATTAGCTGGGTGTGGTGGTGGACACCTGCAATCCCAGCTACTCGGGAGGCTGAGGCAGGAGAATCGCTTGAACCAGGGAGGTGGAGGCTGCAGTAAGCCGAGATCATGCCACTGTACTGTAGCCTGGGAGACAGAGCCAGACTCCATCTCAAAAAAAAAAAAAAAAAAAAAGAATCTAAGGCTGGTCGCAGTGGCTTATGCCTATAATCCCAGCACTTTGGGAGATTGAGGCATGGCGGTCGCTTCAGCCCAGGAGTTCAAGACAAGCCTGGGCAACACAGAGAAACACTGTCTCTACCTAAAATAAAAGTAAAATTAGCCAGATGTGGCAGTGAGTGCTCAGAGTCCCAGCTACTCGGGAGGCTGAGGTGGGAGGATCACTCGAGCCCCAGAGGTTGAGGCTGCAGTGAGCCAAGATCGCACTCACATTACTGCACTCCAGCTTGGGCGACACAGCAAGACTGTGTCTCCAAACAAAAACAAAAACAAAAATAAACAGCAACAAAGAGGAATCTACTTGTGGCAGGTGCTGCTCGGTGCTGAGGGGCTGTGAAAGGAATGTAAACACATACACTCTCTGTTCTCATCAACTGAAACACTTCAGAGAAAACAAAGTGACTAGAAACTTAAATCTACATACATTATTGTGACAGTGTTCATATTCCCAATAGTTTAGCCCTTAATGCTATTACCAGCTATATTCCATATTTACATACATTTTAATATTGGAGATTAGGATGGCCACAGTGGCTCACGCCTGTAATCCCAGCACTTTGGGAGGCCAAGGCAGGTAAATCACCTGAGATCAGGAGTTCGAGACCAGTCTGACTAATATGGTGAAATCCCGTCTCTACTAAAAATAAAACAATTAGCTGGGCATGGTGGTGGATGCCTGTAGTCCCAGCTACTTGGGAGGCTGAGACAGGAGAACTGCTTGAACCCAAGAGGTGGAGGTTGCAGTAAGCCAAGATTGCACCACTGCACTCCAGCCTGGACAACAGAGCGAGACTCTATCTCAAAAGAAAAAAGAATAATAATTGAGGATTAAGGCAAACCAATAAAATCAGAAACTGCTGGACATCATTTCATGTGGTTTGATGTGTGTAAGTTATAGTTGACGGTTTTTCATCTAGTTTGCACTACAGCACAAAAGACCCATTATTTACAGGAATGATGTTAAGTGCAAACCTCAGTGGTAAGAATTACGCTATTTAGGGTAGCCTTGATTTTGACCCCATCAGTATTAGTGGTTATTCCTAAAGTTGTCTTTAGAAAGCCAGCATGTTAACTTTAGGAGATAATGTTTCAGACAGGTAATGACAGTCTCTCTGGAACTCTCATGAATGTGAGTACCTTTTCAGTAAGTCCCAGAAAGACACAGTGACACATCAGTAAAACCCGTCAATTTTCAAACAAAAATATTGTGAGGTTGGAGAAATAAAATGATCTTTACAATACTGGTACTATGACGAGTTAAGAAGTCAAGTGGCCACCATTCCAAGTGTATTTGCAAATTTGAATAATTGGACCTAGTTTAGGTTGTTCTGAATGAGTGTGAATAATAAATGGCACATATCGAATACTCACTATGAGCCAGGCACTGTTTTCAGTGACACTTCGCTGCATTTTCACCAGCTGACCTGTTCTTCTTAATCAGCCTGAAATGTGGGCTGTTATCACCATCATTGACCAAGATGAGGATGCTGAGGGAAACAGCTGTGATGTGGATGGCACTGTAAACTGTGTGTTAACTATAAAACAGCCTCAGGCAGGTCCTTCAGGAGGTGTCCAGAAGAAGGCATTGTTGTCACAGGAGGTGACAGCTACATGCGTGTTACTGCTCCTGAAGATCTTCCAGTGGGACAAAATGTGGAGGTGAAAGACAGTGATATTGATAATCCTGACCCTGCGTAGGGTGCCATCACACATGTAGGATGCCGTCGGTAAATGGAGGGGCTTGGATTCAAACTCAGGATCCTCTGTCTCCACAGCAGGGGTTCCTAGACTCTGTCTACACTGCCTCTTCCAAGGAAGAAATAAACCAATTGTGTATATGTTATGTATTAAGTTAACCAGTTAGAACATTCACATGGTTTGGCTCTGTGTCACCACCCAAATCTCGTCTTGAATTGTAATCCACATGTGTAGAGGAAGCGACCTGGTGGTAAGTGATTAGATCACTAGGGCAGTTTCCCCCATGCTGTTCTCATGATAGTGAGTGAGTTCTCATAAGATCTGATGGTTTTATAAGGGGCTCTTCTCCTTTCCCTCTTCTCTCTCCCTGCTGCCGTGTGAAGAAGGACATGTTGCTTCACCTTCTGCCATAATTGTAAGTTTCCTGAGGCCTCCCCAACCATGAGGAACTGTGAGCCAATTAAACTTCCTTTCTTTATAAATTACCCAGTCTCAGGCAGTTCTTTATAGCACCGTGAAAACAGACTAATGCGAACGTGCTATAAAACTCTTTGTAAAAGAAGACAGCCAACCACCACATAATGTTCCTATCACGTATATGACAGTGGTCCCATAAGATTGTAATGGAGCTGAAATATTCCTATCACCTAGGGCTGTCCGTTGTAGCATAACACGAGTCACATGTTTGTGGTGGTACTGATGTAAACACACCCACTGCACTGCCAATCATATAAAAATCTAGCACAGACAAGTGTAGTACATAATACTTGATAATGATAATAAATGACTATGTTACTGGTTTATGTATTTACTATAGTGTACTTTTCATTATTATTTGTACTTTTAAAAAAAGTTAACTGTAAAACAGCCTCAGGCAGGTCCTTCAGGAGGTGTCTAGAAGAAGGCATTGTTGTCACAGGAGGTGACAGCTCCATGCATGGTACTGCCCCTGAAGACCTTCCAGTGGAACAAGATGTGGAGGTGGAAGACAGTGATATTGATAATCCTGACCCTGCGTAGGCCTAGGCCAATGTGTTGCTTGTGTCTTAGGTTTTAACAAGAAGTTTAACAAGTAAAAAATGAAATTAAAGAATAGAAAAAAGTCTATAGAATAGGATATAAAGAAAGAAAATATTTTTGCAGAGCTATATGATGTGTTTGTGTTTTAAGCTGTGCTATTACAAAAGAGCCAAAAAATTTAAAAAAAGTTTATAAGGTAAAAAAGTTACAGTAAGTTAAGGTGAATTCATTATTGAAGAAAGAAAATGTAGTGTAGCCTAAGTGTGCAGTGTTTATAGAGGCTACAGCAGTGTCCAGTGATGTCTAAGACCTTCTCATTCACTCACCACTCATTCATGACTCACCCAGAGCAGCTTCCACTCTGGAAAACTCCACTCATGCTAAGTGCCCTATAACAAGTTTACCATTTTTAAAATCTTTTATATCATAGCTTTACGGTACCTTTTCTATGTTTAGCTGTTTGGTCCACAAATACCATTGTGTTCCTGCTGCCCACAGCATTCAGCACAGTAACAGCTGTGCATGTCTGTAGGCTGGCAGCAACAGGCTACGCCATACAGCTTATGTTTGTAGTAGGCTGCACCATCTAGGTTTGTGTATGTGCATTCTGCGATGCTCACACAATGACAAAAAGTTGCCTAATAACGCATTTCTTAGACTGCATCCCCGTGGTTAAATGATGCATGGCTGTTCACCAGTGATTTAGCACCAAATAGTCTCAAAACTATAACATTAGCCTGCTGCTGAATTCAAAATCATCAACTATATAGCTGTGGAACAACTGTCATGTAATCATGGAGCAGTTAGTGGGCTTTGCTTATAATGAATCAGAGAAAGGAAGTAGTGTTTGGAGCAATATTGACAGACAAGTAAAGAAATTGGCAACAGTGAGTGTGAATGAAGGTGCAAGTGTCTACGAATGATTCACGTAATTTTTTTTTTTTTTTTTGAGATGGAGTCTTGCTCTGTTGCCCAGGCTGGAGTGCAGTGGTGCGATCTCGGCTCACTGCAAGCTCTGCCTCCTGGGTTCATGCCATTCTCCTGCCTTGGCCTCCTGAGTAGCTGGGACTATAGGCGCCCACCACAACGCCCGGCTAATTTTTCATATTTTTAGTAGAGATGGGGTTTCACCGTGTTAGCCAGGAAAGTCTCGATCTCCTGACCTTGTGATCCACCCACCTCAGCCTCCCACAGTGCTGGGATTACAGGTGTGAGCCACTGCACCCAGCAGTCACGTAATTTAAAATCACATTGGGGAGCATATCAGCTCTACAAAATAAGATCTCAAAGATGAACCTTTTAAAGAAATGTTTAAGAGTCTAAGAAAAAATCAAAATAAAATGCTAGAAATAATAATGAAACAAAACAAAATAAAACAAAAAAACACTGTGAAAACATCAGTAGACTGCACACAGCCGAGAAAAGAATCAGTGAGTTTGAGTTTGATGACAGGTAAGAAGAAACTCCCCAAACAAAAATGCAAATCAAAAACAAAAACGAAAACCTCAGAATGGAAATTTAAGTCCCATGAGACGATATCGAAAGGTGCTGTTTCCAAAAAACACTCAAGCCGTGTTTGCCGTTTGCTCTCATGCTGACACAACGACAGTCAACACAGAAGACTTCTGTCATCCCAAAATATGCGGAGATTTCTCCCCATCAGGAATCAAGCAACCAATTCTTCAGCAGACCCCAACTGCATGTCGGATCCCACACATTGAGCTCCCAGTCCCGGAAGACTGCCCCACACTTTCCACCAGTCACAAGTCCAGGCCTCCAATTGAATTCAAGTTGGGGCTCCTATAACCCCTGCTTTGGGTTTGAAAAATTTGCTGGAGTGGCTCACAGATCTCAAGGAAACACCTGTGTTTACTGGTTTATTTAAGGATATTGCAAAAGAGGCAGAGGAAGAGACAAGTAGGGCAAGATGTGGGGAAGATGCCGAGGACTTCCATGCCATCCTTGGATATCACCCTCTAGGAGACTCCATGTGTTCAGCAACCCAGAGGCTTCCTAAACCGTGTCCTTTCGGGTTTGTGTGGAGGCTTCATGACACAGGCAGGTTTGACAACCATGTAGAAATGTGCCTGGACAAAAAGCCCATGATCTAAACCCAACAGGGCCTGTCTGCTCAGACTTTTCTTGGCGTCTCTGTGCACTGTACCTTCCTCCAGAGTGTGGAGCAGGACCATCTCTGGAATGAGCCTCTTCTGACCCACAACCAGATTAGAGTCTTGCCTTGGGTAGGTAAAAGGAAGAAGGAGAAGGTCAGAAATACTGTTTCTCAAGGACTGCTTCTGAGGCGTAAAGTACCCAAACATTATAACAAAAGACTGTAACAAGGACTGTTGGGATTATGAACAAAAACAATATATATACAACCAAAACATCACAGGGACAATGGCACATTATTGGAATCAAGAGGAAGTAGAGGAAGCAAAGCAGAAGAAATACTGAAAAGAACTGTAGTTTAGAACTTTCCAAAATCAGTGACAGACACAGAACCACAGATCCAGGTGCCTCAGAAGAGACCAGTCAGCATTAATACAGATCATATAAAATTATAGAACAACAGTGACAAACAGTAAATCTTGGAAAATAAATTACCTGCAGAAGAACAAAGACAAGAATTACAGCCAACTTCTTACTAGGAATTATGCAATAAAGGAGAAAATGAAGTGAAATATTTAGTGTGTTGAAAGAAACATGCCATCAGCCTAGAATTGTGTATCCATCAGAACTCTCTGTAGGGAGTGAAGGAGAGAAAGGAACTTGCCAAACAGGGACTTGGGTGATTAATCACTAGCAAAGCATCTTCAAGCCGAGGGAAAATTATAGAGGTCAGAAACCTGTATCTGCATAAACAAAAGGAGAGCATTGGAGAAGTAATAAATGAAGGTGAAGTAAAACATGTTATTTTTCTTATTCTTTTTTTTTTTTTTTAGACAGAGTCTTGCTCTGTTGCCAGACTAGAGTGCAGTGGCTCCATCTCATCTCACTGCAAACTTCGCCTCCCTGTTCAAGCAATTCTCCTGCCTCAGCCTCCCAAGTAGCTGGGATTACAGGTGTATGCCACCACGCCCAGCTAATTTTGGTATTTTTAGTAGAGACAGGGTTTCACCATATTTGTCAGGCTGGTCTCCAACTCCTGACCTCAGGGGATCCCCCTGCCTTGGCCTCCCAAAGTGCTGGGATTGCAGGTGTAAGCCATGGTGCCTGGCCTATTTTTCTTATTCTTAACTCATCTAAAAGCTGTTTGCTTAAGGCAGTAGTGGTAACAATGTATTGGGCGCTTGCTGCATATGGATAAGCACATCGAATGCAGTCAGGCCATGAGGTGGTGGGGAGTGAGGAGGGGCATGCGGACGTGAAGCACCTGTGCTTTGGGGCAGCAGCGGAAGTGTCAGGTAAAGCCAGAGCCAGACTCATTATCAAGGTAAATAGCATTCCATGAATATAGTAGGAAAGAATAAACATCTACAATGTATAAAACACGCATCTATCTTCAGAAACCTAGATACAGAAAAGCAATTAGGCTAAGCAAATAAAAGGAAATAATAAACATTAGAACGGATAGCAACAAAATTAAAAACAAGAATACAAAAGAGACAGTCAATGAAAACAAAATACTAAAGTTGGTTTTTAAACAAGATAAACCAGGCTAACCTAGAAACATGAGGGCAGGGGAGAGAACACACAAATTGCTGATATCAGAAAATAAGAGCGTTGCATGTGACCCCATGGACTACGCCACTGCACTCCATCCTGGGTGACAGACCCTGCCTCAGAAAATAAGAATAAAGAATAACAGAGGAATAATATAAACAACTTCATGCCCACAAATTTGATAACTAATATGATATGAATCAATTATTTAAAAAAAAAACCTACCAACTACCAAAATTCACACTGGGACAAACAGATAACAGGAATAGCCTTATATTTATTATAAAATAAAATCAAAAGTTATTTCAAGGAAAGAAAGAACCAAGCCATGATGATTTACTAATGAGTTCTACCAAACAATTCAGGAAGAGTGATATCAGTTCTTTACAATTCCTTCCAGAAAGTAGAAACAGAATAAACACTTCCCTCTTTATTCTATGAGACCCCCAAATATCAAAACCAGATAAATAAAAAAAACTACAGATCAATATCTGTCAGAAGCATAGCTGCAAATGTCAAGTGAAATCCAATACGATATGAAAAGATTTATACACCATGATCAAGTGGGACTTATTTCTGGTATTCAAGGCTGGTTCACCATCCAAAAACCAATTAACATAATGTACCACATCAGCAGGCAAAAGAAGAGAAAACATACGATCATATCAATTGATGCAGGAAAGGCATAGGAAAAATATAACAGCTATTCATTCTCAAGTAATAATTCTCAAGGAACTAGGAAGAGATGGGAAATATGCTACCTTAATAAAAGATAAATGCAGAAAACATGCAACTAACACTACACTAAATGGTAAGAGGCTGAATGCTTTCCTCTTAAGACTGGGAACAGAAAGGAACGTGCTCTCGGCTCTCTCCCCATTCCCATTCAACATTGTGCTGGAACTCTCACCTAGAGTCAGCTGAGAAAACAAAATAAAAAGTACATAATTTGGAAAGGCAGAAATAAAGCAGCCTTTATTCACAGATTAAATGATTATCTCTATGGAAAACCATAAAGAATCAACAACCACAAACCACAAAACACTGCTGAAATGAATAAGTGAGCCTAGCAAGATGTCGGGCACACAAAAGACAATGGCTTTTCTAGATCCAAGCAATGAGCAAGTGGAATTTGAAATTACAAAAAAAAAAAAACACAACAAAACAAACAAACAAAAAACCAATACTATTTGTAATAGTATCGAAAGAAAAGGGAGAGAGATTTATACATTTAACAAAATCTGTACTGAATCTCTATGAGAAAAACTATAATACAGTGATTTAAAACCAACAAATATCTTAATAATAGAGAGACATTCTGTGTTCATTGACTGGAAGACTCAACTCTAATAAATAGTGCTGGAAAAATGGAATGTCGATACACAGAAGAATAGAACTAGATCTCTCTCCTTCACCATAGACAAAGATGAACTCAAAATGGATTAAAGACTAAACGTAAGATGGGAAACTATAAAACTACTAAAAGAAACATTGAGGATAATTGCCTGGGGAAGGATTTTTTGGGTAAGACCTCAGAAGCTCAGGTAACAAAAGCAAAAATAGAGAAATGGGATTGCAACAAGCTAAAAAGCTTTTGCACAGCAAAGAGAAAATGTTGTCTACAGCACAGGTCCCCAGTTCCTGGGCTGTGGACCAGTATGAGTCCAGGGTCTGTTAGGACATGGGCCACGCAGCAGGAGGTGAGTGGTGGGTGAGTAAGCATTACCACCTGACCTCTGCCCCCCATGAGATCAGTGCCAGCATTAAATTCTCAAAGGATCATGAACTCTATTGTGAACTGTGCATTCCAGGGATCTAGCTTGAGTGGTCCTTATGAGAATCTAATGCCTGATGATCTGAGATGGAACAGTTTCATCCCCAAACCATCGTTCCCTCTCCCCACAGTCCATGGAAAAATTGTCTTCAATGAAACTAGTCCTTAGTGCCAAAGAGGCTGGATACCACTGGTCTACAGAATGCGAGAAAACATTCACAAACTACCTACAAAGGATTAATAATCAGAATATAAAAGGAACTCAAACAACTCAATAGCAAAGAAACAAATAATCTGATTTAAAAATGGACAAAAGAACTGAATAGACATTTCTCAAAAGAAGACACATGGTAGCCAACAGGTATATGGACAGAGGCTCAAAATCACCCATCATCAGGAAAATGTAAATCAAAACCATAGTGAGATTTCATCTCACCGCATTTGAAAAGGTTATTATCACAAAGACAAAGAATAATAAATACAGGCAAGAATGTATAGGAAGGGGAATGATCATACACTGTGGGTGGGAAGGCAAATTAGAAGAGCCACTCTGGAAAACAGTATGGAGATTCCTAAAATACTAAAAATAGAACTACTCTTTGATCGAGCAATCCCCCTGCTGTGTATGTATACAAAAGAAAATAAAATTAATATATCAAACAGATGTCTGCACTGCCATGTGTATTGCAGCACTAGTCCTAACAGCCAAGTTTTGGAATCAACCCAAATGTCCATTGACAGATGAATGGATAAAGAAAATGTGTCATGTATACACAGTGGAGTACTATTAAGCCATAAAAAATGAAATCCTGGCATTTGCAGCAACATGGATGGAACTGGAAATCATTATGTTAAATAAAATAAGCTAGACACAGAAAGACACAATATTACATGTTCTCACTCAACTATGAGAGCTAAAAAAGTGGGTCTCATAAGGGCAGAGAATAGAACGGTGGTCACTAGAGGCTGGGAGTGGGAGGCAGAAGGAGGGATGGAGAGAATTTGGTTAAGGGGCACAAAAATACAGTTAGAGAGAAGGAATAAGTTCTAGTATTTACTAGCATGGTAGAGAAATTATAGCTAACAATAATTTATTGTACATGTCAAAATAGCCAGAAGAATTGTTGTGCTCCCAACACAAAGAGAAATGTTGAGGGTGATTGATATCCCAATTACCATGATTTGATCATTACACATTATACAGGTATCAAAATATCACATGTACCCCCCAAAATATACACATTTATGTAGCAGTTTTTAAAAAACAATGTCAAGATGAAAATTATCTACAATTTGATTTATAGATTCATTGGGATCAAATCTAAATTCCCATAAATTATTTTGTCAATATTGACAAAATGATGCCAAAATTTACATAAAAAAGAAAAAATCCTAGAATAGTCAACACAATACTAAATAGAAATAACCAGAAATAACAAAGCTGGAGAAATGACATTACCTGACTTTAAGACTTACTATAAAGCTACACTAATCAAGATTGTGTGGTACCAATGAAAGAATAAAAATGTACCAAAAAGAAGGAATAAAATGCCCAGAGACAAACCTACACAAATACAGGCAAGTGATTTTTGACAAAGGTGCAAAGGCAATTCATTGAGCTATGATAGTCTTTTCAGCAAATGGTGCTGGAATAATTGGACATTCACATGCAAAAAATGCTGGAATAATTGGACATTCACATGCTGAACCTACACACTGACTACATCTTACACCAAATTTAACTCAAAATGGATCATAGATTAAGACATAAAATGCAAAACTCCAAGACATCTTCAAAAAAACAGAAAATCTGATGACTTTTGTTTGGTGGTCAGTTTCTAGATATAACACCAGAAGCATGAGCCATAAAAGAAAAATTCCTAAGTTAGAATATATTAAGATTAAAAGCTTCTGCTCTGTGAAAGAAACAAGAGAATAAAAAGAAAATCCAAAGGAACTGAAAAAAGTATTTGCAAAACACATATCTAATAAAAGACTTGTATCTACAATTTTTCAAAGAACATTTAAAACTCAACAATAAGTAAACAAAAACCCATGTAAAAATGGGTAAACTTATGAAGCGCAAAGAAGACACGTGGATGATCAGTGTAAGAAAAGATCTTTACAACATGTGTCCTTGGAAAAATAAAAGCTACAACTACAGTAGGACACCACTGCCCTCCCATCAGAATGGCTGAAATTTGGGAAGTGGGTGGTACTAACCGCTGGTGAGAGTGCAAAGCAACAGGGACTCTTATGTGTAACTGATGCAAACACAAAATGGCACAGCCACTGGGAAGCAGCTTGCAGTTTTCAACCAAGCTAAACGTAGTCTTACCGTATGATACAGGATTTGAGCCTCTGTGGATTTACCTAGCTGATTTGAAAATGTATACCCACATGAAAAACATGTATAGAAATGAATATGATAACTTTATTCATAATAACCCAAACTGGCACCAATGAAGATGCCTCTCAATGAATAAACTAACTATCATTACACCCATATCATAGAGTGACTAAAAGTAATGTGCTGGCAAGCCACAAAAATACAGGAATGTCTCTTCAAACACCATGCTAAGTGAATGAGCCAGTCTAAATGTGTGATTTCATTTATATGACATTTTGAAAAGGCTGAACTACAGAGAATAATGGGACCAGTGGTTTCTGGAGGTTCAGAGGGAGGAGAGATCAGATATAGGATGTAAATGAAATATTTAGGGTGTTAAAAATAGTCTGCTTGAGACTGTGACTGTAGATTCATGACACTGCTCATTTGTCAAAACCCACAAAATTATGAAGTACAAGTGTGAACATTAATGTATGCAAATTAAAAAATAACCATTCTAAGAAGGAATGCTAAATTTGACAAAAAAGTGTAAGTGTATTACACATAAATGAAACAACCTCACTAAAGGGAGTGAAGAAAAATGATGTTGACCTACCTGACTTTCGGAATATTAGTCTGTGAGACTAAAGACACGGGTAACTGCGTCCAAGCATGGCATAGTAGCTGATGAGGTTGTTTCTCATGGGTGTACAGGTTAGCAGCTCTGAAATCAGGATGCAGGTGCGCTGGAACTGGACAATCAGATGCGCGGATGACAGATCCTGGCAGCAGCTTCTCACTGCTGAGGTAGGAGCAGCAGGAGGCCGGCATGGTGCTTGTGGCCCTGGATTAGGGTTGGAGACATCAGTATGAACTCATGCTTAGCTTCAAATAGATACAGCTACATAGATACAGAACTCATGCTTAGCTTCACATGGATATGGATATATAGGTCTAGAAACGTATGTATACATAAGTGTACGTGAATCTGCAGGGTTTGGTAGACATTTCCTTGCTCTGTCAGCTGAGAGGGGCTAAAAGAAATGGCATCCCAGTAGCAAAAAGCACCCCTAATGCTCAGCTCTTGGTTGCTCTTTGTTCTAACACCCTTCTCCAGTAAACGATCCAAGGCTCTTTGGAGAAATAGCAGGTTATAAAACTGGGCAGGAAATATACAAGATGAGCTGAAGGAAGTTCTATAAAAGAAAAACAAACAACAGCATGTTGGGCCATGCCAGAGAGACACTGAAACCAGTAGGAAGCATTCTCAAAGAACAAGACTATAACAATGTGAGAAATGGAATAAACTAGTGTTGGGTTATAAGCCATGGCAGAAAATAAATATCCACAGTCCACTCATATATAAATAAAGGATTGAATACATGAATGAGGAGAATAGACAAATCCCCCCAATAAATTTTCAAACAATTTATGTGGATATTTTGACCTCAGTGAAGTGAACTTCACTCCCCAAGCATAGGCTGCACACAATTAATTCCTCCCAAAGAGTGCAGGATTGAAAGATGGGAAAAGACCCCCAGATGGGGGGTTTCACCATGTTGCCCAGGCTGGCCTCAAACTCCTGAGCTCAAGCCATTCTCCCACCTCAGCCGCCCAAAGTGCTGGGATTACAGGTGTGGAAAAACCTCTTTACTTGACTCAGCCTCCCTTGACAACGCTGGGCTTTATGGATATGAAGACGAATGAGAACCTTTTCTGACTCTGTGAAAGCTCACAAGCCTGTGAGCAAATAGAGAGTAAAACTGATTCTCATTATGCATGGTAGGTGTGTTCTATAAAGTTACTGGGAACACTCAGGTGGCAAGTACAAAGCCATTGCTCCCAGGGGATGTGGAGGGTCAGGTTCCTGTGATCCTATGGTCACCGCGTTTTTATGCATAAATCCATATACAACCTTGTATAATGTGTGTTTCTGTTTGATGACACTTTAGTTAATATCTGTTGCTGATGCATTAACACTGAACTCACACTTGAATGAAGCTTCTCCGACACATGGGTTTTCTCTGTGAGGCAGGTCACAGTCTCTTGCACTTGGGACACCAGACAAAGCTCCCACACCACACCTGGGGGTGTTTAAACAAAAAAATCTCCAATAAGAAGCACAAGAATGTATTAACAGCACTAAATAACTGGACATTGGAAAAGAAACTTGTTTACAGTGTCAGCTGACACAAGAAAGCAGAGCTTTGCCTTGTTTGATCTCAGCTGGGAATGTGCATTTTGGGTGATTTTCATCTCTTTGTGCACACACGTGAATGACCACAAAAGTGCTGTGCATGTTGACTTTGAAGTAACAAGTAGGTTTTAGTGAGTAGGTGAATTCACAAGTCAGAATCCATGAATAGTGAAGGCTGACCATATCGCTCGGTCAGTAATGACAATACATAGCTGACGTATTCCACCCTCTCTCCCCTACATGGACCTTTCCAAACACAAAACAAGTAACTTCTCATCTGTGCACAAACCTGTGATAAGTTCCCAACCTCTAAACTGAAACACAGAGAGCCCTAACCCCACCCACAAGATCCACAGGAAACAGATCTGCTGCCCCTGCCCCATGCAGTCCCCTCTCCTCCTACCTCCCTCTGCCTCATAGTCTCTCACCTGCCCTCCTTCTCCTCCATCCTTCCAGCCCCATAGGCTTCTCATCTTCCGCTCCTTGTCCCCCCTCCCCATAGGCCTCTCCCCTGCCCTCCTCCTTCTCCCTCTCTCCACCCTGTAGGTCTCTCACCTGCCCTACTTCTCCTCCCTCCTTCTGGCCCCATAAGCCCCTCACCTGCCCTCCTCCTCCTCCCTCTGGCCTCATAGGCCCCTCCCCTACCCCTCCTCTTCCTTCCTCCTAACCTCCTCCCTCCCCATAGACCCCTCACCTGCCCCTCCTCCTCCTCCCTGTAGCCCCGTTGGCCTCTCATCTGTGCCTTCACCTACTCAGCTCACTCCTCTCTCAGTCTCAGAAAGTTTCTGTCATCCACTTCTGTCTGGAATGCTTTCCCTTGGGTTTTCAGATAATTTACTCACTCATGTTATTCAATTCTCTGCTCAAATTTTACCTTTTTAAGGAATGCATTCTTGATCACCTTATTTAAATGGCTTCCAACCTCAATACTCCATTCTTTACTTGATTTGTCCTCATATACCTTATTACACATGAATTTGTGTGTGTTTACCTATTTATTTCCTGTAACCCTAGAACATAAGCACAGGTAGCTAAAGGGCCACATCAGTGTGGTTCCCACCTGGACCTGCCACCCTGAGCAGTGCCATTTGAAGAAGGTCAACACATATTTGCTAGTTGAATGGATATCAGAAATTGAATGGCAGAAGAAAGAATGGTTAGATGTTGTCTAAACTGGAAATGCATTACAGAGAAGGGGCAGTTGACCTTGACCTTGAAGACCATATAAGAGTTTATTGGACACAATAATGAGAAGCACCACGGAGTGCAGCCAGCAACGTGCACAGGGGCATAGAGGGGAAAATGACACCAAAATCTGGGAAAGCCTCAGACTGCAGTGAGGCAATGCAGAGAAATAGCACTGGAAACAGGAGTTTGGGGCTAGAATGTGAGAGAATATTGATGCCACATTCAGGATTTCCACTTTATAATTCAGGGATTGCAGAACAACAGAAGGGTTTTCATCAAGGGGTTAATATTTGTGCTTTCTCTTGTTGTTGTTTACAAACAAATCTCTGGGATTACATGTGAGAACTACTTCCCTAAGCTGAACTTAAAAAAGAAAAATGAACAACTGCTAAAATTACTAAGAAAAATAGCTGTTACATGCAAATAGAAGAAATCCCCATCATTGAAAGGGCAATTTCTTGTGTCTGAATGTTTGTTTCATATGAAAATCATTTTGTTAGCACATAAATGTAAATATATCTTATGAAAATGTGGCTTTTGATAGCTGTAAAAGATGCCGAATAGCCATTTTGGGAAAGTGAAGAAAATAAACGAATAGAGGCAGCAGTACTCTGCCTCTGCCAGCCAGCACTCCTGCTGCCACAACCAGGGATGGAAGGGACGCAGTGGTCACATTCAGACAGACGTCAAAGGACCCTCCTTGGGGGAATGTGCTGATTCTGATCAGGGGCAGGGACTCTTCAAGGCACAGAGAAGCAGGTAGAGTGAGCACTTCCCATGGCTGCAGTGGCCACATGGTGGGATGAACCCAGGGACTCCCAAGCTCACGCCAGTCCCCCCACTCCAAGGCCATGCATTGAGATCTGGAGCCTTGCAGGGCGCTAGGAGCTACTCAGAAATGTCCCAAAGACACGGTGGGAAATCTTGCAGCTGGACAGTGCATAGGAGACCAAGACCCACTAGAGGGAAGGGGCCCAGTTGGACAGTGCATAGGAGACCAAGACCCACTAGAGGGAAGGGGCCTTCCTCAGGCACATAGCCAATCCCCCTAGGCATTTTCATATTTAGAGGTTTCATGGTCTAGAAGGCTGAATAGCTGAGCTCAAACTCCCAAATGGCAGACATGAATTTCTCCATCTTTAAATGATGAGGATACTGAAAGTACAATCTGTCCCCAATCCTGACCAGTTTCTCATTGCATTTCAGGAAAGAGTCCTTCACCCTAGCTGCCTAATAGAGAGGAGACGATTTCTTCCCTGGGAGAGAGTAGGACCATATTCCACTTCTGCAAATATTCCACATGCAACATTCAATGTACAATAAAAACAACAACCTATCTGAAAACTCAGGAAAGTATAAATGATAAAGAACAAACAAACAAAAAGCAAACAAAAAAACTGACAGCAGAAGTCAGTGGGAAAGAACTTTCAAGTAACCATGCTAGTATAGTTGACAAAATCATGGGCAAAATGGATGAAAAGATAGAGAATTTTAACAGAAATCCAGAAAAGTGGAATCTGAAGAAAAGAATTAAATACTCTAGACATTGAAAAAAATATGTATGATAACAGAAAATAAGAATTATCTGAATGAGTTCCTCAGAAGACAAAATAGCAGGAAATAAGGTTAGCGTTCTTGAAGAAAGGTCAATCGAAAATTTATAAGTTATTAAGAAAAAACAAAGGATAGAAAGAACAGGAAAGAGAGGAAGACACATGCAGAAGATGGTAAAACAGCCTGGCACACATGTAATGGGAGTCCCGGAAGGAGATAGTAATATTAGAAGAGGCAATTTTTAAGAATTTCAAAAACTGGCTAAAGGCATTAACCCACAGATTCAAGAAACTCAGTGACTCACAAGCAGGATCAATCAAACAAAACCACGTTTGATTTTGAACGTGGGACATCATGAACAAATTGCTGAAAATCAAAGACCAAAAGGAAATTTTAAAAAGAAACAAAGCAGAAGACCCCATTATTTCAAGGACCAATAACACTGATGGCTGATTTCCCAACAGAAAATTAAAGCTGGAATGCAAAGGAATGGGATGACACAGGAATCTAAGATCTCAGCAATCTCGGTGTCAGGTTTTTTTTTAAAACTATTTTTTTCTTGAATAAGGGTTACATTTCTTTGACGCTTTTTTTGTCTAGTGAGTTTTGATTTTTATCACTGGCATTAAACACTATACATTGTGGATACTCTGGGTCCTGCTGTGTTTCCCTGAAGAGTGTTGTTTCTGTTTTACTGCCCAGATTAATCACTGACAACACTACAAACTTGTGCAGGCTTGGTTGTACAATGTTATGACAGACCTGCAGAAAACCCAGGTTTCTCCAAGCCCCTGTAGTTCGTCATGTCTCAACCTCCAAACTCAGTGTATTTTGTAGTCCTTGTCAGGATGTTCTTTTATTCTAGTGAGGCATCAGACTATTTAAGGTAGAATAAAATAGGCCTTTCTTTAGGACATGATCCTTGCTTTTAAGTCTTGGACTCTCCCAGTGGATTCTTGGTGTTACAAAGTGTGGATGAGGTCCTCCCACGGGACTAGACCAGCACGTCAGCACCTTCACACCTGCTCAACTCCACAATCTGCTCCTTCCCCCCAAGAGGAGCCGCTCTGTCCAGCCTCAGAAAGTCCCTTGTGCATATGCAACAAAACTCCTCTGTTAAGGACTCATGCGGACCCCACGTAGACCTCTGGGGCCTCTCTGTGCTGACCCCAGCCCGTCTATTCTGGCCTCTTCACCCACCCGAAACTCTGTTCCCCTCCTCGGCTCAGGGAATCCAGCATGCTGTGCTTCCCCTGCACCTTGCAGGGTATGGTCAGGAAATCCTCCCATCACAGCCATGGTATTCAGGGGTTCACTCCGTGACTTCTCTGTTCTCTCTGCTGCCTGTTGTCTAACATTTGAGAAAGAAAACACATCGGTTTTATTGTTGTTTACAGGAAGGGCTAATCCAGGACCAGCAAGCCCATAAAGGCTGCAAAGAACAGTAATGCTGAAACCAACCAACCAACCAACCAACCAACCAACCAACCAACCAACACACAAGGCAGTCTGGGGAAACTATCCTTTGAATATAAAAGTAAGGGAAAGGTATTTTTACATAAACAAAAGCTAAGATAACTTGTTTCCAACATAATTACACAGTAAGAAAAGCGAAAGGGCCAGGCGTGGTGGCTAACACCTGTAATCCCAGCACTTTGGGAAGCCAAGGTGGGCGGATCTCTTGAGGTCAGGAGTTTGAGCCCAGCCTGGCCAACATGCTGAAACCCCATCTCTACTAAAAATACAAAAAATATCAGCCAGGTGTGGTGGCGGGCACCTGTAATCCCAGCTATTTGGGAGACTGAGGCAGGAGAATCACTTGAGCCTGGGAGGAGGAGGTTGCAGTAAGCCGAGATTGCTCCATTGTGCTCCGGCCTGGGTGATAGAGTGAGACTCTGTTTCAAAAAAAAAAAAAAAAAAGAAAAGAAAAAAAATGCAAAAGAAAGTAATATGATCCCAGGCAGAAAAATAAGAACTGTGAGATGGAATCGAGTACTGAAAATGAGGTAACACTTTCAGAAATTGTAAGGGCATTACTCCATTTTTACTCCATGTTACACAGAAATATGCATAGGCTTACTACTTCAAAGGCACTTCTTATTTTGCATGTGTAATTCTATTAGGGATATATTATTAACAGCATTAAAATAATAAAATTTTCAATTTCATGTACATGTATTTGCCACACTAAAGGTAATAAATGGAGTCCCCATCGGTTTCATTAGGACCATTTGATAATATGTGTCATTCACATAAAGACTCGAAGCTGTCATGAAGTTGCTGACGGCATCACTCTGCCAAAGGGGTGACTGAAGGAGTGATTTAACTTTACAAAAATAAATAAATCCGAGTTGGGGAAGAGCACCTCCCTCACTGACGCACACTTGTCTGACTCGCGGTGATTCATTAATGCTCTTTTTTTCCCACGGAACATCCTCACTAATAGTCACAGCTTGCTGAATTTTCGAGACCTTTCTCCTGTGTGAATATAGAGGAGGAAGCGACAGAGGCTGCATTGTAGCTGTGCTTTATGCAATAAATTAATTTGAAGATTACTTCTTTGAAAAATAAAGGCCTTAGTCCTACATCAAAAAGTAGGGGCTGGGAACAGGGAAACCGACGGATGCCAGTCAAAGGGCATAGACTTCCAGGTGAAGATGAGTGCGTTCTGGAGGCCTCAGGTACAGCCTGGTGGCAGTAACACAACTCTGTGTGCTTAAAGTTTGATGACAGAGCAGATTTTAAGCATCCTCATTAAAAAAAAAAGTGCCTGTGAGATGAAGGATGAATTAATTAGCAATTATGATAATCATTTCACAATGTGGAATTATATCACATCACTGTATACCTTAAATATATAGAATTTTTATTCACCCGCTTGTACTTCCATAAAGCTAAAAAGAAGAAGTTAAGTACGTGGGGCTAATTTTATTGCAATATTATTTAACAATATTTTCCAGTGAATACCACCAAACCCACAAAAATCTACATTTGCTTCAAATTTGACCTTTCCTTTCAAATATGACTTAATATAAAATTAGCTTTTACAAATTCAACTTTTGCATATAATAAAATAATATATAACACGTTAGCCATGTCGTATTTTCCCTGATTCAGAGAATGCTTTTTATTCCTGTCTTTATGTTGAATAATGAGTTGATCACAGACAGAAGAGACACCGTGTTTTGATATGTTGTGATGCTTTAAAATAATTAAAACTTTTGAGCTGAGCTGTTATATTTCTGGGTAACTGGCATGTGATCCTAATTGAGCTGTTATATTTCTGGGTAACTGGCATGTGATCCTAATCAAGGCTATGGATACCTATCTCTTCTCCACACTGACACATCCGAGGGTCACCAGGCCCTTTGAAATTAAACGTTAAGAAGTGTTCATTAGAGATGTGCTGGAGTCACCACCCAGATTTAATCCACCTGCTCTCCAGTTCTGCTCAAACTTCAGTGGGTGGTCACAGAATCTGACCCATCTGGTACTTTCCCCCAACAAGCCACGGGTGGAGGTGCAATGCAGGTGTTTGGTTCATACAGAAATTACTTGAAAATGATGGTTTGGAATTCACCCAAAACCAAATCATCAACATTCAGCACCAAGACCACACGTGGCTGGAGAACTGGAGGAAGGACAGTCCCCTCTCACCCAAGTGATTGATGGGGAGGAAAGAAATTGATCAACTGTGCCATTTCTTCTCAAAGTAATGCTCTTTGCAAGTGTGGAAACCGGATCTGATTGAAACGGAGCAACAGAATGGAGCAAAGCGGGAGCACAGTGCCAGGGCCCCGAGCCCAGGGCAGGAGCACAGCACAGGGGCCCCCAGCCCAGGGCAGGAGCACAGCACAGGGGCCCTGAGCCCAGGGCTGGGCTTGTTTTTATTTCCTGCATCTCAGTGTACTAACACGTGGCCCAGGCGCCCACCACACCGGCAAAGCACAGGCATGAGGACCTCTGGAGCTGTGAATTTTCCCAGCAAAGTGCAATTATGGAACCGCACTGCATAATCGGAGGCAGATTCATAGCTGAAGAATTCTTGAAGGAATGCCTACAATTACACCTGTGCCTCATTAGCTAAACTGATATTTGCCATGGTGGAAGGAGAGCAAATAGACTTGAGAGATTCTTTTTTAGACTCCAGGAAGAGCACAGAAAACACTCGTCAGACTGGGAAGAAAAAACCCAAAATCCTCCCAAGTAGTATAAAACACAAGAACAAAGACACAAGGCGATTTGAACCCAGGAGCCTCCGAATCACAAACAATTACATTTTGTTAATAAGTCACATGCATGCACTTACAGGCAGGGAAGAGCCGTGGTTGTGAGAAGAGTAACGATCCACGTGCGTTCCCTCCCCTGTGTGCGTTCCCTTATTGTACACCTTTTCCAGTGTGTGTGCAGGTCTATGCATTCCTTGGTTGCAGACAGCAAGAAATCTTTTCTGCCTCTAAACTTGAAAGTTTAGGCCATGCGTGGTGGCTCATGCCTGTAATCTAAACACTTTGGAAGGCAGAGACGGGTGTATCACCTGAGGTCAGGAGTTCAAGACCAGCCTGACCAACATAGTGAAACCCTGTCTCTACCAAAAATACAAAAATTAGCTGGGCGAGGTGGCACGTGCCTGTAATCTCAGCTACTCAGGAGGCTGAGGTAGGAGAATCTCTTGAACCCAGGAGGCAGAGGTTGCTGTAGGCCAAGATCACGCCACTGCACTCCAGCCTGCCAGCCTGGGTGGCAGAGAGTGAGACTCTGTCTCAAAAAAAAAAAAAAAAAAAAAAAAAGAAAAGGAAAAAGAAAAGAAAGTTGAATAGCAGACTTGGGCATGACAAACGCTGGTGGTTAGCCCAGTTCATTGGGGATTAAAAGTCTCCACTAGAGACTTGTCTCTGTCAGTTGTCAGCTCCTTCTTACTACTAAGTTTAGCCCTCCCTCTTTCCAGTAAAGTTCATGCAAAAGGGATGAAAACTTGAAAATTTGGCAGTCCTGCTTTCTGACACACTGGGATCTTTCAAAAACCAACAGAATTCCCCATCTCAGAAATTAATATCTGGACCATTTTTACTTTTGTTCAAATATGTTATTGTATCACTGCTTAGACATGTTACTTGTTCTCGTTCACACATATTAGAGTTACTCATTTTCTTTATGGACTGAACACAAACGTTAAGACGTCACTGAGTTGGAATAATAGATTAATGGTCATTAAAATACATTGTGTTATTTAGAAAAAATAAAAGCTGCTCTATATAGAACAAGTAGCTAGGAACTAAATGATGCTTCCCGTTTGTGCAGCAGATGGAACCTAGGCCTGCTAACGTAAGAATGTAAAATGTGTAATTTCATGGATTAGAAGCTGAACCCCTGGCTAGTTTCCCTGGTGAGACCCCACTCCACCAAGGTGGTGAGAGGGTCATTGCAGGCAGCTGGGGGGTTTGAAGAGATGCTTCGTGGGCCCGGCAGTGAGGAGAAGTGGGGCGGATGGTGTGGGAGGCCGGGGAGCCCGGGGAGCTTGGGAGGCTGTGGACGGTGTGGGAGGCAACCTGTCCCTGCAGGCTGCTCTGAGTTCTGTCTCCATTCTCTGGGCTAAGCCTCTATTACCCATTGGAGCTACTGGCTGCTGCCCTTCAAAAGGTCAAAGAAATGAAGTCAGGAACTGCAGAACCTCTTCTGAGGCATCGCCTTTACCTGGGATGTCCACATCTGTCCCACAGCCCCTTGGCTCTGGTGGATCTGAAGCCTCTTGCCATGTCCATGGGTCTGCCCCTTCTAACCCCCGGGTCTGAATCAGGGCCTTGTGCAATCTGAGGTGGATTCAGTACCTTTTCTATCCAACAAAAGGGGCATGATACTTGTTTTACATAACATATAAATGTATGAGTGCTATAAAAAGAATTCATTTGGAAACAGTATAAATAGAAAAAAAGTCCTGTATGGAAATTCTATGTGGCAACTAATGTCCACTGACATACATCACAAAGTGCCTCAATTAGGCCATTCTCAGCAGAATGACATATATATGTGTGAAATTTAAAGTCATATATGATTGTATATACACGTATTAGAATATACATGACGTCTATACATATCTATGCAATTAATGTTTAATCTCCCCTAAAGTAAACTTGGCAATTTTGTGTGAGAAAGATCCATTTAATGACTAAGTTTCTGTGGGCTTTAGAATATTGTCAGAAAAATTATATCAGGAACGAGAGGAAGCAGTTCTTTGTTCTGTCTCCAGTTTTGGCTTGAGAGGCGTGAACTGGTTGCTGACTTCCATCCACGTCAGAACCTACCAGCAAGGTTCCTAGTGTAGCTCCTTCGTACCTGAGTTCTTTGGGGTGGCCCTTCCTCATCTTTTGGTTTTGTGTCAAACATCTCTAGGCTACCTGTGAGATAGTCTTTTACATGGAATTATCAAAGGACAGCAAATGACAAACTATTTTGGCATGTGAGTGCAGACATGTCTTTAGGTCAAATTGTGGTTCCGTATTCACAGCGGCATTTGCATCTTTGGAAAAGAGCAAACAACATCCACGGACATCACGTTTCCTCAACCCACGGACAACCATGCACTGTTCAGTTGACCATCGCCGTTCCTTGCCATTTCACGCCTTTCTCATCCACTGCCAGGATCCAAGATGGCCCCACACACTGAGAAATGTCATCACGGGTTTGCAGGCCTCCTACCCATGTGTCCACATTCGGAATAAAGGACAAGGGAGTGGTGAGCAGGAAAGCTGGCAAAAGATAATGCCCTAATGGTGCAATATTCATAAACTGGTATTTAATTCCTAAGATAATTTGTCATAAATAGCAACCCACAAGTCAGCTGAAGAAGTGATATGGTTTGGCTGTGTCCCCTCCCAAATCTCACCTTGAGTTGTAATAACCCCCATGTGTCATGGGTAGGGCCAGGTGGAGATAATTGACTCATGGGGGCAGTTTCCCCCACGCTGTTGTAGTGGTAGTGAGTAAGTCTCATAAGATCTGATGGTTTCATAAATGGGAGTTCCCCTGCACACCCTCTCTTGCCTGCCTCCACGTAAGGTGTGCCTTTGCTCTTCCTTCGTCTTCCACCATGATTGTGAAGTCTCCCCAGCCATGAGGAACTGAGTCCATTAAACTTATTTCCTCTATAAATTACCCAGTCTCGGGTATGTCCTTGTTAGCCATATGAGAACAGACTAATACAAGGAGCTAAAGACACTTATCCCTTGACTTCCGGTGAAAGGGCACACCTCACCTATTCATTTGTAGCCATCAGATCTTGGGGGCTCTGGGGCATTAGCTGCACCCACTAGGGCCCCTGGCCTGAAACCCTGTGCAAGTCCCCAGGCAGTGTGTGTGTGTGTGTGTGTGTGTGTGTGTGTGTGTGTGTGTGTGTCTGTGGAGGGCGGTGAGAGGGTGGCAAAGGAGAAGGTCAGAATGAGGCCACCCATCCAGGCAGTTATGAAAGGATCTTCCACCAACCTTGGCAACAATTCAAATCAATCATTCTGTAAATCTCTCTTGATACAAGTCCAAGGAGAAGCAAGATAAGGGAAAGTCAAGTCACAAATGGTACCTTCCATGGAAGACAAAACTCACACTTGTTGATCTTGTGAAACAAGAACTGTGTTGAGAACTGGGTGATGAATCTGGGAAATTGTGTAGAGCTAGAAACGGTCCTGGCATGGGCGCTGCCGTTTCTCAGGTGCTTGCGATGTGCCACGCATGGAGCTGTATCAAGCCCCGTGTTGCTGACGCCGTGTACAACCAACTGCTGGTCACCTGGTGTTTTTCCCTCATTTCCTCGTTTTAAGGACAGATGTTTACTCCTCGCTGCCATCCTACAATGCAGGTCATAACTAGCCACAACCAAGGGGCAGCCCGGTGTGCCACACTCTAATAACCACTCAGGTGGAGGGTGCCTTTCAATGAAATCAGCACCTGAAGACATGAGGTCTAGGAAGGGCAAAGTCACCCTGAGGGAAAGAGCGTGGCCTCTGTTTTATTGGGGTGCGTGGGATTTAGCCTTTATACATGGGCAACAAACACCTGTCTCTGCTGAGTTCCTGGAATGAAGGTGGAAACACAAAAGAAAATGATGCCGGCAATGACTGCCCTAGAGAATAGAAGATAGGTAAGAATGGATGGGTGTGTGGCCACCCAGGCTTGTTTCTGGTGATGCTCTGTGGGAGCAGAAAATCTCCAGGAAGCACCAGCTGAGAGCAAGTTTGCAGCTCCAGGCTGGCCTCTAATTTGGTCTGAAACCTCAGGGTAAGTTCTCCATCTCCGCTGGGAAAGAGAGCTGTATCTGACACCAAGCGCTTTCCTCTTTTTACTTTTCACTCTCAGCTGGAAGTGAAAAGGAAAGTGGAGGTTCCTGGCTGGAAAGGGATAGAGAACACACCAACAAAATCATCTGGGATGATTTTTTTCTTTTGAGATGGAGTCTTGCTCTGTCACCCAGGCTGGAGTGCGGTGGCACAATGTCAGCTCACTGCAACCTCCACCTCCCCGGTTCAAGCGGTTCTCCTGCCTCAGCCTCCTGAGTAGCTGGGATTACAGGCACCCATGGCACCATGCCAGGATAATTTTTGTATTTTTAGTAGAAACGGGGTTTCGTCATGTTGGCCAGGCTGGTCTCGAACTCCTGGGCTCAAGTGATCCACCCGCCTCAGCCTCTCAAAGTGCTAGGATTACAGGCATGAGCCACCTTGTCCGGCCATTGAGGTGCAACCTTAACTGTATCCTTTTGACAGTTTTGAATATGTGGACAAATTCATTCTCAAAAATTGCCCAGTCTTCCAACATTTGCAGAAGCCAGAATATCTGGAGAGTGTCCAAAGCTGCTCTGCTCTGCTACAGACAGTCCTCCCAGGAAGTAAGGGCTGACCCACAGCAGAGAGCAAAGGAACACCCATGCTTTTACAAGTCTGATGTAGCCTTGGGAAGTCAGAGTACGTGCCTGCAAGTGTCTCCATCCCCATCGTCCCCCCATGGCACCCACATGTTTTGGGGAGTGTTTCCAGGGGTTCAGGAAACTCCAATGTGCAGAACCCACACAGATGGGTGCAGAGGCCTGTGCTCCTTTCTGGCTTCCACACAGACCGGACCCTGACAGCCCTGGTCATGCGGATCAATGGGTTAAACTCAACACCTTTTTCGTATTTTAGGTTTATTTTCTTCATCAGCGTGCCTTTCATGCCCGCAGAGCACTGGCAACAATATTCTCTTAAAAGTACACTTGTCAGGGTCCATTTGCGAGCAGCCACCTTGATGGTGACATCAGCCGTGCCTGCGGTTTACCTTTTGACCTTGTAGAGGCAGCAGATGGGTCTGGTAATAAATCCCGATTATTAGTGAAGGAGCCAATAGCTTGGAAAGGCAGAAATAAAAGTCAGGCAGTTTTACATTGTGACTCTTGTTATCTGCTCCGACATGGAGCCATGAGCCCCGTCAGGGAGGGGACGACGGATCGGAGCCATGCTTGCTCCTTTGCCCCCTTTTCCCCTGCCCTACCCACTTCATTTCTTCTTCCCATCACCATTTCCCTTCCCTGCCTCCCTTTCTTGCTTCCCTCCTTCCTTCAGGAGCTGACAAGTGGCTTACATCTTCTCCTTCACAGATTCAGGGAGAATTGAAGTCTTTCCAGATTGCTACTCTGGTGCTGTGTGTCCTGAGGAGCTCCCACAACCTCTCTGAGCTATATGACTATTAGCAATTGCTAATGTTTTAGAAACAGCATAAGAATTCAGAAAATACATTCACAGCAGGATTCAGGCTCTTTTATTAAATGTAGGAAGTGAATCTGCTTCTAGCAAGCCATAAGAGGTCTCCGTAGCAGTTTAAACCTGACGAAGGTGGCTAAGCCTCCAGCCCACAGATCACCAGACAGTGGGTCTGGGGAAGGAGGTTTGGATGTCAGCTTGCAAGACAAGATCTTTGTTTTTAAAATTCCTAGATTTAAATATTCTATACCACCAGTGAACAATACATATGAGGGTTACAATTCGTATTTATGTATAAATTTTGAAATTTCGTGATACTTATTTAAAAGCATCTTTGAAATCTTTTGACAAATGACCGGTGATAAAAACATTAAGAAATATTATTGATATTGGTGTATCGTATTATTTTTCCAGGGGATTCCAGAGTGGTCGGACCTCATGGAAATTCAGTCTGTGTCCTATGTCTTTTAAAATTTGCATTTAAATGATTTCTGAATATATTTTTAAATGATTTTAAGAAGTCAAGAGATAAGCATTGCTTTGGTGAAAGTTGTCTTCACTGTTGAATTAGCTAAAAGTTTTGATATCATAATTTAAACAAACTGTTTTTGTATTCAGCTCCATAGCTTTGATAAAAAAGAGTAACAGCTTCTGATAGAAATGAGCGATCCAGGCCTTGAAAGGCAGCAGCACGCAGAGGTGGTTGCACATAGGAGGTGGCCGTGGTGTTTAAGTGGCAATTATGAGTTTGCTACATTTCCCCATGAAATAGATCTCTAGAGGAGGAATATGTATGTTTCTTGGCAATTACAAACTAGAATCACACCTTTTAAAAAGTGCTTGTCACAAAATTAAAGTTATTTTTCTTCCTGAATAGTTTTTCTAGACAAAAATGAACAAACAGAACATTATTTTTAGTGTCACACATTGTCTTGTCATTTGTTTACGATTTGTTTTCCAATGCATTTTCACACCTTTCCTTTCCGAATGCAGAAACTTAGCAAAGGATTACTTGTTTTAATCATCTCACCAGCTAGGCTTGTTACGAGACCCTATGTGCATATTAATTTATTAAATCAGTAGGTGTGATTGAGCCAAGGAAGAACCTAGCAATGATGCTTCATAACTAAGACCAACGGAAGGAACCATCATTTTGTAATGGAAGAGAGGGTCTAATCAAGCAAAACAGACAAACAAAATCTTGGTTATTTGTTATCGTGTGTGTGAGAGATGCTTTACTTGGAAATTGATGCAACATGAAATCATGGGTTTTACTTTGTCAGTCTAGGCTTGCATAGTGATTTCAATCCTTGTGTAAAAATCAGAAGGTCGCCAGTTTGTAGAGAGGTGTGTGCCTGTATGTAAGCAGGTGCATGTGTGCAAGTGTGTACATGTGCTTGTGTGTGTATGTGTGTGAGTGCATTATAGTAGTGTGTGTGTTTGTGTATGTTGGCATGTGCAGGGTATGTGAGTGTGTGCCAGTGTGTGTTTGCATGCGTACTTAAATGTATTTGCTTTTTGTGTAAATATCTAAGTTTTTTTAAAAAAACATATCCAGGTGTTTTGGTGGTTTTTTTCCCCCTTTGCAGAAACAAAAAGAGCAAACAACCTAAGGGCTAATGTACTAATTATCAGTGGCTGTGCAAGCCTCCCAGAAGCATCTCTTCTATAACCCCTGGAAAAATTGTGACATATTATAAACTGTTTGAATTAGCGTAAATCAGTAAACAACAAATTGGTGCCAGCCCAGTCACACAGGAGTGCTCTGCATGCTAAGTGACTTAGCTTAGCAAGGCCAAAATTAGCCACAGAGCAGAATCAATTTTAATTCAACTCGAAACAGAAATATTTATGAATTCCTAGAATATGAAAAGCTCCGAGGTAGAAATTTCAAGGGTCACAGAGAAAAATCAGGTCTGTGTACACTTCTCTTGTCTGGTGCGTGTGTGTGCATGTGTGTGTGTGCATGTGTGTCCACGTGTGTGTGTGTGCCATGTGTGCACATGTGTGTGCACGTGTATGAAGGAACAGGCATACGTGAATAAGCATAAAGAGAGAGAGATGACCAGAGCAGAACAAGCAAAGGCTTTATGTTTTATTTATTTTTAAATACAGCAACTCTTATTTAGGAACAATCATTATAGCTAAAGCACACATATGGTCAAGCCATAACTACTTATAATAAACATCCTCTCTAGACTACACAATGAGGACGATTAGTAAATAAGTACCTCTTAATGTTCCTAAAATGTTCACATTTCTTTTTAAAAAAATCTTTCAATATTTAAACTACTATGGTGCTAAAGCATTCTTGTACTGGTATCAAAGCTTTCTCACTAAATACTCATTAGCTTTAATGCCACCACAGATTCATATACATTTCAAATTTATTTAACTTTTTTGATAAATGTAATGTGGTTTAAATATATTCTGAAAGATTCAACTATGTAATAAACAATAACTTTTAAAAACTTAGCATTCATCAGGTTTATTCACAATCAGGTTGCTGGAATCTAAGCCACAGTAGGCGCTCTGTCCAACACAAAATATGTTTAATTTCCTGGGAGAAAACATGAAACAGGGAAAAAATATTCTCTAACTTTCAGGTGAGTGTAGAAGTGAAATAACTAAATATTCTTAATCATTTTAGGGCTGTTCTTTTCTAACTATCAAAACTCTTTGACATCAACAGAAATGATTCCTAATTCTTTGTCCAGAAGATTAGCACAAGGCTGGACATTTGGGAAGAATGCAGACAAATTTTAGCTAAATAAATCAATTAACAAATGAATGGGTGAAGATCTCAGGTGATAAGAATATTATCAGTTGATAAAGGTGGAAGGAAGAAAGGTTCTTAAGAGTAATCTTAAGTTACTCTGCTAAAGAAACTTTCACATTCATGAAAAAAATGTTTTCCATTTTGAAAGGCTCAGGAAAGGATGAGTGTCGCAGTAGAAGAAGGATTCACGGGCACTTTGGAACCCACAAATCTGTGCATCTGTAAAGATTTATAGTACTTAAGAGATGATGGTGTGAGACATATGGTTTAATCAAGATGCATTTAAGCTTTTTCTTATCTGCTTAAGAATTCATTTTTCCTCTAATTTGATTCATTGTTACTCTAATTTGAGTCCGTTTGTCTTTCCTAAAAGAAAATAGATAGATAAATAGATAGATATTAATACAACAAATGCAATTTTTCAAAATGCCCAAAACTAAAATATAGAATGCCTGCTGGGATTTAAGCAAAACTTGCCCACTGTTGACCCTGCATCTAGACTGGTATATACGGGCAGAGTCCCCATAGCGTCTCATTTATAGCAAGCACCGTAATCCTCCGAGGCAGATAATGAAAATGGCAGAAGGACTCTGTGATTTATATCTTGACATTATTATGTCTGTGTCAGTTCAGCTCTCTTTATTTCCCTAAAACTCTCCCTTATCATTAGGCCTGACAAGTCCTTTATTTTTAGAATAGATTGAAGTGAGCGATAGGAACTCAAAAGAAACAAGGTTGCAGGGTGTTTCGTCATATTTCTGCTGTGTTTTAGTGTTCGCCTGTCTCCTCTGTAAGTATAAACGCTATCTGGGAATAAATGGGTGCACTCAGAACACGGAGTAGAGACAAAAACAGAAGCACCGGCTCACTAGGCGCCGAGTAAGCCGTCTCGGAAAACAGAGAAACTCCACGCGGGGAGCTAGTCCCACTTTCTAACAAAATTTTCCACGTTTCAGGGAAGGTGCAGAGGGCTGCTTTATTCCAAAGGATGAGGGCCAGCCATAAATCAGACAGCTCAAGGGGCGATCGCACATGAAAAACAGCTTCACAGGTGTGTTTCTGTTTGGAAAGTGGAAGCGACGATGGGGAATTTTCAAGCTGACGAGGAGTGGAGCTTCGCGCCTAGGAGAGGAACCGAGGGAACTGCCGACCTTCTCACGGGACTTGGCTGTCCATCCTCCACCTGCAGAAGGAGCCCGTTCATAGGTTCAAGCTCATACGTTTAAAAATTCACATCTCCATCCTGCAGGTTTTTATAGCTCAAAAGTATACCGTCAAGCACTGCGTTCCTATTTATGGATGATACGGTTGTGTATTCAGCTATGAAATGAGGCAGAACGCAGGTCGGTGCACTGAGTGTGCGCAGCGCGTGGGAAGGTGCGAGCTACTGTGTCGTCTGCGGTCCCCGTGGGACATTCAGCTGCAGCTGGACAGGGGCAGGGGCTCAAGAAGGGCGGGTGGCCTGGAACCCTCAGCAGGACAGGGGTTGTGAAGCCAGGGAGTTGGCTGGACTAGCCCCTAGAGACCAAATGGGAAGAAAGCCATAGAGCAAGAATGGGACTTCAGGGAGCGCGCACTGCAGAAGCAGGAGAAGAGAGGGTCCCACGCGGAGACTCCCAAGGAATCACCAAGCCTGTGTTTGTCTCCAGCAATGAACCTGCACCTCTCACGTAGCGATGTCTGCATCTGTTCTGCAGGCTAGATGTTTCACCAAGAGCTTGGATTCCGAGGGCAAAAACACCCACTTTGAAAATGATCGAATCTCTGCTGTTAAATGTCAACTGTTTACAGTGCCTGTTCTGCCCATTACCCCATCCAGTCCCTCTCCGCGTTGGCCCTTGATCTCTAGCCCAGCTGCCTGGTGCGTGATCCAGCCCTGGCCCACGTCAGCCCTGCTGCTGGCCTGAGATGTTTGGGCCACCGTGGACGGCTCAGCTCAGATGCTGCATCTCTGGGAATTTTTACCCTATGTTCCAGACAGAGTAGAAATCCCTCCCAAATTCCTTCATCATCAAAATTACTATTGTGCTTTGTAAGGGTTTCTTGTGTCACCGCCCGCAGGCTATGACAGCCTCAGGTTCACAGCATCTGCATCTTGCACTGTTGCCCCCGTCAACATGAAAAGGATGGTAACAACAGGGGTTGACTCTTCTCTTTTCTCGCTGTGATCCCAGGACTGATCAAAGTTCTTGCCTTACATTCATGCATTTAATCAATACCTGATTAATTTCGCCACTTGATAAATGCAGTACTTGAAGGCTAGCAGACATTCAGGAAATGTTTGTTGGATAAGTGATTATACACAATAACTAGATCCAGTAAGAGTTTGTGATGTTTTAAGGTGCTGGCTGTCAGGTTCACATAAGAAAACCCTCTGTACTATAGATATCTTCTCGTTTAATAAAATGTATCTACGTAAAAAGGAAAACCCAACCCATTGTAGGTCAACACATTGCAGGCAGAATAAGTAAACACTGGAATTACCTGCTAGCATGAGACACTTAGAATATATGTGTAGGCATACATGTGTGATACATGCATTTATGTATACCTGTGTATGTATACGCAGACATCAACAAAAGCATGAAGGAAGAGAAGGATGTCTCTCCAGAGAGAATCAAGGACAAACAGGAGAGGGTTGTTGAATTCTGGGAGCCCATGCTGGGGCCAGGGCAGGATGGAAACTCACGTTTGGGGCTATATTATAAGCCCCCTGACAAGGACAGCTTGACGTCTTAATCCCACACTGAATAGATATGATAAACACCATAGAGGGAAAAGAAGCTCATCCTATAGAAGCAGGCATTGATGAAGAGGAAGGTTTGAATAAGATGGTCAGATCAGATAAGATGACAGCATAGATGATAAGAGGATGATTAGAATAGCAACTGACTGTTTTATACGTTAAAATTATAGATTTTGCAAGAATGTACCCTTCATTTATAGATTAATCCTGGCAGAAACTTTTTCACTAATACTGTATAAATGTCTCAACATTTAAAGTTTTGTATAAACCAAGCTTGCATATAAAATTGATTTACAGATATACCTTAGGTAAGTCTAGCTAAACAGACATTGACAATCAAATATCAAATATTAGGATTGAATATAATCATTTAATTACTCATCTTTCTCTCCCCAGGCAGAACATGATTTCACCATGCAGATACATTGCAGGCTGCATTATTTATATCTTGCACCATAAAAGATTTTAATAAATTTTTTCCCTCTTATAAAGAGTTCTTGATTTTATGAGGCCAAGTAAACATAATGGAAATATCTAAGACATTTATCTTTGCTCGTGGACAAAGTAGCTTATCAGAAAATATGTATAGGGTTTACAAACGGTTAAGTATAGGTAGGAAATGCCAATAACCCAGTTCTCTGGTTCACCAGACAGTCTCCGAGTCAGAGCAGGTCTGAAGCTGAGTGTTTCTCCCGCTTACGGTTCCTGAGGAACCGGCTCCTTGCGTGGAGGCCGAGCTGGGGGAACATTACTCCCACTGGACACATCTCAAATGCCGTTAGGGCTCGGAGGACGGCCATGATTCTGCCTAAGATATTTGCCTGAATCCTCTGAATTCTGAGCATAAAAGATGTAACTTTTACTAACAATGGTTGGGGGAACTCAAGATGCAGGCAGACTGTTGAGCTGGTGAGAATGCACGCTGACCACCTTCTTCAGCTCAATCGCGGTTCATCACACACACGTTTTCTTAAGTGGCTTCTGTATTGACCCATTGATTTCAAGCTCATTTTATGAAAATCTTGCTGTTTAATTAGATTGCTTTCCAGTAGCTGATAGTCATGCTTTTCATTAATAACAAGTGCTGCCGTGGCCAGAGAAGAGGCCGTTATAAGTTCTAAAAGCCGACTTCATACACAGTCGATCAAAAGCCAGGGACAGTCCATCTTGGAGCCTCGGCATGTGCACACGTGGCCACCTCATCAATTAGGATAAAATGGCCAAGAAAAGCTGTATTCTTAGCATCTGAGTCAATGATGGAGACAGATAAATGACATTTACTAAATCAAGATGAAATACATTTCTGAGTCTGCATTAGCCTTGCTCTCAGTTGGAGGATGGGAATAAAATTTATCAGCTGGTTATAATTCGGGAGCAAAGGTCTATGTTGGAGGCCACTTACACTTTAGTTAATGACATGTTTTAAAATAATAGAACAAGAAAAATATTATCTCTGGTAAATCAATAAGTTATTATTGGTTGTTGATTGATTGTTTCTTGCACTCTCATCTCTCTTCTGACAATATGATAAAAGTCAGTGTGGACTAAGATTCAAGCTTTTCTTTTTTTTAACTTTTATTTTAGGTTCAGGGGTACATGTGAAGATTTGTTACGTAGGTAAACTCATGTTGGGGGTTTGTTGTACAGATTATTTCATCACCCAAGTATTTAAGCTCATTCCCTAAAAGTTATCTTTTCTGCTCCTCTCCCTGCCCCAAACCCTCCAGTCTTAAGTGGATCCCAGTGTCTGTTTTTTCCTTCTTTGTGTTCATGAGTACTCATCACTTAGCTCCCACTTATAAGTGAGAACACGCATTATTTGGTTTTCTGTTCCTGTGTAAGTTTGCTGAAGATAATGGCTTCCAGTTCCATCTATGTTTCTGCTAAAGACATGTTCTTGCTCTTTTTTTTATGGCTACAAAGTATTCCACGATATATTTGTACCACATTTTCTTTATTCAATCTGCCACTGATGGGCATTTAGGTTGATTTCATGTCTTGGCTATAGTGAATAGTGATGCAATGAACATTTGTGCATGTGTCTTTATGGTAGAATGATTTATATTCATCTGGGTATATACTCAGTAATGGGATTGCTGGGTGGAATGGTTGTTCTGCTTTTAGCTGTTTGAGGAACCTCCATACTGCTTTCCAAAAAGGTTGAGCTAATTTACACTCCCACCAACAGTGTAAATGGTATAAACATTCCCTTTTCTCTATAATCTTGCCAGCTTCCATTTATTTTTTTATTTTTTTAAGACAGGGTCTCACTCAGGCACCCAGGCTGGAGTGCAGTGGTGCAGTCTTGGCTCACTGCACCCTGAGCTCAAGCCAACCTCCTGCCTCAGCCTTCTGAGTAGCTGAGACTACATGGAGGCACCACCATACCTGTCTATATTTTTAAAAATTTTTATAGAGATGGGGTTTCACAATGCCCAGGCTGGTCTGGAATTCCTGGGCTCAAGTGATCCGCCCACCTCGGCCTCCCAAAGTGCTGAGATTACAGGCATGAGCCACTGTGCCCAGCCGACTTTTCAATAATAACTATTCCGACTGGTATTTAGTCATTATGACCTCAAAAATCATATTTGCTTGGCTTACAATATAAATTATTCTCCTCACGCAATGGTGAGGTTTTGCACACATATCTTTAAATGTGGGTACTTGTGCAACTGTCTCCTGAGGAGAGGTAAGAAAAATTCTCAAGTCTCCTCTGACGTCCGAGGCAGAGCCCAGATCAGCTGCTGCGGGAGCTTGGTGTTTGCAGAGGTAATTCCCAATCTTCCGGGGGTTCTTAAACTTCACGTGCACTTTCAGTTTTAGTGATGATAAAACACCTTCTCCATATTTATAATTTAGATCTCTGTAAATTGAAATCATTTGGCGGCAAGAAATAGAGAAAATGGGGCAGACTTAGAAACACTGTCACACAGCAGGTGTGCTCTTGAGTGTGAATTTCTGAAACAGAACAGAGCGACGGCTGAGCCTCACGAAGGCTGGGCGTCACCCAACTGCTTTGCACACATTAATCATTCTTCCTGGTAACCCCTGGCATACACTAAACTGACTCCACTTTGTAAATGTGGAAACGGAGGCAACGGGCTGCTTGTCCCCGCAGCGAGTGTGAGGCCAAGCCAGACACACTGTCATGTGTCCCCTATGTGGCCAAGCCAGACACACTGTCACATGTCCCACA
This sequence comes from Homo sapiens, assembly GCF_000001405.40. Taxonomy (NCBI): domain Eukaryota; kingdom Metazoa; phylum Chordata; class Mammalia; order Primates; family Hominidae; genus Homo; species Homo sapiens. The sequence continues at coordinate 78,314,881 of NC_000018.10, read as the reverse complement.
GTGGACAGTCTTATTCAAACACAATTTTGTGAAATCAAATATTACAAATATGCCCTTGCCCATAAAAGTTTGCATTTACCATTTTGAAAAACGTAAAACTGTATAATCTGTTCTACATCCTGAAGATCCATATTTTCCATCACAAACTTAAAGGAGAGGACCCACTCAGCACAGCTGCATCTCAGCGTGACACCTGGCAGGGCCAGTGGCTCCCTGACTCCTGGGTGTGTCCAGCTTCCGGATTTCACAGTGCACAGGTGGCCTCGAGAGGCACTGGCCCCCACAGCGCAAGGCCACCTGCACCTCATCACTCGGCCTGCGAGGCCCCCACTTTTGGAGAATTCCTGAAACTCACCCCGGAGGAGAAGTGGCATCACTGGAAATTAATTGACGGCCCCTGATAGAGTGTTCAGCCTGAAGGAGTGACAAATGTGGGAGAGAAGGTGCTCAGTGCAGGCTGTTGAAGGGTGGTCACTGACAATGGAGCTGGCACAGAGCTGGTCCCCACCCCGGTCTCAGGTTCTTGTGATTCCCCAGGGGTGGATTCATGTCCCATCAGGAGCGCCCTGTGCCTGCTGAGGACAAAATATCAGTTGAGTCATGAGAAACAATTCTGCATCCTCACCTGTGCCAGGTAACGACTGGGCATCTGCACATGGCGGCCCAGCCCTAAACATCACCCAGAAGCCACTCTCCATCTGCATTCCACAGAGTAACTCATGCAGGGCTTAGGGCTCCATCCCTAGCCAGGCTGAGAAGGGCCTGCACTAAGTCCTGGGTTAGAAGACTCTCTGTGGCCAACGAGAAACACTGAACTCGTCAAACCCAATTTGCAGCTGTGATGGAAGTCAGGTCCCAAGCAGGCGGAGCAGGCAGAGAAGGCTGGGGAGACTGGGGAGGATGCGATGTCCTTAGGCCCCTGTCTTTCTCACACCTCTGGCCGTGGCTGCTTTGTCACGTCAGTCTCCTTGCACGGCCCGAGATGCTTACACGGAGCTTAGGGAGGTTCACACATGTGTCACTGGCCTCACCATGTCTCTGGCCTCACCGTGTCCCTGGCCTCACCATGTCCCTGGCCTCACCATGTCCATGATCTCCCTGTGGTGGTGGTCTTGCCATGCTGGCAGCCCCATTGTCTCACAGTGTCCACTGTCTTGTGTCCATGATCCCACTGCAACCGTGATCTCCCTGCATCCATGATCTCCTGTGTCAGTGTTCTCACCTTGCCTGTGGGGTCCCCATGTAGGTGGTCTTGTCTGTGGCATGTTCGTGCCCTACTGCCTCTGTGGTCTCATGTCCATGGCCTCACCATGTCCATGGTCTCGTCGTGTGTGTGGTCTCACTATGTCTGTTGTCTCGCCGTGTCTGTGGTCTCGCCATGTACGTAGTCTCGCTGTGTCTGCAGTCTTGCCATGTCCGTGGTCTTGCCTTGCATGTGGTCTCGCCATGTCCGTGGTCTCGCCATGTCCGTGGTCTCGCCACGTCTGTGGTCTCTCTATGTTTATGCTCTTGCCTTGTCTCACCGTGTGCGTGGTCTTGTGACGTCCATGGTTTTGCGGTGTGCATGGTCTCACCGCCAGCAGAGGGTGGAGCCAGGACACACGCCGTCCCCAGGAGCCTGGGCCTGAGGACCTTCCCCTCTGAAGTGTGCCCCTGCTCTGGCGGCGACCTCAGGTGCACACGTGCTCATGGGAATCTGAGGGACTGCGGCCATCCTTGTTTTGCCATCATTGTTGTTGTCATCACTTTCATTGTTCTTGTTCCCACAATCATTATTGAATTCCAGGCTGTAGGGATGGATGAGGCAGGATGGAGAGCCTGTTGAAGAGGCTCCCTCTGCTCTGCCCAGGGGCAGGTGGCGGAGCAGTGGCACAGGCTATGCCTAGAAGACAGACGACCACCCAACCCTGCCAGCCCTGGGTGGCGGAGGTGCCCACTGGCCTAGAGGAAAGCAGTAGAGGATGGTGGTTACTTACATCTTGTCAGCTTAGAAATGACCCCCGCTCAAATTCTGTTCTCCCAGTGACCAGCTGTGTGACCTCGGGTCACCCACTTAACCCTTAAATTTCAGCTTCAGATCTGCTGTGGCAAGATCTGGGCAGCATTTGGCCCATGGAGATGGGAAAATTAAATCTAATGATGACCCTCAAAAGTTGGGCACACTCTCCCACACTCTCTCTTCCTTCTCAATTTCTTTTCTTTTTTCTTTTTCTTTTTTTTTTTTTTTTGAGATGGAGTCTCACTCTGTTGCCCAGGCTGGAGTGCAGTGGTGTAATCTCAGCTCACTGCAAGCTCCACCTCCTGGGTTCACGCCATTCTCCTGCCTCAGCCTCCCAAGTAGCTGGGACTACAGGCACCCGCCACCACGCCCGGCTAATTTTTTTGTATTTTTAGTAGAGACGGGGTTTCACTGTGTTAGCCAGGATGGTCTTGATCTCCTGACCTCGTGATCCGCCTGCCTTGGCCTCCCAAAGTGCTGGGATTACAGGCTTGAGCCACAGACCTGGCCCCTTCTCAATTTCTTTTTTCCCCCCATTTCCACGGCAAACACAAGCTCTTGCGAATATCTGTAGCTAAGGGTAGGACGCCCAGGCTTCCTTGTTAGTCAGTAAGCATGGCACAGACCTCACTGTAAAACAAAGCACATCTTTGCTGCTGTGCTCGTTCAACCCAAGCTCCGGACGTGTGGCAACATGAGAGTGTGCAAAATTGCGCCGTAAACATATTCCTCAAACTGTGCAGAATGAGTGGCCTGGAACATGTGCCAGTCCCGTGCCCCAAATACTTATCCTGAAAACACTTAAGTTCTAGGAAGCAAGTGAATGAAAGTATGGAGTTTAAGATAGATAATTTCCTTTAAAAATTATTTTAAATAAAGGATGCACCTTTCCATGCCCTGGATGGTGCCTTTATTTAGTAAACAATTTAACCCTTTCACAGTGTCACTCCAGATACCATTTTCAGTTCAGTCCCAAAATATTGAAGAAAAATGCTTTATGCCATTTTAACACCTGTATTAGAAGACTTGAACATGGAAAAGGCAAAAAGCAAGGCTGTTTTCCGTTTATTGGCAGTTTATTGATCCAGACTTCAGATGAGACTCTTTTCAAAGGTGAGGATGCAGATGTAGGAGACACGAGCAGAGGGAGGAGCCTTCGTGACTCATGCGAACAGGTGCGGCTGGCACCTCAGGGTGGGCCAGGAACAGGGACGTGCTTCAGGTGGCCTCGGTTTCCCAAGGGAAGCGGGGACGGATCCCATGAGGAAGCAGCTCCTCCATGTCACGTGCCCTCTGAGGGTCACACTGGGCTCTGCACAGACCAGTGGCGACTGGAGGCAACACGGAGGCGTGGGCTCCGGCTCTGGCTCTCGCCACGTGACAGAGCCAACACACCAACACCATCACCAGGTTGTCCTGCCATTTATTAACATTTTAACCAGAGAGGCGCATTAAAGGGGCCTTCAGATTAGGAACACAATTGAAAAACCTCTAAGAAAGGAAATATCTTATTAATTCATTAAGTCAAACTGCTTGTATCTACACTTGTATGACTAGAATTATGGTTCATTAACTTCATTTCTTTATATGAGTTAATTAGCTCAGAGGAGGCCAGAAATTAATTACCAGCTTATATAGTTTGTGCAGAATGGCATTCTGTTTATTTAGTTTCTCCTATTAACTTTTAATCTCTTCAAACAACAAAAGAGGTAATTAGTATTTTATAAACAAAAATGAATGCAACAAAGGCAAATAATTTGTCCAATCCTGACGCTCCTGTGAGGACCCTGATAGTTGGGTGGTTGAAGTTACAGACCTTTCCAGCGTTCACCCTGAGTGTAGCGGAGTGTGCGGTGCTGTCCTGGGGTGGGGCCCCCATCCACCACTGGACCAGGGGTACCCAGAAGTACTTCATGGAGCAGAAGCACCAGCCTTAAAACGTTTCCTGCTGTTTGAAAATAATTGCCCATGTATTCAACTACAGTTGCTGTGTAAACTCTCTCCAAAGACATTAGAAGATACTCTTACATAGAAACAAAAGGCAGGCAGGAGAACCCTGTCTAAATATCTCACACTCTTCTCTTTATGTAGTCTGTTGTCATAGAGATTTAAAATAGTATGTTTGCTAATTTTATTATGTAGAATGTATTCATTAATATGATTGCCTAATCCATATTAGATAGTATATTATATCTGGTAAAAAAAAAAAGACATAGAATTGATATTTGGTCTGGCATTGAAATTGATCTTTCTGATGAGTAAGAGCTGGAAGCATTTTACAGGCTCAAACCTGAGGAGCTGACGAAAATATTTCCAACATACCATGTTTTCTCAATTGACAATTATATACTTTTGAAACTTCCAAGGGGCTTTTCACAGTGTGTATATTTAGCCACTTTCTAGCAAGATAGTTAATGAATTACAGGAGTTATTTAATCAATGTGTTTTGTTAGCGTAACATTAATATTAATTAAATGTTCATTAAAAAAATCGGATCCTTAACAGCCTAAATCCAAGGGCTCTGAGTGTGGTGCGGAAGCCTTCTTCTCAGTGGGATGCAGCTTCCCTGTGAAGCTTTTATCAGACAAACTGATATTAGTAGAAAATATCCTACAAGTTCTTTTAACACACATTATTTCCTTCAAAATAATAACTTGAACTGCAAAGGTCCACTGAGTTTGATTTCCCCCATGCTGCTGGCGATGCGAACGTTTCCAGCGTCTCCTGAGATCAGCTCCGCCAGCTCGGGCCTCTGTGTGCTAAGCCCTGTGAGATAATGGAAGGAAGAGAAAACTCAGTGCCCCAAATCCTCTCAGTCTATAAATAATGACAAAAACAGAACACCGACTACATCCCTTTCTCCTGTGGGAAGCCAAAAACAAAACTGGAACTTATTAAAGGAAAATTTTAACTTAGATGAATCCTGTTGTAGCGTTTGGGGTTTTTATTTTTTAATTTTTATTTTATTATTATTTTTTCTGTATTGGTTGAAGAGTCCTTTGAGTGAAAGCGTTTTCCAAGATGGTCAGTGTCTCTACGGAATTTTAGAGCTGATTGCATCAATTTCTCATGATGGAAACACTGTATTTTTCACGAGCTATGTGGGAACGTCAAATTCTTCATTCCAAGGGTTTCAATCATCAAAATTGATTTTAACCTGTGACAAAACAGGACTTTTCTTCCCGAGCCCGCGCCCACCCTGCCTTTGTCTCGCGTCCTCCTGATGTGAAGCACCTGCCGCCGTCCCGGATTCACAGACGGGCCCGGGCGCTTCACCGCCAGCGTCAGCCTCGCAGCGCCAATCGCGCAGCCGCAGCGTCCGGGCCACGGGCAGCTCCAGACGGCCGGGTCCCCGCAGCCGCGCTCCTGGACGGGCCTCCGGGCTGGGCCTGCCCGGCACGCGGTCTGGAGCGTGGGATTTCCACAGCCGGCCCCTGTAGTAACACAGAAACACACAGCTTCACGGATGCGCGGGGGGTGTGTTTTGGAGGCGCAGACAATGGAAGGCAGGTTGTGTTTCCACTGGAGCAGAGCCCAGGCGAGGGCCGCCGCCTGCCAGTGTCACGTAAGAACGTCCCCCCTCTTCCCGCTGCACCAGTTCTGTCTGTCAGACCCAGCAGAGGTAGGCGTTGGAGTCCACGCCCTCGGGACGCCTCCACGGGTGTGCTTAATCACTGCCAAAGTACAGGCTGCACACCCACTGCAGATTTTACTGCAAACTTGGGGACCACTTCGGTTTGAAACCCTCTGTCTTTCCCGCTGTCCTCCCCTTTCAGGATTAAATGAACGTCTCTGGACCTTCCAGCCCCCTCTTTGCTTGCTTCTGTTATTCCGCGGTTAAAAAGCTACCTACTTTCACCATTGTGGCAATTTTAACACCGCCTCTTTTCCTTTCCTCATCTTCAATTCTACTGCTTTCCTCAACTCATTTATTCTTCCTAAAAATAATGGTTTTCTCGACATTTCTGGAGTATAAATATATGAGTCCTTGACACAAATCTGTCCACAAGCTCTCTATGGTTTTACTGGAGCCCACATTTCTGCTGTACTCACGCCTTATTCTCACTTCTGGGCACTCAGAGACAAACGACTTATTGCACCAAAAAGAACCAGAGAGAACCGAGAAAGGAAGAGGATGAGAGACCCCACCTTTGTTCATTTAATGAAACATTTCTCATCCAACCACCCCATATCTGTGTGGATTCTTTTCCAAAGGGCATGAAAAAAACATAGTAAATCCTCAGGTCACGTGCTATTCCATGTCACACTGCTGTCAAAGGTGAGAACACTTCTGCCTTTAAGCCCTCAGTCCAGGGGAGGAAATAAGACCACATCCATACGGGGGCATCTCAACTGGATTCCACCTGAAGTCACTGTAATTTTGGGGGGAGATAATAAATCAACATTTTGTGTGATACATACTGAGATTTTTCAAATTGACAAGTTCCCCTAAAGCATAGACTGTCTTCTGCAGAGGGAACTGCAACAGCGTGGATGACTGAAATGAGCTGAGACTCACCCGCCAGGTGAGGAGGCCCCTCCTGAGAGCAGGTGAGCGGGCTCATGCCTCGGAAACATCGTCTGCAATGGCCAACTCAAGGCCGCTCTCAGCTACCAAGCACTTGTGGGAGCTGCTCATGCGAATAAAACCTGAGCCTGCCCTGGGGTCCTGACCCGAACGAGTGATTCCACAAAGCAGAAGCAACGGCCCACAGACCTGTGCCCCAGTGCGTGGGAATGATGGTGCACACAGTGTGGTTAAGGTCTGGCACGTGTCCCGAGCAGAACAACCTCAGCCCCAACAGCCTGGAGTGCGGCCCACCTAGTGACTTGCACCAGCTGCATCCTGGGTCCACGCAGATGGTATGTCCTCCTGACCTCTGAGCTTTCACATTCCTTCCTCGACACCTGCAGAGAGGTGCGTGTGCCTCATTGCAGCGTCACCACCGCCATCTCAAACATCTTCATAAAACAGTGGGGGTCGGGAGGCATAGAGTCCTCCAAGGGTGGGATTATGGAGCTGTTTCCAGATCTCTAGGTCCTTCCTGGTCTAATCTACTCTACCATGGAGCCCCAGGAGGATTCAGCCTGGGAAGCCCTGGGCTTCCGTGTTCTGAGGACCTACAGTTATTCTAAGTCTGCACCCAAGGGAAAATGCACCGCTGGTACTTCTCAGGCACAAGGTTTTGGCCTATATGCCTTTGGAAATACCTGTGATTTTCACCTATAATAAGATGTTTAGAGTAATGGTGTCAGTGTCCACCTTTCTCTCCCATCTTAAGGTTGGCAAAAGTATAATATGTTCTTAGAAATATAGAAAGGCCAATAATTCGGTGAGCTTAAGTCACCGATCTTTATATTTATTTAAACATCTCTATTAAAAAACAAAGTGGAACAACATCAAGATTTAAAGCAATGCATATTTCACTGATATAAAAGCTTTATATTTTCTTATTGAAAGTGCTAGAGGAACCTCTTGGGAAGATGAGAGAGGCAGAAACCGAGGGAGGGATCTTGCTGAGCATATTCAAGATGGGAAAATAAACTGATTTTAAAATCTTACTGCTACGCAATATTAATTTATCTAAAGCCTTACAAAAATGTTACCATCCATGAAAGGATATGTTGAATGCTTATGATAAAATAACGGGCAGTGTTCCAGGTCATTATCCAGGAAGATTAAGTTAAGGGCCATAGGTCATAAGATCCAGTTTACTGACTACATTCCAGGAAGTTTAGGACAATAGAAGTTTAAAAAGATCAGAGGACGGAGTGGACTTCACTTCATCATTTCCAAGTCCATAGGCCTTGGTGCTGTGCTTTAGCCTTGGTGTTTTCCTTTTAATCTGTAATAGAGAGTTGTAGGAATTAAATTAAATCAAATGAAATGGCACCTGTCATTTACATAAATGGTGGCCGGCACAGACCAGGCACTCAAAACTGCTACTGTTATTGTAATTGTGAGAATCAATGGCTCACAGCTCTAACCTCTGACATCCTCTTTTCCCCCATTGCTATGGTTTACCCTGCTGTGCACACTGGAATCTTTGCATTTTCCTTCATTAATGTGTGATGTTCTCCCTTCCAAGGAAGACATAATTTTTCCTTTGCATTCTATTTTGATTTTATTTTTTACTTTTCTATTCTCTCTTTCTGTGGTCGGCACAATATTGGTCCCCAGAGATGTCCATGTCCCAATCCCAGGAAGCTGTGAGTGGTTCTGTTACAGGTGGGGGGAAGCCAGGTTGCCAATCAACTGAGCTTCACTAAGGAGGTTTCCCAGGATGGCCTGGATGCTCCAAAGTAATCAAGGGGGCCCTGCAATGGGGGGAGAAAGGCAGGAGAGCCAGTGTCAGGGAGATGCTGTGTGAGAGGCCGGCCGGTCCTGCTGGCGTTGGAGGTGGAGGAGGGACCAGGAGCCAAGGAGTGTGGGCGGCCACGGAAGCTGGAAAACTCCAGGACGGATTCTCCCCCAGGGCACCGGAAGGAAGCCACGCTGCAGACACCCTGCTTTCAGCAGAGGAGAGCTCTTTGAACCTCTGATCTAGAACTGTAAGATAATAAATGTGTGTTGTCATAAACCACTAAATTTGTGGTATGTTTTTACACCAACATCAGGAAATGAATGCATCAACTCTATTATTAATTTCTGGCTTAATGCAAATCCTGCTTACTACTCTAATTTAATATGTACAGGATAAATTCTGTACATATTTACATTAACATTTTAAAATATCGCATTATTATGCACTGCTAAAGAAACTTCAGCTATTTCTTCTGCATTCTCATGGGAAATAAAAACTTCCTACTCGGTTATGTAAGGGTATTTCTAGTTTATTTGTTCAACATTAGAGAATGCATTCCTGCCGCTGCACGTGCTTGGCTCTACCCCACCTTCACCTGATGAGTCAAGCCCAGAGATGTAGACTCCTGCCTCCTTACCAAAACCCGCCCTTCAAGTTCCATTTTAGCCCCCTGTCTCTTCCACAAAGCAGCCTCTAATTCCTGAAACCCCAGTGGTTGTGCTGTGTATTCCTCTATCTATTACACTTAGTAAGTAAAAGCACATAGCCTAAAGCTGCAAGCCCTGCGGTGGTTACTTGCATAGACGCAAAACAATTTGCTGTAGGAGGGCGGGTTGCAGCAGGAAGACACAGGAGCTTTTCAGGATCCAAATCCACACCGAGTTATCAAGAATAATTTAAGGTAGTCATTCAAAAAACATGAATTCAGTTGAATACGTGTTGCATCCTTTGGTGACCACAATTCTAAAACACAGAGCTGTGACCAAATGCATTTGGTTTATTTTACTCTAACTTTACCATAATGTGTGTGTGTGTGTATATATACATATATGATATATTTATATACTTAATTTTCATTTATATGTTTATACATAAATATACAATTATACATAATTATGTGATCAAATATATAATTTTATATATGTGTATATAGGTAATATTTATTTATGTTTATAACTATAAATATTCATCCATCATAAATACACACATATATAGCATAGCCATCGTCTATATATGTATGTGTATTTGTATATTTTAAACTCAGCAAACAATCAAAGAAATGAGACCCCTGAGTGGAGCAGCCCGCTCTGCCATCCCTCTGCACGGTGAAGCTGTCGTCCTGAGTTCTCATCGGAATGCTTCTCTGCGTTCTGTATACAAACTCCGGAACCTTCTATCATCCTGATGTATTGATGTGCACACCAAGGCAAACGGACACCAGGAGGTCCCTACCTGGGACTGAAGGAAATGATCTTTTTTCTCTGTTCTCACTCTTGACCAAGGTTATTCTCTTTATCATGTGCAGATTTTATTGAGTGATGCCAAGTGAGATGAATAGAAGCAAATAATGACAGGGCTGCGGAGATGAAGCACGAGGCGGGGTCGCCAAGGTTCCGCACTGAACAAATTGAGTCACATCTACTTCTCATCCATTATTTAGGGGTGATTGGCCGGGCTTGGCTTCTATAGATTTGATAATCATTCAGATGTCCATATTTAATACGTAACATAAATTTCTCATTTGGATGTCGATGGCTTGTCACCGCTGAACAACAATGCATAAAAGGAGAGCTAATGTATGGATTCTCAGAAATATTTGACATAAATAAATATGTAAAAGGGAGATAATAAAATCTGTTTCTATCTGCCTGCCAGCGAGCCTTCATGTCAGGCTGGACAGCCTCGTGTAATGCCGTGATTTTATGCAGCTGTATCCTATGAATATTGGCCTGCACACTGGAGATTAGCGCGCAGCAGATGTTTCTCTGCAGGCTAACAAATATATCACCCCTGATAACGGATGACAAATGTTGTTCCATATTGTGTCAGACAAAACCAGGGCTCTTGTAAAACAAGTGTTACAGCTGGAATAGGATATTTTCACACGGTTACCTAAGGAGAAGACAAACAGACAGTCGCCTGCTCCAAAGGTGTCTGAATGCTGCGGCCGGCGTTCCCAGCCAGGCAGGCCAGGGACAGCTGAGAAAGTGCGGGGATGAGGAGCTGGGCATCCCTGAGGGGTCCTCCCTGTCTCCCAGAGAGCACATGCCTGCGTTTGCAAGGAGCTTCCAATTATTCACCAGCGTTTTTCTTTTTTTCCTTCCAGGAGCTTTCCCCAGCACAGACCAGAAAACACACTCAGGCCGTTTGGGAGGAGAGAGCCACCGAGATAGGAAAAGAATAGCTCATTTCTTTATTTACTCCGGTGATTTCAGAGGCAGCCGACCGACGGAGAGTTAAATGTCTGTGCAATAAGACAGAGCGCAAAGTGCTCCCCCTTTATGAATATGAAACCCAGTTAGTAAGCACTGTCTACCGTGGCTGCTTCTCCAGTGCCTGCTGGGCCATGGCGTCGGCCTCCACTGAACCTTTGCAGGGTAGAAGGAGTATTAACTTCTCCCTCTTTGCTCGTTTGTTTATTAATTCTGTGTCTCTTCTCTCTCCTTTCCCTGCAAAAAATAAATAAATAAATAAATAAATAAATTCTATTCTGTAACCTTCAGAACTGACTGGCTTCCAGGCAACTCAACAATTGTGGATCTGGGCAGGGTGTTTTTATTCCGGGCCCTTCTCAGGACTGGGCCACTTAGATCTTCTGGGGCTGTGGGACTGTCCACTGGATTGTGCACTTAAGTAAATACACCTTCTCGTCTGCCAACAAAGATGCTGAGAAAGAAGCTGATAGAACAGCACGGCAACTTTCAATCACTTTCTGACTCATGAATGAACTTTTTCTCACCTCCCCGCTTCCTCATGGAGACTTTGCTTGCCAGTTACCGTGTTTTCCCCAAGCAATTTTATACAATGAGACGGTAACAGTTGTTTGTCTGATAAAGCACGTACTATTTAGAACACAGATGTTTGATTATTATTTATTTCTCTCTGAAGCCCACTAATTCAGTCCCAAATGATCTCTTTTTCCCTTTTGCTTAAATTTCATTTGGAATGTATGTTGTTGGTAAGTGACAGGTAGTTTAATTATTAATAGGATCCTGTAATGCAAGGCACCATAGTTTTAAACTCTTCGGGGGCCAAAACACCACCACCTCCTTCCTCCCTCATGCTCCTAGGACTCCTTGATGAATACAAAGGTAATTACAAAATGCATGACAAACCTGCATGTATTATCTTCTTTCTTCAACATTTGTGCTTGCCTATGATTTCTATCGAGTGCCACTCAAATTGCAGAGCAGTCATAAATCAGTGCGGCCTTTGGGGTGTCCTTGTCTTTGGGACCATGATATTTATCTAGACGTGCATATGTATCCAGCTGTATTTCATAGGTAGCTTCATGGATATTATATTTATAATCCCAATAGAAGACTTCGACCCAAACCTCCAATTGCCTAAAAGTCAGTACCAGGACATCAATAAAGAAACCACAGAGGAGCAGGTAATCGCACAGAAATAAAAGAAAAGCAAGAGAAGGAAAAAAAATTTAAAAAAAGCCCACATTGAGCATGTCCTGTAGAATACAGCTGTCAGCTGGTTTTCTGTGTCTTGTTAGCTCGGCTGGAGCCAGTGGTGATAGAGCAAGCCCTGGGTTTGAGCCCTGTATGGGCCAGTTAGTCTCACAGGCTGCCTCTCTAATCACAGCTGCGGTCTCACAGATGTTTGCCATTGGTCAGAAGGAGGCTAGGACCAAGGGGTGTCTAAGAAGCAGCGTAGCTCATCACTCCAAGTGGGGTGGGGAGCTCAGCACCTGCCTCCTCACCATAGCACGGGCCACCTCTGAGGGGCACGGTTTGGGGGAGTCCTCCGAGGCTCGGGATACCATTTTCGGGGCGTCTTAGACCTGAGCATCACAGCACCTACTGCCCTGAGCATCTACATTACAGTACTTGCTGCACAGCGTGGAAATATAAATCTCGTTTTCTTTTTTATGGAAACGGGCTTCCAAGAGAACCTAAGTGTCCTTTGTTTATCCCTGACTCCAGCACACACCCCATCCCAGTACCTGGGCCCCTCTACGTTCCTGAAAAATGCCTGGAAAATTCGCCAGCTCCCTACTGATTTAACTCTTTACCAAAATGAAAATTAGTCCCTTGTCTCAATAATAGGTCTCAGCATGACTGGTTACTGCTAAGGTACTCACCTGTTTCCTTCCTTTATCCTCGAAAGCAAAGAGTGTCTTGCTCACTGCAGATTTTAGCATATGAAAGAAGCTGGTAAATAGTAGGTGCTCAATAAAACATGTAATTTGAAATCAAGGTCTGCAGTCACATTTTAAATAAAAATGATATACACATTTTGTGTGTGTGTGTTGAAGACAATAGAAACACTAATAGGGAAAAATTGCATGGATGTAAAGTCTAAACAATTAATAACTCTGGTCACTGGGGTAAAGAAAGCAATCTCATTAGACTCAATAGTAAAGGTACATGCTTAAAAAAATAACAGCCTGGCATTTGGCACACAGGTAGTTTGGCAAAGATTCAGCTGTCATTAAACCAAGAGCGTCCTATGTGACTGTATGGCCATCAAGCAACACGAAAGGAGGGAAGAACAGGTAAGGTTTGGAGATGGGAACCCAGCCCCAGTCATGCCCCAGGTAGCAGGGAGAAGACAGTCCCAGAGGCCTTACAGACAAGAGCCCAACTCCTCTGCCTGCTGTGTCACCTGTTCTCAGGCAGCAAGTGTTTGCAAGGGGGCAGAAGGAATGTGGGCTTCTGGGCCTCCCAGTGTCCTTGAAAATGTGCCCATTGTTGTCATAAATGACCTTAGATTTAAAATGTAAAAAACTGCAGCTACTTTTTGCAAACATAGCTGTAAAATTTTAGCAATATTTGGATTCTAGTAATCTTAATATTGTCTTTATATTAGGTCTTTTAAATTTGATAACTAATCATTTTTTTTCTTGTTGTTTAGAAAATCTGAAGTCAGAGTCCGTTTTTCTAAGGATCCCAAGTGAAAAATGACTGAGTAGGTAGAAGGTGAGGGAGAGAAACTAAGGTGCTGACAGATACTCTGTACAGCGTTTGAAAACTCAGAATCTCTCTGTCTCCAGGAAAAAGTCATCAAGGAATTGAGTTCATATCTAATTTTAAAAATCTTCCTGTAACTTCTCTTCCAGGGTCCAATGTGTTATTCATTTTCTTTTTCTTTTTTCTGCTGTAGGAATGCTTTATGCAATTTTTGAAAACTAAACTGCAGTTTCCCTTTGAAAAATGGAACAGCATTAACCTAATAATTAAAGAACGGGCTAAGCAGGAGGTGGGGAGGGCGGGAAGGAGGTGGGGAGAACAGCACAGGCATCTCAGGCTGCTTGGAGCCCATCACGTGAACAGGGCACCCTGGGTTCTTAAACTGTGTGTCTCCAGGAGAGGAGAAAAACAATGTGTGTACTAAGAAGGGGAAGAGTCCATAGGACCCTGTGGTTCCTGAGCTCATAGTCTCAGAAGGTAGAAGGCAGGGTCATTACGTTCTGACGTGTTCATTGCTTTTGCTACCAGTAGTTTGATTAAGTATATTTTTCCTAATGACATCGTTTACCCCTACTTCTACTGGCAAGAAAACCCCACCACAACCCATAAAGCAATGCTTGATAATCTCCCACAGGGAAAGAGCAAATACAATCTAAACAAAATCTCCTTCAAAAAGAGACTGTAAGTAATTTGAGCATAGAGAGTAGATGGAAAAGGTTCAGCAAACAGGCACATGATAAATGGATAAAACTGTGAAATGTTGCCTTCCTAAAATCTCCAAGCTTTTCCCTTATTCTTGATTAAATACACGATATAATTATATAAACTGTCACAACCCTATAGATATGTTAATGCCTAGTCACTACTGTAGCTTATTAGAAACCTGATTTGAGATGATATGTTACAGTATGCTTTAGTTTTCTTCTTGACAATTGAAATGAATGGGTTAAATTTCAATGATCTCTAGCTCAGGCAGTATCCTCAGGGATGTGTGTCCCCTGTGGTAAAGGTCCAGAGTACTTTCAGGGATGCGGCCTAGCCGCAAGCTTCCAGAAGAATAGGTCCTCAGAATGAAAAACTGCTAGTTGGACCTTTTCCTGCCATCCAAAATCATTTCCCCTAAAAGACACGGGAGCTGCAGAGCCCCACGAAACGCAGGTTTCCAGAGACCTAGTGTCTTGTAAGTTGTCCCCGTAAACAGCCAACATAAACAGCAATGCATGGGCAAATGCGGGCATAGCACTCTTGAAAGTTCTATTCGCTTAACACAAATCATTAGATATGATCCAAAACGAAGACACGGCCTTCTTATTCCCCAGCTCCTCCTATTTCTCAATGTGTTCTGAAACGGGAATCCCAACAGAGACACATGTATTTAGAAAATGATTACCAGTTCCTCGTTTGTCAAATCCATTTACTAAAGATTCACAACCACCTAACAAACTATTAGAAAAGCAATTTTATTTTTCACAGATTCCTATAAACATAACTAGAATAACATGATATCTGTGCAATTAAAGCTATTTTCTGTGAAATTGAAACATTGATTTATTACCCCAACATTTTCCCATTAAAATAATCTGAGTTGCAGCATAATACATATTTGAACAACCTTTTTATTATATACGATATGCATTTAGGAAATGAGTTATTTTTCTCTTCCACACCATTTTGAGTGCAGCCTCTTAAGCTTTAGGTTTGCTTCTTATCTGTTTCCTTTATTAGAAAAACTTAAAAATCAAAGTAACTAAACTTCCACACTGGTATATATATATATATATATATAGAGAGAGAGAGAGAGAGAGAGAGAGAGAAGCCAGTGATTCTCCCCCAAAACCATGGTGATACCAAACATAGATAATTCTATATTGTTAGAGTGTTTGGTCTTCCTGTCTCAAATAATATGTCAAATTGGGCAGGTAATGCATTACTCACTGCAGACATATACACACAAATGCTGCACTACCTATGTTAAATGGGGTGACATTTCCCAGGGAGGTTACAGCAGCATCATCTTAGAAATGAAATTCTAATTCTCCTGCTCACAGCCTGTGTGGCCTCAGCCCTTTACCCTTCTGGTCTTGGGAATCTGCATTTCTGGTGGGGGAAATGAAATAATACAACTTAAGTTTTCCATGTGTACAAAAACAAATAACAGGTGTGAACAAATTTTTAGCTATGAAATACTTTCCAGAATTAAGGTAAAAAAAAAATCCCACCAAATGTCAAGAGTTTCCCAGGTTCCAGTTCACGAATAATGGGAAATCTCCAGGTTTGCAGAGGGAATGAGCTCTTACACGGTAATCTGATCCCAGTTTACCATTTTGCCATTTTCATTCTTCAGTGGAACTGTCAGCTTCCTGGCATGATGAAGGGCCAGGTTTCCGGGAACTGAGGTATCCCACTTCGCTGGCCTTGAGAAAGTGGAAACTCTCAGGTGCATCTCCATGTGGGATGGTGATTGATCTGTTGGTGAGGATCGACCATCTCTGCTTATCTCAGGAGATACTGGCCTTATCTGTTTACCAAAAGGTAAAAGGGTTTTGTTTCTGGTACGTCTTGCTTCTGGTACATCTTCGTGCTTTGGAATTCGATCTTTAAAAAATGAGTTTACTTAAATTTGCAAAGACTTTTTACCATGAATCATAGTGAAATATAAAAATACTTTAGTCAAAATGGAGAAGCTATGATTTGGAGGCGGACGGTCATTCTTGGGAGCATGTCAGCTGTGTGGCCTGGTGCTGCTCCTTGAGCTTTCCAGACCTCAGGCTCCCATCTTTGCGCAAGAATTTTGCACCGTGAACAGTCCGTGGATCACGCCCTTTATCCATCTGCAAACCCCTAACTGATGAGATCTTTGTTGAATGTTGATTTAGGGTACAGCCTATTGCAACTTTCCAATTAGCATCACCAGCTTTGAAAAGACAGTTACTCTCCTAATTCCTGACTGATGCTTACTGTACAGTAGTTTCCCCATTAAGTGTTTAGTTCTTGACATCTTTGGACATATGTCCCTTCACAATGCTATTTTGTAATATTCTTCTCTGCGACCAAAGCACACTGAGGGAGAGGGGACCTACGAGGAGGGGAACATGAAGACGAAAACATGCTGCTCTTCCTTAAGCAGAGGATGAGATGGAAGTGAATGGGGATGGTGACGGTGATAATTAGAGATGCACAGAACTTGTCAACTCCACCTCACGTGGGTGCAGATGACATTCTGGAAGCTTCTGGAATTCACCTGATCTCACACCCTGGAATTTCCCCTGTGGTTTATTGGTTTGCAATGTTAACGGCGTAGGTAAATCCAGAGAGAAGTCAATGTTAATTTTTCTCCAATCTGTGTTGCTTATTTTCACTGTTTTACAATATAAGGGATGAAGCTGACTTCATAAATTCTTACCATCCAACTGCATCTGACAACATGCCACGGCAATGACAGAATCCTAAAGTCCTCCTGGAAATCTTGTATTTCTCAATAAAATTAAATTCCATGCCAACAATCCCTTGATCTGAAAAAATGAAGTGTGCCTCCAGCTGAACCTGCCGCCCGTTCAGCCGTGTACTAAAGGCACCCCAGCTGTATTGTGGCTCTATCACAAATCTTTCCAATTTTTCTCTCTCCATCTTTTCACCTACGCTTTGCTTCTGATAGACTCCCAAAATACTTAAAAATGTGCACCTTCTTCCATCCAAAGTCATTCCATCTGTAGTCACACTTTGTCACAAATCAAGTTCATTCAATTCAAGGGGGATCTGAGGACAAAGACTAGAAAGGGATGAGATATTGTAGGGAGGTCCTCGAAGGGAAGGCCAGCTCTGGCTTCTCTCTGCCTGTTCCCATGCTGTTCTTCCTCCTTCCCTGACCTGCTCCCTTTCTTTGGGTGCCAAAGCCGAATGAAGAAAACAGTGGCATCCATGGAATCGCAAACCTCTCAGGAAGGGATGAGGGAAGAGGCAGTGGTGGTGGTTCTGTGTGGCCAGGTGGGAATTGGGGATGGGGGAGGCAGAGCCATGAACCCAGGAGGGGCACCCCGACAGGGAGAAGCATCTGCTCAGTTTTCCAAGTACCCTTGCCGCTGGAAACGAGGCTGGAGGTGCAGGAGACACACATCAGTGGACGGCTTCTGCAGGGCAGGGGCTGACTTACAGCTGCTGGTGACTCTGGACATGATCCTAGGGTCACGTGACTCATCTGGGTGGGTTTAGCAGGTGCAGCTGCTTCCCAGGCCAGCACCTCAAAGGTGTGCACAGACCACGTGGTCCCTGAGGAGCTCTCCTGGAGAGGCGCCCTGGACCCCTGCCTATCCGGTAGTGCCTTCCCACCACAGGCTGAACATGATGGGGGCCCTAGACGGCTGCGGCTGCCCTAGGGCTGTGGAAATGAAGCTGGGGCCACTGACCCCATTCCCCCGGCCTCATTCCTCTATTGAGGACAAGTGATGCCTCTTTGCAAAGCTGTTGTGTGGGATGGAGATAATAAGATACACAATGAGTCTCCAACACACAATAACACAGTAAATAAGTACTTTTCCAGGTACTGCAAGAAGAACTGTAGTGATTAATAATATTAATGCAATGATTATAGAAGTCCTGGTAACTCAAAATTCCTGGAATGAATAGTACTAATGCTTAAAAAGTTAGATGGTTTTAAAACTGTTTAGTACATTAAGTTACTAATGCTTAAAAAGTTAGATGGTTTTAAAACTTTTCTCTCAGGGACATATATCTACATTTCTAAGATGTATTTATAATATAAATCCCATTGAGAATAGTGCATTAGATACAGCCCTTGCTGCCATCTTTCTGCTTCTTGTGCCATTATAATTCTTAAACTGGTACATGTAAGGGACTATTACTAACAATTAAAATATTTTGGGGAAAATTAGATTCCAAACAAGGCCCCCGTACGATTTTCCCTTCTGTTTGCAGGAGGTCGGCTCGTGTTTTGTGCACTGGACTCTTTTTCAGAGGACGCTCGTTGCCAGAGGCAGAGAACCACACAGGCCTCTGCCAAGTTTTCTCCTGGGGCTTCCTGTGGTCAGGAAGATCATAAGGAAAGGGAGTTCAACACGCTCCCTTTTCCTTCCTGCACAGATATGTCCCTTCACTGTGAAGCCTCAAAGGCCTCCCCGTGCCCCCAGCTCACACTGGGATTGGCAGCCTTTCCTTTCTGGGAATCACCAGTTCTGCAGCACAAAGCCGTTTGTCGGGTCCTCCACAGAGCCCTCCCCTCCGGGCCCTTCCCTCCCTTCGAGCTGCCCGTATGATGACGGTAAGACACACAAAAATCCTTACCACACTGGCGACGGGGAAGATGGGAAGAGCCTTTCTCTAAAGTGTTCCAAATATTACACTGTCAACCTAGACACACCTTATGTATGTGAAACTCTAGAAAAAAGTAAATTTCAAAATGTTCACTATTCTGATTTAAAGTTCTCTGTTGGAATTTTAATTTTAGGAACTACACAAATGTCTTTTTTCACCGTTAATTAGAGAGTCCAGATAACATTTTCTTCTTTCATGAACACAAAAAGCATTTGCCCCCTCCAGCCATGGTGCCTTCCTGATGGGGCCTCAGTTTTATTTTTGCATTGGTCACAAGGGTTGATTGACATGTTATAGGAGAATATTAGTTGATTGATTTTTTTTCATATTTTAAATCAGCAACTACTCTCACACTGCTAGGCAATGTTATTAAGCAACATTCTTAGGAACTGTGAACAAACCCAAGCAAAGCTGAAGCAAATGTTCTACCTAATTATCCTGGATGGACAGAAGTTGGACAGTTTATTCTCAGGCAAATTCCAAACGCCAATTGCACCCTAATTCCCAGATGTTTATTTCTTCAGAGCTCTCCATGCCTCCTCAGCCACCAGGGTCGCTGACCCAGATCTCTTCATCTCAAATGTGCTGCGCTTTGCACAGGGAGTGAAGTTCAGCCCCGGTGTCTGCGCCTGCCGGGTCCTCCCAGGAGTGGCCGAATGATTGTGCAACCCTGCTTCAGCTCTTTCATGAACCCCAGTGTGCCTTCACTTAGTGACTAGAGTGGGATGAAGCCCTCCTCCTGATGGCTGGTGAACCCACATTTTCCCAGCCTGAAACTAATTGGCTGGTGTGGTGATCCGTGACCCAGGACTTATTAGGGTCATGTTTGAGGACTCCAGCCTCAGAGTCATATGGTCATCAAGGGGAAAGGACACACATCATAAGTCCAGGAGAGAACCTAGAGCTGAATCCCCTCTCTGGAAAACATTGAACACAGAATTGAGAGAATGTGCCATTTATGATAAAACCGAGAGACAAATTCCAGTGAGAGAACAGGAAACTTCCACTTCTGACAGTTTTGCTGAATTTCATCAATTGTAAGTCAGCAACATATTGACGGTAGAAAAAAATCAGATTCCCTGATAAATTATCAGGGCTTGATCTGTAATCGAATGCTCTCATGGTAGATATGTGTTAATAAAAGACAGCCAACATCTACACAAAGTCACTCCGAGTACCAGACAGTGAGGACACTCTTCCTGAATGGAGACCTGGGAGAAGTTTTTCTTTATTTCTTTGAATACCTACATAAGGGTCTCAGCTAGGCGAGGTGATCATAATAAAGCACACTGGCTGAGATCCCGTTTTGTAGGTGGAAAGAAATCCATGTAAACAGCTCTTTTCCATTACAATTTAAACATAACTAGATTTAACATGGACTCCTGAAATTGGGATATGGTGGGGAAAACCCAAGCCCTTTCCTCCCTGTTACCTGCCCTCCGCCACCCGCTGAGGTTGGCCAGACCAGGCGGGCTTGGGCTGGTGTGGGGGCGCCTCTCCTCTGGAGCCATGGCGCTGATCAACGTCTCCCATCGTTCCTCCTCCCCCTCCTTTTCCGTCAGATCATCTTGGCACAACCAGCACAAACAAACTTTGTTAACGGCTTTAAACTTGGAAGCTCGCTTTTTAAATATTTGCCGCTACATAATTGAAACAGCTGTTTTAATGAGATACCTACTGTCATCATTTTACCCTGGCTGAGCTGGGTGACAACAAAGCAGTAATAACGAATTCAATAATAATTAACTCGGGTCATCTGCTCATCTGTCACGGCCCATCAGCTTTAGGGAGAAAAATCCCAGTGAACTTCTCTCTTTTGTGAGCTTTCCAAAACCCTGTAATAAAACGCTTAGAGAGGACTCTAGGTAGCCCTTCAAAAGTTCTAAGCAAACTGGTAAGTAGGTTAATTAAATTTTATGCATGTTTAAATGCTAATGATTACATTCCTGACATTACAGTGTAATCTGATATGGAATGATGTCATGCAAGCAGTGGTTTTAGTGCCTAAACACATTCCCATCCCCACGCCGAGCAGCAGCTCTGGATCATTTATCGAAGGGCAGGACGTTGACAGCGGCGTTGGAGAGCAGGTTTTCACTCAGGTCCCTGACTCGCCTGATGCATGCTAATCAGGGAAGTTGCAGGAAACAACCGCCCTCAGCCCAGCAGCAAACCGGGGAGGGTCATCAAAATGTTCGCTTTTTTTGCCCCCTGCCTGTAAATTCATAGTCCTGGCACCGGAGTGAGGACGCATCCCGCCTGCTTGCCAGGATTCTGAAAAAGGAAAGTGAGGTCGAGTGTCCTCCTCCAACCCAGGCTTTCCTCTGCTGCTGCGCGCCCCACCTCTTCCCTGGCAGCACGCACAAGATCGTCAATATTTCTGAGCGAGGAGGATTCACAGATGCACGGGCTCCTGATGACACAGAGGGAGCCACAGACATTATCAGTGCTGGCTCCAATTTCACCAGGAACTTAGGGCAGCGCCTCTCAGACCGTACTGGGCACAGAGACCATCTGAGGGTCTGTGGAGATGCAAATGGTGATTACGCGGATCTGGGGGCTGGCCTGGGAGTCTGCATTTCTGACAGGCTCCCAGGTGAGGCTGATTGCTGCTGGAAAGAGGACTGCGCTTTGAGGACTCAAGGGTACAGCTCTGGCCAGCTGCAGACAAAAGGAAGCAGAAAACCCCCGTTACTCTAAGACAGAACCACTCTCATCTCAATGCATTTTTTGTTAATTTCTTTATACTTTTAAACAACGATATTTGGAATGCCTTCTGAATTGACTGCCTTAATTGTACACGAAGCATTCTGATAAGCAGCACTCTCTGACAGGAAGACGTGGTGTCTTCTGTTCCATTATGAAGCTAATTTTTTATTTCCTGCTTCTTCCTCTAAACAAAGCGTAGCTGATGGAGCGCTTTGGCTATGGAATTACGTAACACAGAGACTACGATATATCAAAACATGAGAATTTCGATTAGAGTGTAACAGGACTGCAGCCTCCACCACTGCTTCGGATCAACCACTAGTGACAGTTGTCGTGATAACTACAGAAATTAGTACATTTTCCCTTATTCAATTGAGACACAAAAGGATCCTGTTAAATTAGTCTAGTGATATCTTTTTGGAGCTGGATTTTGGCCCAGGTTTGAGGGAACTGAGCTATAGCCCAGATACCACATCTTCTGTTATAAATAGTGAAATTCCGTTGATAGCCAAACTAAGTCCTAGCTGACATTTCAACATTATGCTGGATTGCGAAGGAAAGTTCACAACTCAAAACCAAATGGCCCACATACTGCTCAGTGCTTGATTCATAATGCAGTTTTTCCCAAATTAAGCATTATTGCAACATAGTGTTCTTTCCCAAAGAACAGTCAGCTCAAGCCTTCTGTGCATGGGATTGGAACAAGGATATTTTAGACAAATGGCACCAGCAGGGCAAACGTATGGCAATATCCCCAGTCACTAGTAAATAGCCCCCTTGTCCCATAGCTGTTCTCAATACACCAGGAAGACCTTTAATACGCCCTGCATGTTTCAAACAGCATCAGAGCAAAACACCGCAGCAAGCCACCACACACACCTTGGTGAGCAGTTTTACCATTTAACACTGTCTGTTGATGTTATCAGTGTTTTGAAGAGATTCAGAAGAATAAATGGTTTTGTATTTCAAAATTATCTAAGAAAAAAAACAGTCCAAAATGGCAAGCACTGCCTTCCTTGCTCTGCGCATCAACAAAGGAAGGTAAAGTTTATTCTGGGGAGATATTCGCAGCTGTGGTCAAGCTAGTGTAGTTGGATAGCCTGAAATTTGGGGCCGACCTTGTTCTATTAGCTATTCATCTAGCACGTAAGCAGATTCTATAAAACACAGTGTCACTGATAAGATGCTAGGAGACTAAATGTGACCTTATGGTCAAGAGGAGCCCAGATCAAACACTGAATGTAAGAGCTAAGACTATAAAACTCTTAGAAGAAAACATCAGAGGAAAGCTTCATGACATTGGGTTTGGCAACAATTTCTTAAATATGACACTAGCATCGGAGACAAAGAAAGAAAAAATTGGAGTTCATTGAAATTAAAAAATATGTGCACCAAAAGACACTACCAAGAGAGGAAAAAGGCACAGAAGGGGAAAAATATTAGCAAATCATATATCTGATACAAAATTAATATCCAGAATATATAAAGAACTCATAGAACTCACCAGCAAAAAAAAAAAAAAAAAAAAAAAAAAAACAAAAAAAACAATTAGAAAAGGACTAAGGACATGAAGGGACTTTCTCCAAGAGGATGCACAAATGGATGATAAACATGAAAACAGGCTCCATCTCTGTCATCAGGGAAATGCAAATCAAAACTATGATGAGACACCATCTCACACCCATTAGCATGGGCATTATAAAACAAAACAAACAGAAAATAACTAGTGTTGGAGAGAATGTGGAGAAATGAGAACACGTGCACACTGCTAGTGGGAATGTGTTTCCAGTGAGGAAAATTGTATCACGGTTCCTCAACAAGTTAAGCGTAGAATCGCCATATGGCCCCACAGTTTCACTTTTGGGTATATACTCAAAGGAATTGGAAGTAGGGACTTGAACAAATCATTGTACACTGATGTTCAGAGTAGAATTGTTCACAACAGCCAAAAGGTAGAAACAACCTAAAAGTCCAGCAACTGATGAATGAAAAACAAAGGAATGTAGTATATCCATGCAAGGAAATGCCATTCAGCCTTAAAAAGAAAGGGAATTCCGACACTTGCCTTGGCCTGGAGGAGCCTGAGAGCATGGTGCTGAGTGCAGTGAGCCCGACACAGGGCGCATACACATGGTTCCCCTAACGTGACGTCCTGAGTGTAACCAAAGTCATAGAGAGAGAAAGCGAGTGGCAGGTGCCAGGGACTGAGCAAAGGGGGAACGGGTAGAGAGTGTTTAATGAGGACAGGGTTTGGGTTTGGGAAGATGGAAGAGTTCTGGAGATACATAGTGATGATGGTTACGTAAAAATGTGAATGTACTGAATGCCAGCAAAATGCACGCTTAAAAATGGTTAAAATGGTAAATTTATGTTATGTATATTTTACCACTAGAAAAATGTTTGAGGAAGAAGATCAGGAAGAGGTGGAGGAGGAGGAGGAAGAGGTTGAGGAGGACAGATACCCCAATGCTGAGGAAAGAATTCCTAGGCTCTGTTTTTCTTCTTTCCAGAAACACGTCTCTGTAAGCCCTACTACGTGACAGCAAACTGCTAGATCCAGACATCCGCAACGGAGCTGGTCTCAGCAAATTTCTCCCAAAACCTCCAGAATAGTGGGAAGACAGCGGGGTACAGGCCAAGATGCTGAAGGCATACAAACTAAGACTCTTTCCTGTGAATTAGTTTGCATGCCGGCATGTAAATATTCATTTTTCCCATATGCCCACGTGTAGGTGCATGTACGCATCTCTGTATATGTGTACCTTCCTTTATTCACTCTTGTGATGCTTCCTGGCCTCCTGCAATGGGTCAGACACTCTCCCAATCATGGCACAGACGAAATCAGAGCTGAACCCTCAGAGGGGCCACGATGGGGGAAAGCAGTCACTCAGCCCAGCCCAGTGCTCAAAAGGACCCCAGATCACAAAGAGAAGGTCTGCACCGTTGAACCAGTGGGGATGAATTTATGCGTTCATTCATTCATTCATTCATTCATTCAGCAAACATTAATTAAGTGCCTACGATATTCTGGCACTCTCCTGGGTCAAGACTGAGAGGAGGTTCCTTACGGAGCTGCCAAAAGCAGAGGAAACAGGTTTTTGAACAGACAGTCACAATGCCGATTTGCCTCGCTTTGCCGTGTAGGGGAGGCCCCTTGTGATGGCCGGTGCCTCCCTCCTGCTGCTGGTGTTCCATCCCAGGCAGGTGAGGGTGGCCTGCAACAGCTGCCATCCTGTCAGCTCCGCAGGAAGTGGGTCGGCTGCCAATCTTAACTCAAATGTGTTTGGAGTGAAGTGATGGTGAGAGGAGAGGTATGGGAAGGAGGGAACAGAACACTAAGCTTGTAAAAAATTATTGTTTGGATGCTCATTTCCAGAATCAGGTAGAGTCATCCTTACGAAACACTCACATTAGCTAAGGGGGCAACGGCTCCACCGTCCGTCTGTGCATGCCGGTGCTGTAGCAACTGGCACAGGTAGAGAAAATAACACACGCAGTGTACTGGGCGAAAGCCACGCTGGAACTATATGTGTAATTCTAAACTTCCAAACTGCAAGTAAAGTGCGAAGTGTAAATACTTGTTCCTATAAATGAGGTCTACCTAGGTAATTCTGATGGAAGAAATTGGGCTTGAGAGAGGGACTTCCCCCAAGTGTTATGATACACAAGGAAAAAATAGAGCCACTGAAAAGGATGGGACCTGGTGGGTGTGGCGACTCCCAGCCTTGCCCCGTTCTAACTCCCAGAGATACACACTGTGGCAACTTGTTTATCCTTCAAAAGGAAAGATCTTACCACACACATGTATACACTTGATATGTTGTACATGAGGCCTCTTTGTTTTTGCACTAAAAGGAACTGATTCACACACCTTCTGTCTGTTGTGCTTATTATTTTCAAGACTTTTGCATTTTTTTAGGGCATGAAAACTTACTGTTGCATAAGTGATACATTTAATATAAAAATGTTCCCAAACCTTCAGCTGCATTAACGAAAGTGAAAGGCAACCAGGTAATAGAGCATGTAAGGAAAAGGAGATTTCTACCTTGACTTTCCAGACACAAACGTAATTTTGGACTTCAAGATGATTATGTTTCTCAGTATTACTTTTTCCTCAGAAAACTGCCGTGAATCTATGCATGGCAGCTTCAAATCCTCCCAAGAGTTTATTAGTAAGATTGTCATCTCACAGAAAAAGATATTTTTATTGTAAATTGACAAATCATAATTGCATGTATTTATGGAGCACAAAGTGATGTTCTATGTATACAATGCTGTTATCTATAGTCACCAAATTTCTTGAGATCTGGGCAAGAGATCTCAAGAAATTTCTTTCTCTAAGTCACTAAAACATTGTGCCCTTCCCCAATCATCTCTCTTTCCCTCAGGCCATAGTGTCTGGCAACCATCTTTCTACTTTCTACTTCTAGGAGCTCAATTATTTGAGATCCCACATCTGAGTGAGGACATGCAATACTTGTCTTTCTGTGCCTAGCTTATTTCACTTAGCGTAATGTCCTCTGGGTTCATTCATGTTGTTGCAAATCACAAAATGACTTTCTTTTTAAGGCTAAATAGTATTCCATTGTGTATTTATACACTGCATTTTCTTTACCAATTCATCCATTGATGGGCACTTAGATTAATTTCATGGCTTGGCTATTGTGCATTCATGCTTCTGTAAACATGGGCGTGCAGACATCTCTTCTACAAACAGATTTCAAACGCTCTGGATGTATAACCAGAAGTGGGATGGCTGGATCACATGGTAGTTCTATGTCTAACTTTTGAAGGAACTTCTACACAGTTTTCCTAATGACATGCTAATTTATATTCCCACCAACAGTACACGAGGCTTCCTTTTCTCCATATCCTCATTAACACTTCTCGTCCATCTTTCCTGCATCAGCCGATCTAACGAGTGTGAGACGATCTCTTCGTGTGGTTTTGACTCACACTTCCCTAAGGATTAGTGATGTTGAACATCTTTTCATATATCTTTAGCCTATCTGTGTGTCTTTTTTAAAAAGAAATGTCTAGTCAAGTCTTTTGTCCATTTTTCAGTTGTGTTGCATTAATCTCTTATCAGATATATGGCTTGCAAATATTTTCTCTCAATCTATAGATTTTTTTTCTTTTTTTGAGATGGAGTCTCGCTCTGTCTCTCAGGCTGGAGTGCAGTGGCACGATCTTGGCTCACTGCAACCTCCACCTCCCAGGTTCAAGCGATTCTCCTGCCTCACCCTCCTGAGTAGCTGGGATTACAGGCACGTGACACCACACCTGGCTATTTCTTGTATTTTTGGTAGAGACGGGGGTTTCACCGTGTTGGTCAGGCTGGTCTCGAACTCCTGACCTCGTGATCTGCCCACCTTGGCCTCCCAAAGTGCTGGAGGGTAGGCTTAGATTGGTTTAAAAATGTATATTGGAAACTCTAGGTTAAGTACTTTGTAAATAAATAAATGTAATTGATAAGCTAAGAGAGAAAATTTAAAAAATACATAAAATGCTCAGTTAGCAGAGAAAGCAGAAAATGAGGGGAAAAAGAACAAACTAATGATACAAATAGAAAAAGTTACAGATACGGTAGATATTAATCCAATTATATTTAATATCAGTAATGAGCTTTAATGAGAATGGACTAAATACACCAATCAAAAGACACACAATATTGATGAAGAACACAGTTGGAGAACTGCCCAGTTATAGTAAGGACTTAGTATAAAGCTGCAGTAATAAAAACAGCATAGTGTTTGTAGAAGAATAGACAAATATATCAATGGAATAGAATTTAAAACTCAGAAACAGAGCCACATAACTAAAACAATTGATGTTTGACCAAGAAACAGGCATATCAATGGAGTTAGGATAGTGTTTTCAACAAATGGTGCTGGAAAATTGGATATCTACACCATCAGGTTCATTATCTATTAAAAAATTACACTTTTCACATGAATTAACTCTACAGATATGTTGGAATTTTTTAAAATCAAAACTTCTTAAGCAAATACTTTTATTTATTTACTGTTTTGAGACAGAGTCTCGCTCTGTCACCCAGGCTGGAGTGCAGTGGTGCAATCTTGGGTCACTGCAACCTACACCTCCCAGGTTCAAGTGATTTTCCTGCCTCAGCCTCCCAAGTAGCTGGGATTACTGGCACACGTCACCACGCCCATCTAATTTTCATATTTTTAGAAGACATGGGGTTTCGCCATGTTGACCAGGCTGGCCTCGAACTCCTGACCTCAGGTGATCTGCCCACCTTGGCCTTCCAAAGTGCTGGGATTACAGGCGTAAGCCACCACATCCGGCCATTGCTTAAGCAAATACATTTTTAAGAGAATCAAAATAGACACTGCAGATAGGAAGAAAATTTTTCAGAATACACATCTGACAAAGAACTTGCATATATGACAATCTTAAAACTTGGGAATAAGAATACAAATACAATTTTAAAATTGGCAAAAGATTGGAATAGACATCTCTAAAAGAAGATATACATATGGCAAATAAGCACATGACAAAATGGTCATTTGACATTAGGAAATTGCAAATTAAAATAACAATCATGTGCCACTATACATATATAAACAGCTGAACTAAAAAACAAACTGATCAATAGCAAGTGTTGGTGAAGACTCAGAGCAACAAGAGCTTTCGTTCATTGCTGGTGGGAAGATAAAATGGCCCAACCACTTCGAAAAACAGGCTGGCAGGTTTTACGAAGCTACCTGTCATCTTCCATGTGACCCAGCATCGCGCTCATTGATATTTACTCAACTATTTTGAAGTTTTTATATCCAGAAATAAAATCCTGCATGCAAATGGTTACAGCAGCATCATTCATAATTGTAAAAATACGGGATCAAACAAGATGTCCTTCGATAGGTGAATGGATAAAAAAGTGACACATTCACACAATGGAAAAGAATTCCGCGATAAAGAAAAATGAGCTCTTAAGCCACAAAAAGACAGACATGTATCACAAATTCATATTGTGCATACTGGTAAGTGAAGGAAGCCAATCTGAAAGCATGAAAAGATACTGTATGATTCCAGTGATATGACATTCTGGAATAGGCACAAGTATAGAAATGATAAAAAGATTGGTGGTTGCTGGGAAGATGAGGTAGCGTGGGAGGCTTAACTAGGTGAAGCCCTGGGCATAGTTTAGGGCAATGAAACTATTCCCTAAGATACTGTAGTGGGGAATGACACTGTGATTTGTAGAACCTATGATGACTTTACAACACAAGCGGTGAACATTAAGGTATGCAAATAAATGTAAATTGTTTAGGATCCCACGATAGAATTAGGAATATGACAAAAACAATTTAACTGCCTTACAGATAGAGGAAACCACCTAACTGAAAGTGGTAGGAGAAGAAGGTGCTGATGTAAGTAACTGTGGACGTGAGTGGAATCTGTGGAACCCAGGGCAGGAGCACGTGCACATAAGCTGTGCTCTAGTTGATAATGCTGCTTCCTATGGAACTGTGGGTTGACACTTCTGATACCGCTATGGACGTATACTGGGATTGCTGGAATTGATCAGTGAAGTAACGGATGGGGAACAGCAAAGCAAGGTTTCTTAGTGTTGAAGGAGGAGGTTACAGACAAGCAGAATCTAGAATGCTCCATATGGTATGAATTGGAGATGGACACATCAGCATGAATTCTGATTCCGGTGAGTATTGATACGGACAGGTACATCCAGAAACATTTGTGGGCGTGTGAATGTACACAGGTTAGTATACACACAAGTATTTCCTCCCTGTGTCTGCTGAGAGGGCCAGAAGCAATAAGAATGCAGTAGCAAGGAGCCCCCAAGCAATCTGGAACCTGATTTCAGTTTCTCATACCATTCTCACATAAAAGGAACTGGGCATCCGTGGGTAAACGGTGAGTCTTGGGGCAGGAAATATACAAGTCAGCCTGGAGCATCCTGTAGAGTTAGAAAAAAAAAAAGGCTGCAAAAATAATGATTGAGACACAAGAGGCAACTGAAAATGCCTCTGATGTCCAAAACTGGGATAATATGAGCAACAATAAATAAAGTTAGATTATAATCAAAGGTGCAAATTAATATCCATGAGTCCATACTGATCTAAATAAATGATTAAATAAATAAGTATATAAATGGAGAGGAAAGATCACTTTGCCATGCAGAAGAATTCTTAAGTAGATACTTCTTCCTCAAGGAGCTGGAGCCTAACTCTTCCCTTGTTCTGTGTTAACCGTGTGATGACTCTGCTGTAAGAGCACAGTATGGAAAGGGGAGAATAAGAGTATCTCTCAGTGGAGAAGACAGACAGACACAGCCTCGGCCAGATGGTCAAGGTCGAGGTCAACAGTAATAAGCCATGTTGACTGTGTACCTGGACATGGTATGGCATGAATGGTGTTTTACCTCCGTGGTCCTCCCCAAACCCATAACCCCAACCTCCTCATGAGAAAAAAATCAGAGAAATCACTATCAAGGCTTATTCTATGAAAGACCTGCTCTGTAATCCACACACATAAAACAGATACGTCTGAAAAGCTGCCACATTCAAGACAAGCCTAAGGAGTAAGGAGACATGACAGCAAACAGTAACGGGATCCTAGGGCCGAAAGAACAGCAGGTACTGAACAGTGTGGGCCTTAGTTAATAACAATGCATTGGATGCCTTAATTACCTACAACAGATCTACCATACTAAGATAAGGTGTTAATCACAGAGGAAGCTGGATGTGGGCTATGTGGCAAATCTCTCTACTGTCTTCACAATTTTTCTGTAAGTCTAAAACTACCGTAGAGTAGGAGTGTTTTTAAAATATATGCTGTTGTAATAGATTACAACAATTTCAGAACTGTGTAAGGAAAAAGTAAAAACCGTCTGAATTCCCATCCTTGTTATCATTATCAGGTTATTGAACAGATTTTCATCTACCTTTTCATGACACACACCCACTCACCATGTACAGACATGATGATAGCTTTGGTGGTCTTGGTTTTGGTTCTATAAAGTACCCCCACCACTGTGTTCCCCAGTCAAGCCCTTTCACTTCTGGACTTAAATTGTGGCGCATGCTTAGTAACTTGCTTTTGTATATATTTACATCAGAATGTGCACACACAAACAAAAACAATTGTCACTGATTCTTTTGTAAAAAATTAGATCCATATTATACATGTGTTTGCATATTTATTTTTTTAACCTATCCATATCTTCCCAAAGCAACTAGTAGACTGCTGCTTTCTTTCTTTCAGTGTCCGCATGAAATTCCAAAGGATGGCTGTACTAAGTTTATTTTTTTTCTCCAAGGAAAAGTATTCAGTTTGTTTCCAGGTTTTTGTTTCACTGTTTGTTATTTTTTCATTTGTTTTTGACATATCAAGTACAGGAATATTGCAGTAAATATTTAGATTTATAAATTATCAGCATTTTACAAATATATGGCATGATGGAAATGTTCAAATTATTTTTTTCCTTATCCATACACATTTTTGCTAATTTTTAAATAGACTACTTTTCCTTCTGACTTCAAGTCACATATTTCTCCCTTGTCACATATTTCATTTCTATTAATATTAGTTTTAACTGCTTACCTATTTTCTTACATTGACCTGTGTGTCTGGTTCAACTCTTCATTAATGTGGCTTTGTGATAGTTTAACATCAGATCAGATAGGTTATTTCTGCTGTTTCTTTATCTTTTTCTTTCTTTCTTTATTTTTTTAGACAGAGTCTCGCTCTGTTGCCCAGACTGGAGTGCAATTGCGCAATCTCGGTTCACTGCAACCTCTGCCTGTCAAGTTCAAGGGATTCTCCTGCCTCAGACTCCTGAGTAGCTGGGAATACAGGTGCGTGCCACCACGCCAGGAAAATATTTTTTGTATTTTTAGTAGAGATGGGGTTTCACCATGTGGTCAGGCTGGTCTCGAACTCCTGACCTCGTGATCCACCTGCTTTGGCTTCCCAAAGTGCTGGGATTACAGGGGTGAGCCACTGTGCCTGGCCTGCTCTTTCTTTTTCATAAGTACACTTGACAGCCTAAGACATATATATTCCTCTGTGTAAAGGCTAAGATAATTTTTTCCAGCTAAATTAAAACTTGAGAATCTAGCTAAAATTGCTTTAACTTTATTAATTTTTGCACTTTAACAAGTCAGAAAGTGACATTTAAAAAAATTAAATCCATGCCATTCAATGTATTTATTTTATTTTTTACATCTAATGTGTGTCTTTCAGGTGCTTCACTGAGGCTTTACTTTATACATGTTTGATAATGTTATCATCACATTTATTTCTAAACTTTTTTGTTTTTTTATGTTAATTATCAATGTTATTTAATAATATGTACATATTTTCAGTGTTTGTTTCTATATCAACTTCTGTATATAATCATAAATGATTTAACAAATATTTTTGGTCACTTTAAAAATATTAGATTATCTTGGATTTTCTGTAGATACGATTATAGTTTTAGGTAATTATTTTTTATTTTTATTATATTGAAGTAACTGGAACCTCCAAATGGGAGGTATCCCTCTTCTGCTGTTAATTTTAATGTAAATGACTTCAGAAAATCAACATTTAGAACAGTTTCTTTACTCAATTGGCTCTTGTTAAACATACTTTATATATTTAAATAGTTTCCTCTTATTTCTATTTTTCCCAAAGTTTTTACTCCCCATAGTCAGCACTGATTTCTAATTTCATCAAACATTTGGGTCATTTTTGAAAATTCATATGAAGGTTTTAATCTTTTATTTATTGAGCAAATGAGTTATTTTGTTATATTTCATAATTTTTAACCATTTCTATGTATCTGGGCTAACTTGGTTGTAATGAATTATTCTTGAGTATATTTTTAGATTTTATTTACTAATACTTTATTTTCATTTTTGGAACTATGTTAATATTTGAGAATTTTCTGTAATTTTTGTTGTCTAGATTTATCAATTTTGGTAATAATTCATTCTGGCTTCATAAAATGATCTGGGAAACATTTCATTTATTTGGGTTTCCTTGAATAATTTACATAACATTCAATTTATCTGTTATTTGCTAGAAATGTGAAACAATCTGACTCGTTACCTTTTTAAAAGGCCAATCTGTAAACACTTTTTCAATCTATTTTTGTAACTGGTCTGTTGAAATTTTCTAGTTCTTCTTGAATCATGTTTATAATGTGCAGTTTGCCAGATTTTTATGTACTTTTCCTGTGTGTGTGTTTCTTTCTTTCTTTTTTTTTTTCGGTTATTTTCCTACAGTTACACCTAATAGTTGCTTCTAATTATTTTAACACATTTGTATATTTAATCTCATCTCTGTGCTTTTAAGAGTGCCAATTTGCTTTTTAATTGCGTTGATATACATTTTAATTATGTCGATGGCCTTATCAAAGGAACACCTTTTGTAAAATGTTTCTTTTATCTATTTTACTTTACTGTATATTTTATTAATTCTCTTATATTTTTATTGATTTCAGTTTTTAAAATTTTTATTAATATCACCTCCTAGCTTAGTTCCATGAGGAATAAACAGACTATTCAGTTTTGCGTCTTTGTAATCAATAGCAAAGCTCTGCAGGTTTTATGGTGCTCCCCTGTTTTGGTATTAAATGTCCTTCTATTTATTGCTTCAAAGATGGTTTGTAATCTTGGTTTTAAAACACTTTATTATTCAAATGTTAGGGCAAATTTCTTTATATCAATTTTTAAAAATATTTCTTTACATCAATTTAAAAATCTTAATTATTATTAATTCACATGGACTATAAATCCTCCAACATTAAAAAATGCTATGGTTTGAAGTAAAATCATCTATTTGCAGACAATATGATATTCTGTGTGGAAAACCCTAAAGATTCTACACACCAGAAATTTGCTACAACTAATGGACAAAGTTAGCAAAGTTATACAATAAAATCAACACAAACAAATTTGTCACATTTCTGTATGCTAACAATGTATGATACAAAAAGGAAAGCAAGACAAAAATTCTTTTATAATAGCGTCCAAAATAAAAAAATAGGAATAAACTCAACCAAGGAGGTAAAAGGCTTGTATGCTAAAAACTAAAAAGTGTTGCTGAAATAAATAATATATAAATAAATGGCAGGATTTACTGTGTTCATGGATTGAGAGATTTGATATTGCTGTCACTACTACCCAAAGCAATCTGCAGATTCAATGCAATCCCGATCAAAGTCCCAGTAGCACTTTTGTAAGAAACAGAAAAATCCATCCTGAAATTCGTGTGGAACCTTAAACTCAAGACTTGAACAAATGGACCTAGTTGAGATCTATAGAGTCCTCCACTCAACAACCACGAATTTTACATTCCTCTCATCGGCACACAGAACATACTCTAAGGTCAAGCACATGCTCAGCCATAAAGCAAGGCTCGATACATCCAAAAACATTTAAATCATACCAACCACACTCTTGGAACACAGTGTAGTATAAATAGATATCAACACCAAGAAGATCTCTCACAACTACACAAAAATATGAAAACTGAACCACTTGCTTCTGAATAACTCTTGAGCAAACAACAAAATTAAGAAATAAAATAAATTCTTAAAATTAAGAAAAAGAGACATAACTTACCTTCGCCTTTGGGATGTAGCTAAAGCAGTGTTAAGAGGAAAACTTGTAGCTCTCAATGTCTTCATCAAGAGGGTAGAAAGATCTCAAATTAACAACCTAACATGACAACTAGAGAAACTAAGAAAAAAAGGACAATCCAACACCAAAGCTAGTAGAAGAAAGGAAATAATTAAAATCAGAGAAGAACTGAAAGACATTGAGAACAAAAAGTCCATACAAAAGATCAATGAACCTAAGAATTTATTATTGGAAAGAATAAACAAGACTCATAGACCATCAGGTAGATTAACAAAGAAAAAAAAAGATAGAAAGAAGCACAATCAGAAATGATAAAGATGACATTATAACCTAACCCAAAGAAATATAAAAGATTATCAGACTATTAAAAACACCTCTATGCACACAAACTAGAAAATCTAGAGGAAATGGATAAATTTCCAGAAACACACAACCTCCCAAAATTGAATCCTTGAAGAAAATGAAAACCTGAAAAAAATACCAGCAAATTAGGAAATTGAATCAGTACTAAAAAACCTACCAACAAAAAAAACCCTGGGCCAGATGGATTCACAGCCAAATTCTACCAGACACACAAAGAAGAACTGATATCAATCTTACTGAAACATTTCCCAAAAATTGAAGAGGATAAATTTCTCCTTCATTCTATGAAGCCAGCATCATCCTGATACCAAAATCTGGCAGAAATACAATGAAGAAAGAAAACCTGGGACCAATAACTATGATGAAGATGGCCACAAAAATCCTCAGCAAGATCCTAGCAAACCTATCGAATAGCATATCAAAAACTTAATTCACCACGATCAATTAGGCTTTATTTCTGGGATGAAAGACTGCACATCCATGAATGTGATTCATGACATAAACTGAATTAAAAACAAAAATCATGTGAGCATCTCAAGAGACACAGAAAAAGCTTTCGATAACATCCAACATCCCTTAACGATAAAAAACATGAACATATTAGGCATTGAAGGTGTGAGGGTTTAGTCTGAAGTTGGGCAATGTGATTCATCTGACTTTGTTCTTTTTGCTGTCAGGAAGAAAATGAAAACCTGGGCAAAATACCACCAAGTTAGGAAATTGAATAGAGCCATCAAACTAAATAGAGCCATTGATCACATGCCCATACCCAATATCATACAGAAGGGGCAAAAGCTGGAAGCAGTCCCCTTGAGAACTGGAACAAGACAAGAATGCCCACTCTAACCACTACTATTCAACATAGTACTGGAAGTCCTAGCCAGAACAATTAGGCAAGAGAAAGAAATAAAAGGCATCCAAATGGGAAAAGAAGTCAAACTATCTGTCTTTGCCAATGATATGATTCTATACACAGAAAACCCTAAAGACTCTGCCAAAAGGCTCCTGAAACTAATACATAAACTCAGTAAATTTTCAAGATATAAAATCAATGTACTATTTAATTTTAATACTATTTTCATATATTAATTTAATACTATTTATATATTAATTTAATACTATTTTATATATTAATAATTTTGTGGTCGATAACCAAATCAAGAACACAATCCAATTTTCAATAGCCACAAAGAAAATGAAATACTTAGGAATTCATCTAACCAAGGAGGTGAAAGACCTCTAGAAGGAGAACTACAATATGCTGATGAAAGAAATCAGAGACAACACAAATAAATGGAAAAATATTTTATGCTCATGGATTAGAAGAATCAATATAGTTAAAATGGTTATGCTTCCCAAAGCAATTTATAGACTCAACACTATTTCTATCAAAACATCAACATCATTTTTCACAGAATTATAAAAATCTATTCTAAAGTTCATTTGGAAACACGAAAGAGCCCAAATAGACAAAGTAATCCAAAGCAAAAAGAACAAAGCCAGAGACATCACATTGTCCAACTTCAAATTATACTGTAAGGCTATGTAAGCAAAACATAATGGTATGGAGAAAAAAACAGACCTATAGACCAGTCGAATGGAATAGGGAATGCAGAAATAAACCTGCACACCTACAACCATCTGATCTTTGACAAAATTAACAAAAAGAAGCAATGGAGAAATGACTTCCTATTCAATAAATGGTGCTGGGATAGCTGGCTAGCCATATGCAGAAGAATTAAACTGTCTCTCACCATATACACAAATTAACTCAAGATGGATTAAGGACTCAAATGTAATACCTCAAACTATAAAAATCCTAGAAGATAATCTAGGAAATTTCCTTCTCAACATAGGCTTTGGCAAAGAATTTTTGTCTGAGTCCTCAAAAACAGTTACAACAAAAACAAAACTTGACAAATGAGAACTAATTAAAGAGTTTCTGCACAGCAAAATAAACTATCAACAGAATAAACAGAAAATCTGCAGAATAGGAGATATTTTTGCAAAGTACGCATCTGACAAAGTTTCAATATCCAGCATCTATAAGAACTTAAACAAATAAACAATAAAAAAATACCCTATTAAAAAGTGGGTAAAGGACACGAACAATTTTCAAAAGAAAACATACATGAGGCCAAAAAACGTGAAAAAAGGCTCAACATCACTGACCATCAGAGAAATGCAAATCAAAACCACAATGAGATACCATTTCTTACCAGTCAGAGTGGTGATTGTTAAAAAGTCAAAAAAATGTTGGCAAGGCTGCAGAAAAAAACGGAACGGAATGCTTATACACTGTTATTGAGAATGCAACCTAGTACAGCCATTGTGGAAATCAGTTTGGAAATTTTTCAAATAATTTACAATAGAACTACCATTTGACCCAGATATCCCACTACTGGGTGTATACCAAGAGGAAAATAAATCATTCTAGCTATAAGACACACACACTCATATGTTCATTGCAGTGCTATTTACAATAGTAAGGACATGGAATCAATCTAAGTGCCCATCAACCATGGATTGGGTAAAGAAACGTTGGTAACTATAAACCATGGAATACTATGCAGCCAT
Source organism: Homo sapiens (assembly GCF_000001405.40). Taxonomy (NCBI): domain Eukaryota; kingdom Metazoa; phylum Chordata; class Mammalia; order Primates; family Hominidae; genus Homo; species Homo sapiens. The sequence continues at coordinate 78,277,839 of NC_000018.10, read as the reverse complement.
AAAAATGAACAAAATGGTGTCCTTTGCAATGACATGGGTAGAGCTGGAGGCCATTATCCTAAATGACCTAACACAAAACCAGAAAACCAAATGCCACATCTTTTCGTTTATAAATGGGATCTAAATATTGGATACACATGAAGGTAAAGGTGGGTACAATAGACACTGAGGACCACTAGATGGGGGAGGGAGGGTGGGAGGTATGGCCTGAAGAACCACCTGTTGAGAACTATGTCTGCTGCCTGAGTAATGAGATCACTGGAGCCCCAAGCCTCAGCATCACACAGTTTACCCATATAACAAACCTACATGCATACTTTTTAATCTGTAATAAAAGTTGACTTTTTTTTTATATCAAGGAATAACAGATGCTGGTGAGGCTGCAGAGAAAAGGGAATGCTTATGTGCTGTTTGTGGGAATGTAAATAATTTACATTCAGCCACTGTGGAAAACAGTTAGGAGATTTCTCAAAGAACTTAAAACAGAGCTACCATTTGACCCCACAATCCCATTACTGGGTATATACCTAATGGAAAAGAAATCATTCTACCAAAAAGACACACACAAATGTAAGCTCATTGCATTGCTATTCACAATAGCAGAGACACAGAATCAACCTAGGTGTTCATCAATAGAGGACTGGATAAAGAAAGTGTGGTACATATGCCCCATGGAATACTATGCTATAGGGCCATAATCTAGAACAAAATCACCTCCATAGCAGCAACATGGATGCAACTGCAGGACATTCTCCTAAAGGAGTTAAGACAGGAATCAAAGACCAAATGTGGCTTGTTGTCACATAAGCAGGAACTAAGTACTGGGTCTACACAGATATGAAAACGGGAACAATAGACTCTGGGTACTACTAGAGGCGGGAAAGAGGCAGGGAAGTGAGGGCTGAAACACTACTTTTTGAGTGCTGTGCTCAATACCTGGGTTACAGGATCATTTGTACTTGAAACTACAGCATCACATAATATACCCATGTAACAAACGTGTACATACGGCCCCTGAATCGAAAATCAAAGTTGAAATTATAAAGCAAAAAAACAAATATATATTTACATTTATATTATTAAAAAAAGCAAATATGTATATTTGCATATATATACCTACATACATGCTATACATATATACATATATATGTGTATATATGTATATATATGTGTGTGTATATATATACCTATACATATATGTATATACATATGTGCATATATATATACAGGGTGTGTGTGTGTGTATATATATATATATACAGGGTGTGTGTATATATATATATACAGGTTGTGTGTGTATATATATATATAAAGGGTGTGTGTGTGTGTGTATATATACATATATATATATATACAGGGTGTGTGTGTATGTATATATATACAGGGTGTATATATATATGTATATATATACAGGGTGTATATATATATATGTATATATATACAGGGTGTATATATATATATGTATATATATACAGGGTGTATATATATATATGTATATATATACAGGGTGTATATATATATATGTATATATATACAGGGTGTATATATATATATGTATATATATACAGGGTGTATATATATATATGTATATATATACAGGGTGTATATATATATGTATATATATATGTATATATATACAGGGTGTATATATATATGTATATATATACAGGGTGTATATATATATATATGTATATATATACAGGGTGTATATATATATGTATATATATACAGGGTGTATATATATATGTATATATATACAGGGTGTATATATATATGTATATATATACAGGGTGTATATATATATGTATATATATACAGGGTGTATATATATATATGTATATATATACAGGGTGTGTATATATATATATGTATATATATACAGGGTGTATATATATATATATGTATATATATACAGGGTGTATATATATATATGTATATATATACAGGGTGTATATATATATATGTATATATATACAGGGTGTATATATATATGTATATATATACAGGGTGTATATATATATATGTATATATATACAGGGTGTATATATATATATGTATATATATACAGGGTGTATATATATATATGTATATATATACAGGGTGTATATATATATATACAGGGTGTATATATATATATACAGGGTGTATATATATATATATGTATATATATACAGGGTGTATATATATATATATGTATATATATACAGGGTGTATATTCATATACACTCAATACTGGAAAATCCAGACATATAGAGTGAATATTTCCCTCCCAGAAAAACTAGAAGGTAACATATGAAAAAAACAGATGACCTTGGGTTTGGTAATGACTGTTTAGATACAACACCAAAAACGTAATCCTTGAAAGGAAACATGGATAAGTTAACTTCATTAAAATTATAAGTTATGTTCTGTGAAAGATGCTGTTAAGAGAAAGAAAAGACTAGTCATATCTGGGAAGATAATCTTTGCAAAGCATATCTATGATAAAGGAATGTTATCCAAAATATGTAAAGAACCCTTAAAACTCAATAATAAGAAACTGAACAGCTCAATTGCAAAATGGGCAAAAGATCTGAACAGACAACTCTCCAAAGAAGAGACACAGATTTCAAATACGTGTATGAAAAGATGCTATGCCTCATATGTCCTCAGGGAAATGCAAATTAAAACTACAGTGAGATACAAGTACACACCTATTACAATGGCTAAAATCCAAAACACTAGCAACGTAAAATGCTTGCAAGGATATGGAGCAAGAGGAGCCCTCATTCATTTCTAGTGGGAATGCAAAATGATACAGCCACTTTAGAAAACAATTTAGTCATTTATTACAAAGATAAAAATAGTCTTGTCAAACAATCCAGCAGTCAGTCTCCATGTTATTTTCCCCAAAGTGTTGAAAGCTGACAACCATGCATGTTTCTGTGTCCATGGATATGCACACAGATGCTTTTGGCAGCTTTATTTATAATTGCCAAAACTTAGAAGTAACGAAGACGTCCTTCAGTAGGTGAATGAATAAACAAATTGTGGTACATCCAGAGAATGGAATATCATTTATTGATAAAAAGTAAGTGAGTCATTTGACTATGAGAAGACATGGAGGAGAGGTAAATGCATATTGCTAAGTGAAATAATTCAGTCTAAAAAGGCCACACATTGTATGATTCTAACTCTGTGACATTCTGGAAAAGACAAAACATGGAGATAGTTAAAAGGTCAGTGGTTGTCAAGGGTTTGTGAGGAAAGGAGGGATGAACAGCTGAAGCATGGAGCATCTTTTGGACAGTGAACTCATTCTGTATGATACTGTGAAAAGGGATGCATGTCATTATATAACTGTCAAATCTATAGAATGTACACCACTAAGAATGAACCATAATGTAAATTATGGACATTAGTTAATAATGTATCAGTATTGGCTCATCTATTGCAACAATTGTACCACACTATCACAAGATGTTAATAGTAGGAGGAAATAGTTTGGGGGAGAATGTATACGGGAACTGTGTACTTTGTGCTCATTATTTTTTGTACACCTAAAACTGTTCTACAGGATGAAGTCTATTAATTTTTAAAACTATGGAGGGTATTGGTAAAAGGTATGGCAAAGAAATAAGAAAATACCCAAATAACAGATGTATTTTAAAAACAATACAAGTTTACATTAAGCCAAAATCATGTAATACTTGAAATTTGAAACTCAGCAGATATGTTAAACAGTGCATTAGACCCAATTGGAGAGAGAATTAGTGAACTGGAATATAGAGGTGGAGAAATCACCCAAACTATGGCACAGAGGTAGAAAGGTGGGAATATATAAGATGTTAATTGATGCAGAGGATATGGAACTAACTAATCATTTCTAATCAGTGTTCTTGTAGAAAATTTTTAAAAATGTACCAAGTAATAAGGCCTAGTAATATTTTCAGAATTGATAAAAAACAAAAATCCTCAGATTTAGGAGAGCACATGTGTCTCTTGTGGATCAATAAAAAGAAATCTATACCTAGACAAACCAATAGTGATGCAGCATTATACCAAAGACAGTCTGAGAGAAATCAGAATCCTTCAAAGTGCTAAAAAAAAAAAAAAGAAAAGAAAAAACAGAAACATAACAAAAACAAAACTGTCAACCTAGAATTTTCTAACCAGTAAAACCATCATTCTAAAGAAATAATAAAATCAAACATTTATCACCCAACTATAAGTTTAAGACAGTTTACTATTTTTTCTTTTTTTTTGAGACAGAGTCTCACACTGTCACCTGGGCTGGAGTGCAGTGGTGCGATCTTGGCTCACTGCAACCTCCACTTCCCAGGTTCAAGTGATTCTCTTTGCCTCAGCCTCCCAAGTAACTGGGACCATGTCCAGCTAATTTTTTTTTTTTTTTTTGTATTTTTAGTAGAGACGGGGTTTCACTTTGTTGAACTGGCGACAACATAGGTCTCGAACTCCTGACTTCATGATCCACCCTCCTGGGGCCCCCAAAGTGCTGGGATTACAGGCGTGAGCCACCGTGCCAGGCTGCCACAGTTTACTATTAACAATTCCTCACGGAGGAAAATTGTACCAGTGTTCTTCAGGAAGACTGAAGGTATGTCTCAAACATAAGAAGGAGTGAGTTTTTAAAACATGGTAATTATGTGCACACATTTAAATATACTTTGGTGATACAATAAATGTTTAATTTGGGTGGTTATAAAACTTGATAGACATACAATTTATGTAACAATAGCAAATAAATTCTAAAATTCTTATATTGTTCTAATGTTAAACATGCATGATAATTTTCCTTCTTTTCTTTTTTTTTTTTTTTTTTTTTTTGAGATGGCGTCTCACTCTGTCACCCAGGCTGGAGTGCAGTGGCGAAATCTTGGCTCACTGCAAGCTCCGCCTCCGGGGTTCACGCCATTCTCCTGCCTCAGCCTCCCGAGTAGCTGGGACTACAGATGCCCGCCACCACGCCCGGCTAATTTTTTGTATTTTTAGTAGAGATGGGGTTTCACCATGTTAGGCATGATTAATTTTCTATCATTACTCCTAAAAGAAAATAGAGTGCATAAATTCCATCTTACTAAAAAAAAGAAAAATTAAGAAAGCAACAAAGGAATATTATGTAAAAAAGAAACAAAAAGGAAAAAGTCAAAAAGTTAAAATTAGAAATAGGTTTAAATATTCTAGCTCTCAGAATAAATAAAAATAAAATAAATATTCCAATGTGATTTTTATAAAAAGACACTCTTTAAAATAACCAAACAAAATACCTAGGAATAAACCTAAAAAAATAAATGGGCAAAAGTTTGTGAAGAAATTGACAAAGCTTTATTAAAAGGCTTTAACAAACAGGTAAATAAATGAAGGGATATGTCTTATTTATAGAAGGAAATATTGTGGAAGAAAAAAATACCAATTTCTACAAAATATATCAAAATTTGTAGTGCTACTCACTCACAATACCAATAAGGTTTGTTACAGACATTACCAAGATGACTCTAAAATCTATATGAAAAAAGAATCACAGATAACCAAGTCGCTTTTACAGCAAAGTGGCCAACACAGACAAGAGGGCATTTCATGCACTTGTCATGTGTCAAGACTTACAATACAACAGTAGTAACCAGGCATTGTGGCATAGATCAGTGGAACAGAAAGTAAAACACCAGAGATTCATGCGTGTGTGGAGACTTGATGTGTGTATTGAGAAATATTACCTCAATGTGGGACATGAGACGGAAGGATAGCTCTGGGTCTTAACAAAGTCTTATCAGGATGTGCATCCGGCCAGCAGCATCCACCTCACCTGGAAACGGGTAAGGAATGCAGACTCTTGGGCCTCATACCTGAGTCTGAAATTCGAAACTCGAGGTGGCGCCCAGCACCTGCGTTTTAACAAGGCCTCTAAGTGATTCTCATGCTTGCTCAAGTTTGAGAACCACTGGTCCAGATCATCTAACCAACCCATCTCACAGGAATCTCTTGGGAAAATGTATTTTTGTTTGACTCACTATTTCTTGATGAAGACCCAAACCCCAAGCCCTGTAAAGCGAGACATGTACTTGCAGAAAATTAGTACAATGCAAATGATGTTGTCTAGGGAAAAGGTAAATAGTTTCTGTCCAGTAGAGAAGATAACTTCAAATGTTAAAGTTTAATTGCCCTATGAGATGCTAGCCAGTTTTGTATTTAACTTAACCATCTTACACTAGTAATTATACTTAATCTTTATGCATCAATAATTGTAGCTTGGGTATCTCACTGGCTTCCTCATCAAAGGTTTACTACATCTTGCTGGGTGTGGTGTCTCACACCTGTAATCAAGACCAGCTGGGGCAACATAGTGAGACCCCATTTCTAGAAAAAAGAACAAAGAATTAGCTGGGCTTGGTAGTGCATGCCTGTAGTCCTCAGCTACCGGGTAGGCTGAGACAGGAGGATCACTTGAGACCAGGAGTTTAAGGCTGCAGCGAGCCATGATAGTGCCACTGCACTCTATCATGGGTGACAGAGTAAGACTCTGTCTCTAAAAAAATGTTTTAAAGACTTACTGCACTTTTGACAAAAGCTGACTGTATAGTTGCATAAAAATTGCTTTTAACTCTTTGAAAAGTGTGCTTTAACATGGAAGAGAGGTAGAATCACAAGGGAGTTAGGTAGAAATTGACTATTTAAAAATTGGTGTGGGAAAATTGGATATCCACGGGGAAAATTAAAATTTTATTCCAGACCACTTCATACGGATCAGTTCTAGTGTATGGAGAACATCCATAGGAATCACAAAACTTTGAGACTGTCACAAGAAAAATCAGTACAGTAACTTTACAAACTTCACATGTGGAAGCATTTATTAAAATAGGCACAGAAAACATATATCTTAAAGCAAAAAAAAAAAAAAAACAAGAAAACAAAATAAGAAATTCAACTCAATTAAATTAAGAAGCTTTATGTCTCAAAAATACACAAGGAAAACAGTGAGAAGGCAAGTTGTATACTGTGAGTGCAGATTTGCAAAAAAATTAACTAACAAAGAATTAATCATCAAAATATATTTTAAAAAATTCTCCAAATCAGTAATAAAAAGGCAAACAGCCTAATAGGTTCACAGCAGAGGAAAAAATATGGCAAATAAACACAGGAACAGATGCTTAACCTCATTATCAATCCGAGAAATGCAAATTAAAACAATAATGAGATGCCATTTGCACCCACCAGATTGGCAAAAGTTAAAAAGTCTGACAATTCTACTTGTTGGTGAGGATGGATCCTTGAGAAGACTGAAGCTTTACCGGTGAGACTGTCAATTGGAATAATCACTTTGGAAACCATTTGGATACATTCTAGCCTATTTCTCATGATCCTCTAACTTCTTTTCTGCCCTTGTATCCCAGAGAAATATTTGCACGGGTACACCATTCCACATGCACAGTAGCCTACACAGCAGTATTGCTGGAATTGTATGAAACCAGAAAAAGCTTAACTGTTGACTCACATGATTATAGATAAGGAAACGGACATTTTCACTCATGGAACACAACACAGCAGTGAAAATGAACAACCACTACATCTGCCAACATGTGTCTCTCAATTTGGACTTCTGTGGGTGAATCGAGATGGGTGATCCCCTTAACATAAAAGGAACTTGGAGTTTCTTTTTATTATGCTGTGTGGTGCAACTTTACAAAATACATTTTGAAAGTCATTGGGTTCCAAATTAAAATACGTTTCTATGAGAAAAAGCATTTATTCTTACTTGTTCTTTCTTGTTGCTTCTTTCAATTTGTAAAGTTTAAAAATTATTATTTAGCTCCCTATTATTAATTAGGGGTTAATTATAGCCACCTAGCAATCACATTTTTGAGCATCTAAATATCTACACTGAAAGATAAGAAAACTCACATGTCAGATGATGAATCAAATGCATGCGTTGGATTCAGGGTGTTGGTCATGAGGGGCCTGTGCCCATGCAGTGACAAACCTTTGCATTTGATTTATTTATGCCTTGATTGCACTCCACGTAGTGTCCTGACGTGATGAAAGGGGCGGTTGGAATAAAATGACCCTCATGTGAGCCTGAACAATGGGAAAGACTAAGAAAGACAGTGGTGAACGTCTGTATCCTAAAGGGTAAGCTCCTTAAGACACAGTGAAACGACTCCTGTGAGTTTGCACCCACATTCTAGTGGGGCACCCCTTTTCATTTCTGTGCCATTTGTGTTTTATGCTTCCAGGCGCCGCCGTCCTCTGGCGTCCTTTGCTTGCTCCATTTTCTTCCCGTTTTGCCCGGATTCACCTGCTGTGGCTCAACAGAAGCAGAATGGGCTGGACCCGACCATTCCAAGGAGATGTTGCAAAAGCACCTGCACAAAAAATGTTACAAAATCGTTTTAGGGGTGTGTCACTGCTTTGAAAGATAATGTGTAACATTTAAGGAGAGATTCTTTTTTACACCCTACTCCAAAATCCCACCTCAACTCAAAAAGAAATTTATTGAAAGAAACAAATTCAGGGAACATATATTATTTGAGAAAAGATAAAGAAAAAATGGTTGACTACAAAAATATTGCAGAACATTAAGAAGAGAATGTGCACAAAAACCTGAAATGCTTATAAATTATACATTCCCTTTCCCTCTCCTCCACCCTCACCGCAGCTCGGCCATGTAGCTCGCCTTCCACTGTTTGATTTCTCTCAGTTAGGGAGATGAGATGACTTTACTGAAATAATGAAACACATGGATGGAAAATAACCCCAAAGACGGGAAAGCTGAAAATGCAAGATTGATAAAGTAATTTTAATTTGGTTCTACATATGTTAAGGTAGTTAGGGTGACTTTTGTGAAGGAGTCCAACTGTGTGAAGACAGATGTGCAGAATCGGATTAAACACACACCCACCCCCGCCCTCACTCTGGCGCCTGCTCTCTTTACACGGGGGCGATGCTGTTTTCATTTCAGAGCACACTGTGTTGTTTTCGCAAACCAGAGCATCTCAGATAACGTTCTAGGAATTGCTCATCATTCATGGTGGGGCTGCAAAGCCACTGGACGTCTCCTGGTCAGCGCATTTATGATGTGAAAATGTATGATTGACTTTCAGCAATATTCTCCTTGGTGTCACAGGTCCCCAGGGCAAAGGAGGTCAGGAAGAGAAGGAGGTGAAGGGAGGGGAAGGGAGGAAAGGCTGTCAAAGAACAATGAGCCGTAACCGAGCCCTTAGCTTCCCAAGTATGATTCTCTCTAATGCAGCTCAAGAACGTCTTTTTCCTCCTCAATCTGCCCTTACTCCTACTTATGTTCAAAAACATCACAGATAAAACGCAGGCTCCCGCTGGTGCATTGATCCTCGCCACAGTCCAGGGCCTGAGATGCCTGGACGCACGTGCTGCCCCAGCCCTGGGCCCCTGCTGCTGGGTGGCCTTCCTGCCCCTGGAGCCGTCTGGGCCGGGGACAGCGTACCGGGCCACCTGGTGTCCAGGGAGATGGTCTGGCGATCAATATGGCGGTGACAGCAGTGGATAGGAGGCTCGTTTGAACCTCACACGCAAATACAGGCAAAATCAAGACAGCTGCTCCCATCTAGGGAAGACTGGGCTCTCTCCATCGAGTCTTCAAGACTCAAGCGGCTGTAAGCAGCAGAGGCCTCCTCTGAAGTTGGAACGTAGAGGAGGCAGAGAGGTTATGCAATAAAGCACTTACTGTACGTTTCATGTGCTTCTCTCAAAAGATCAGAGATGTGAGATTTAGAAGCCAGTAGGTCACGGTTACATGGCCTCTGCGGTCTCCACCTCCATGATGTCCTGTTTAAAAATTCCAGGTGAAATTTTTTAGGGTGTTTCGGCATTCTGGGTGCAAATCTGAGATGCAGTTTTACATAAATCTCTACAGTGAGTATGACTAAGGTAGGATACTTGTAACAACTCAAACTAGTTTATTCTCTTTATCTGGAAATAGTTTCTTTCTCCTTAAGATGAGGAAACAGATAAACCCTATAAGAACCTGAGGCTTCACTGGAAGGGACTGTGGATTCCCCGAGGGAATCCCATTATGCTTAAGACTCCGGAGACTGAGAGGTTAACTGATGTGCCCACAGTCTTAGAGCAGCGCCCCGACCTAGGAAACCTGGATTCCTGGCTTGGTCCTGTTCCTAGTATATTGTTCTTTGTGTTTTCCTTAATCTCTCAATGGTGGAATGAGTGAGGATCCGCAGAATCCTAGCAGGTAGATTAAACCTTTCTGAGCAGTATCACGTACAAGGTAGTGGGATTCAACAATGAACAAAGCAATCGTCTGGGCGTGGTGGCTTAGGCCTGTAATCCCAGCACTTTGAGAGACCCAGGCAGGTGGATCACTTGAGCTCAGGGGTTCCAGACCAGCCTAGGCAACACTCCCAAATGTCAATTGATGTCACTAGTAGTAGCGTCCTTGGCAAAACAAACCATAGTTTATCACAACTTTCACTAGTCCAGCCATTCCTCGCAATTTTTGTATTTCTGACAAATATAAACGTAATTGGAGGGAGGGGAACCAGAGGGGCTGAAAGACATCATCCAATCAGTCAGAAAATACCAGCCCATGCTTAAGTTTATTTCTGTATGTTCCCTCTATTCACAGCAATTTCATCTGATACATGGATTTTTATTTCTTCCGTTTTTTGCACTCCCCATTCTTCCAGCTTTCATTCCACTGTTGAGTGCGCCCCCTTCCTATACACTCCATGCATCAAGAGCCTGCGTTGATTCACCATTTCCCATGTCATTGTTGGGACGTGGGCTCTCGCTTCCGTTGGATAAGTGCATTTCCTTACAGTGGAACTGCTGAGACAGAGTGGATGTTTAACTTTAAACACAGCGGCCACTGGGTCTTCAGGGGACTATGCTGTTTTAACTCCCCCAACAATGCACAATAGTTCCAGTTGCTCCACAAGGTATTGGTTGGCTCAGTCTGCCATAATGAAAGACATGGACTCGGCGGCTTAAAACAGCCAACATTGATTTTATCCCAACCTGGAGGCTGGGAGTCCAAGGCCAAGGTGTCATGAGGGTGGGTTTCTCCTGAGGCCTCTCCTTGGCTTGTATATGGCCATCTTCTTGCTGTGTCTTTCTGTGGGCTTTTCTCTGCGCTCTTTCCCTACAAAGACAGCAGTCATGTTGGATTAAGACCCATCCTGATGACTTTATTTTACCTTAATACCTTCTTGAAGGCTGTACCTCCGAATACAATTGCATTCTCAGGAGTTAGGGCTTCAATCCTTACAACACACATCCTCTCCAAAATTAGATGTGTCTGGGTTTTCTGGTTTTTATTGATTTTTTTTTTGCCATTCTACTAAGTGTGAAATAGTATCTCCTTTATATTTTCCATAAACCTAGTGGACATTCTTATATCTCCTTTGTGATATATTTTTGTTACCTATTTTTTTGATTGAGTCTTCCTATTTTTGATTTAAGAGTTTTATATATTCTGAATAAAAGTATATTGGATTAAATATTTGGCTTGCAATTTTTTTTACAATCTGTAACCTGCTTATTCATTTTCTTAATGATGTATTTTAATTACATCTAATATTTCCTTTTTTCCCCTTTTATGATTAGTGCTTGTTTTCTTCTAAGAAATATTTGCCTATCTCAAGTTTCTGGTTCTACCTTTTGTGTCTGGGCCTACCAGAACTGAATTTTTGTATAGGAAGACATGCAATGGTTTAAACTGATTGTTGACGTGTCTAATTGTCCCCAAAGACTTTCCTGTCCCCTTTGAGTCATCTTGGCACATTTGCCGAAAAGCCGTTGATGTGTAATGAATATCCATTTTATTCTGTTGGTCTTTTATCTACAATTATACCATTCATTACACTATCCTGATTAATGTGTCTATCTAGTAAGTCTTGAATTTGGCAACAGTGAGTTCTACAACTTTGTTTTTCATTTATTTACTTTTAAAATGAGCCAATGTAAATTATTACATTAAAGGGATGAAAATAAGCTATATAGTCATCTTGTTAGATGCCCAAAGTCATTTGATAAAATTCAACACTTGTTCATGATAAACTCTCAGAAGCTGAAAATAGAAAAGTACTTCCCCAAACTGACAAATGACAGCTACAAAAAAGCTGTAGATATAATCCAGTTCACGGCGAAATACTGGATGCCTTCACTCTGAGATCAGGAGGAAGGCTGGAGCATCCACCATTGGGTTTTATGCTCAATGTTGTCATAGATACCCCAGCACTGTAACAAAGAAACAGAAAGAGAAAAGGAAAAGATGTTAACACTGGAACAAAAGACATAAAACCATCTTTCTCCTAAGTTGTTATAACTGTGTATCTAGAAACCTAAAGAACCATAAAAAACACTTAGAAATGACAAGTTAAAAGTTTCCTGAATACGAAGTCAATATCCAAAATCAGTTAAGTGTCTCTATTACCAACATTTAAAAATAAAAGAAAATGAAAAAACAGTATTATATATAATGTAATTTAAAAAAAGAAGTACTTAGAATAAATATAACCAAAGTTTTGAAAACGTCTACACTAGAAATTCCAAAACATTGTTGAGTGAAATTAAGGATGACTTAAAAGATAGAGACTATTCTATGTTCATGAATTTTAATAAGCAACATTTTTAAGATGTCATTTTTTACAAATTGGATATACATTAAATGCAATATCAATCAATATTCCAGTATTTTTTGTGGCAATGGACAGACTGATTCTAAATTTATAAACAAATGCAGCACCAAAGAATTACTTAGGTAGTATTCACAATGAAAAACAAGACAAGTGACTCCATGAAATTGCATAAATTAATAAAATTTCTGGCAGGTAAGGCAGCTTGGTATTGGCCTATGAGAAAACAATATGCCAATGGAATTAAAATGGAGTCTAGAAAACCCACATGAGGACATGAGGACAGCTACCTGATTTATAGCAAAGGCTCCACTGCAAATCAGAGGTGAAACTTTTTTAAAATCTCAATAATTGGTGCTTGAAGAACTGGATATTGGAAAACAATCAAGCCTTCCCCTTCTTCACATGTGTACAAATGATTTGAGGTGGACAACAGAGCTAACTGTGAAAGCTAGAAAAATTGTAAGGAGTAAAACTATACTTAAACAAACCGTAAGTATAAAGGACAAAAAAGCCCACTCTCATGTATTGCCACATAATGAATCACCCAGATTTTCCTCTATTTCTTTTACGCTTTCTTTTAACATTTAACTTGTATGTGTCTTTCATTTATTTTGAATTCTGTAAGAGTTCTTCCTTATTTTCCTACAAATATTAATCAATTATTTCCATTATGTATATTGATAATATTTTCTACTCTACCAATTATTTGTCCAACACTAATTGAGTGTTCCTCATGGGATAGGTACTGTGTCTTATGTTTCATTTAAGTTTTAAAGTAGAGAGATGTGTGTGGACAGAGAGAGGGATTTCCTTTCCTACAGATATTAATTTCTAGTGAATTCCATTGACTCCTATTAAATAGTAGGAAATTAGATATACTAGGGAAAATCCACATGATGGGAACAATGACAGAGAAATGACAGGGGGTCATGATGGACTTTAGAAATGGATCCAACCCAAATACTAGGGTAAAAAAAATCCTTCCCACATGAAAGAACATCTAAAGTGAGACTTAGAGGTGATAGACGTGTGGAGCCTACAGGTATGAGACACTGATAGGAAGAATGTTGTAAAGAGGATGGTACCGTGGCTTACTGATGGCAGGGCTGAGGGAGCAGTCCATCATGGCTGCAGGTAATGAGGAGGTACATCAGCTGTAGAGAAACTGGAACTAATAACAAGCTGTCTTTAGTATGCTTGCTTTCCTTGTCTCTCTGTGGCTGCAATTCTGTTCAATTTCCTTCTTTAAAATAACTGCTTGTAGGACTACTTTCTAAACAGTTGCTGCTGTAACTGTTGAGTTTACATGGATGAAGCTGGAAACCATCATTCTCAGCAAACTATCACAAGGACAAAAAACCAAACGCCGCATGTTCTCACTCATAGGTGGGAATTGAACAATGAGAACACTTGGACACAGGAAGGGGAACATCACACACTGGGGCCTGTTGTGGGGTGGGGGGAGGGGGGAGGGAAAACATTAGGAGATATACCTAATATAAATGATGAGTTAATGGGTGCAGCACACCAACATGGCACAGGTATACATATGTAACAAACCTGCACATTGTGCACATGTACCCTAGAACTTTAAGTATAATAAAAATATATATATTTTAAAAATTATATATAGATACATATGGAGCTTCAAATGAGCACATATTATTCCTCTTATTTTAATAATCATTGTTGTACGTACAGAAGTTAATCCGGAGAGCTCACAGTTACATAGTCAGCTTCAGACTTAGAGTTGGTTTCACATCTTCCTCTCAAGAGTAAATTCAGAACTAGGTGAGTTCAGCTGGGCACAATTCTCTGTCTTTTAATTTCACTATTTAGTTTATATACATTTATTTAATGTGGGAAAGTTTATTTAGGCTTTTATATTGATGTTTGTTTTCTATTCATGCCATCTACCTTTGTATTTGTTTGATTTTTTTCCTGCCTTTTTTTTGGTAGAAATATTTTTAGTAGTCTCTTTTATTTAATTCTTATGTTTAACTTTGAGCTACAAGTCTTTACATGACTTTTCTATTAATTTTCTATAGATTACAACATGCTTCTTTTCCTTCTTCCTATACATGGGCTTATCATTGTGCTGCTTCATATACGATGTAAAACTTTGCAATGTCCTTTGTTCTTTTGTTAATATATAATAATCCCACAATATGGCATTAAATTTTGGTTTAAAGGGTCATCTGTCTTTTAAAGAAATTAAGAAAGTAAAAGGAACAGTAATACATTTATCATTCTTGTTCTGTTTCTTCTTATAGGTTTGGCGTGATTTCTTTTTGGTCTGAGGAACTTATGTTACCATTTCTTGTAAGGAAGGTCTGCAGGCCATTAACCCTTTTAATTTTCTTTCACCTGAAAAAAGTATTTTGTGAAGAACATTTTGATGGATGTAGAATTTTGGTCTGTAAATTTTCTTTTTACTTTATTTTTAGCCTTTCAGCATTTAAAATTGTCAAACTATTATCAACTATTATCTTCTTGCTTATTTTTGTCATTGAAAATCAGTTTTCTTTTGTGTTATTGTTTATTTTGCTTTTCAGATTTTTAATTTATCTTGGGTTTTCAGCAGTTTGAATATGGTCTTCCCAGATGTAGGTTTCTTTATTTGTATTTTTTATTGAGTTTCACGGATTTTCTGGATCACTGGGTTGATTTGTTTCATCAATATTCAAAAATCATAGCCATTATCTTTTCATAGATTTTTTTTCCTGCCCTATCCACCCTTTTCCTTCTGGATCTCTAACTATGTGTATGTTAAGGCGATACTGCCTCACAAATCTCAAGTCTCAATCTTGTTATCACTGTTTTTGCCATTGTTATTATTATTTGTGATTTAGTGTGGTCTTGTTATCACTGTTTTTGCCATTGTTGTTATTATTTGTGATTTAGTGTGGATCATTTGTACTGCCTCATCTTTGTTGCCATTATTATTGTTATTTGTGATTTAGTGTGGATCATTTGTATTACCTTTTTTGCCATTATTATTATTATTTGTGATTTAGTGTGGATCATTTGTATTACCTTTTTTGCCATTATTATTATTATTTGTGATTTAGTGTGGATCATTTGTATTACCTCTTTTTTTGCCATTATTATTATTATTTGTGATTTAGTGTGGATCATTTGTGTTTCCTCGTGTTTTTTGCCATTATTATTATTACTTGTGATTTAGTGTGGATCATTTGTATTGCCTCGTCTTCAGGTTTCCTTTTTATTTTTTTTAAAGATTAGCAGGGAGATCATTTTGATCTCCCTGGTAAACTTCTCTATCTTTTCACTCATGTTGTCCAACTTTTCCACTATATCATAGTAATTTTAAAGCTCATGACTTATAATACCATACCTGAACTTCTCCATCTTCTATTGACTGCTTCCTCTCTTTACCATGGGTGACATTTTCTTGCTTTTTCTTGTTTCTTTTAATTTCTTACTGTGTCCCAGACATTGTATATAAAACAACAGACGAGACTGAAATAAATAATATTTTCCTAGAAAATGGCATGCCCTTTTCCTGTCAGGCTGATTAAGTGGGGCACATGTTCACCTAATCTGCAGTTGAACTGGTCATCTTTCTTCGCTGTAGCTCTAGTTGGATTTTGATCAACAGTGACTTCAGATGTTTTGGAGGCAAGATCAGGTATTTACCTTCTGTAGGCCTTGAGCTCTAAGTATTGGAGAGCTATAAATGCCTCTCTGTTCTTAAGTCCTGGTGCATCTTTCTGCATCACAGGAGGCCTTTTTCTCCTTTACAGGCTGTGTTGTGGTTGGTTGCTGGGAGTTTGCTTTTCCTTGCAGTCCTGTTTCTGGCTGTCTTGCTTGTGCTTAGCTGTCTCTGCTGCACTCCTCCCGCCTTTAGAAAGCAGGTGACTCAGGATGACTTGGGATTTTGAACTGTCATTCTAGCCTACACACAGCCAACAAAAGCCGTTTAGAAGTCCACTGGTTTCCCCGTAATCCTTCAATATGGTGCTCCACAAAAAGTGGAAGGAGCTGAGGCTCTCTCCTTGCTTGGAAATGACTGGCTAATTTCTAGACTTAAGTCCATGAAGTATGCACCTTCAGCCCTCTGATGGGTTTGTAGCTTGTCCAGGCTATCCTTATGGTCAGGATAGAAGCAAGGTCTCTTGCTTCTCTCTAGATGCCAATTGAACACGGAAGTCTGGGTGCATTCTTTTAAACATATTGCTGCAACAGGGTCTGGTATAAAGGTATATGACCATGAAATTTATCAGGCAATCAGCAATATTTTTCAGAGTAAAAGGAAAGGATAAAAATAACAAGTCACATCATTATAAAGTGTTTATTTGGTATAATTTTATGGATAAACTTGTAATAGAATTCAATTCAAAAACTATGTTAAGACTAAAATAGCTTTTGAAACATATAAACTACATATATCTGTATACATTATAATACATTATAGCAAATTGTACAAAATTCTTCTACATATTAATTATTTCTACACAAAATAAGCCTAAGTGGTATGACTACATATGGAATCATGACAGGTCCATGACTGCCATCCATTTCTAAGGCACCTCTGTCTTTTTACCAGTCTTCTTATTATTCTGAAAATTTTTTAAAACTTCTTATTACTTTGAATGTTTATATAATATTTCTTAATCATTCTCCAAACATTGAATTTAATGACTAATGAATTTGAAATTATTGACATTTTCAATTGATTTTTTTCAACAACCTTTTTTTGAGAAGACAGTTTTTTTGTAAATACTGAGATGCATGACAGGTTCAGAAAAAATTCTCTTATATGAATGATAGTCTCCATTTTATGTTTTCATATTGAAATATACACATATTTAAGCCTCTGTTTTCTCAGCTACTGCCTTTCCCTTTCTATTCAGGAGGAAAAATAAAAAATAAACATAATAAAACATAATAAAAGCTCTGAAATTAAGGTTCTATGACTCCTTTGTAAATTCTGCCAAATTTGGATGAAGTGCAATTACAGGGCTTTACAATTTCATTTCTTCCCTGAATATAACTGAATCTAATTATTACAGAAAATGAATCAGAAGGCATTTATTAAAAGTTGATTTATTCTGAATGCAATTACTTAATTTCAAAATTAAATCTTCTACACTCTTTGAGTTCTCAGCATTTAATTTGTTCACCTTCTGCCTTACTTTTTGGGGATATGTTTCTATGCCTTCTTTACAAGTTGCTTGTTTGTTTGGAGCGGGTGAGTTGGGAGCCAGGCAATAGTGTGGCTCAAAAGCTGAAGTTTTTGGCAAAGTTTTGGTTAAATTGTCTTATTAACTATTTCTAAATAATTTTGCACAAGATATAATATAGTTTAGAGGAATTATTTTTTAAATAGTTGAAATCATTTTAGGATGCTTTGGTTGACATACAGAAGAGCCTTTAATGATCAAACAAGCACTGTGTCTGATGATAGGAAGTGCATACTGATGGTCTATACTATTATACTGAAATATTATGTTTTATCTAATGTTAATTTCTTTTTAAAATATTTATATTTCAGTTATTCTGTACAATATAAAATATTATTAAATTTTTACAGCCATAACTTCTCTTTCCATTAGTAGAATATCTTACCTTCTGTGAATACAACCATGAATTATGCAGGCACAACCAACTTTATATACATTTATGCTTCAAATATTTCATAATTTAGTAAGAATACTACTTTTACCATAATCCCATTTCATCAAGATTTGCAATTTTATTATCACCACCAAGCAAACAATTTTATAATCAATGTTAAAATTTTGTCAAAATTTGTAGCATTAACAATAACATCACATCATTCACTTTTAACAGGATGAAGTTAAGAAAGTTTTGGATTAAAGAAAATAAAAGTATTGGATAAAAATGTTGATCATTATTGAAGATAACAACTGTTTTTTCTATTTAAACCAATAACAACACTGGTTACTTTGCAGGTTGATTTTGCTAACCAGCCAACTGTTGCTTCACTTTCATGTATACAAAAAAGGGACTAAAAATGCCTGAAATTAACTTACTAGAATATCATTTCATGTGAAAGGAAAGTCACATTACATGGAATAACATATAAAGATCCCGTCCACAGCTGCATAGGGTAAATCATTACCTTTGGGCACAAATTATTTCCTATAGAATTAGCTTTTCTGAAAGATGGTTAAGACTATTTCAGTAGATTTGTGTTTTCAGATTTGTGTGAAGTTAGTATCACTGTTGCCTCCATAGGAGATGGTAAATTATGTTAAATATTTTGTACAAATTACACATATCATAGCATTTCTTGAAAATTGGAAAGTCAGCACTGGATTTATTTTTATTTTTATTTTATTTATTTATTTGTTTGTTTGTTTGTTTTTGAGATGGAGTCTCGCTCTGTCACCCAGGCTGGAGTGCAGTGATACCATCTCGGCTCACAGCAACCTCTGTTTCCGGGGTTCAAGTCATTCTCCTGCCTCAGCCTCCCAAGTAGCTGGGATTGCAGGTGCCCGCCACCACACCCAGCTAATTTTTGTATTTTTAGTAGAGACAGGGTTTCAACAGGTTGGCCAGGCTGATCTCGAATTCTTGACCTCAGGTAATCCACCTGGCTCAGTCTCCCAAAGTGCTGGGATTACAGGTGGGAGCCAAACACTGGATTTTTAAATTACATATGTGGTTTTAAAAATTCTGGGATCCAAAAAGATTATTGCAAAAAAATCAAGCATTAACAACTAATAATATTGTAAATAAAGAGCTACAGACTCATAACATACAGTAGCTGACAAAGCCACTGTAGATAAGAAGTTCACATTACTCACAGCTTCTGATTTCCACACTTGCATCCACCTGACCCCTCATTTCTCACGCTTCTCACTGCTCCTGACTATGGGTGGTTTAGCAGTTTCTGTGTCTCACAGGCCGTATTACCACTTAAAGGAACACCAAGGCAGGAGAGACGGTCATGTCTCCCAACACCATAAGAGAAAGTTAGAGCCCGTCACAGCTGATACTCAACTGTGCAACGTCAGCTCCCCATGCTGCATCAGTTTACCATGGAGCACTCTGGATGCTGATTTGTAGAAAGTGTTTGTTACAGGAATTCTGGAAATGTTTGCAACAATTACATAGGACTCATTTTTAAATTTTTTTTTTTTTAGATCTGACCACTTATTAAAGTAGAAATTCTGATTTTTGTCCATGTGTCTAATACTACACAAAACTTAGGCAATATCTGGCAGTAACTAGTGAGTATGAACCAAACTCAGCCCAATGACATGGTTTGGCTGTGTCCCCACCCAAATCTCATTTGAATTTTACCTTCTATAATCCCTATGTGACTTGGGAGGGACCCGGTGGGAGGTAATTGAATCACAGGGGTGGGTCTTTCCCATGCTGTTTTTCTGATAGTCTCACGAGATCCGATGGTTTTATAAAGGGGAGTTCCCCTGCACAGGCTGTCTTGCGTGTCACCATGTAACGTGTGACTTTGCTTCTCTTTTGCCTTCCACCATGATTGTGAGGCCTCCCCAGCCATGTGGAACTGTGAGTCCATTAAACCTCTTTTTTTGTATAAATTACTGAGTCTTGGGTATTTCTTCATAGCAGTATGAGAACGGACTAATACACCCAGCTTAACAGCATTCTTGCATGTTTCCATATTAATTCCGGTGTCAGTAATCTATTTTAAAGAAGTGCTCAGACCTACACACAGAGTTAAATATATGGAATTATACTTAGCTAGCAGAGTAGGTGGATAGATCATTATTATAAGGTCGGTTACATTCAATAAATTTAAACAACCTCAAATCACAGGAACAAATTGAAACATGTGTAGTCATTAAATAAATAATTCTTCCATTCTTATCTGTTAATCATACTCAGAAAAAACGTTTAAAAATTATTTATAGTTTTAATCATGAGATGTCTGCACTAGATATGCTTCCGGTTTCTTTCAGAATGAATACAGAATGAACACAGTGTGAAAAGAAAATTTGGGGTGACTGCATCACGTGACTTTATAGTGATAAGGAGATTATGGTGAAGATGATAATGATACTATTGTTTTGTAAAGTAATGTTATTACTTTAATATTTAAATGTTAAATATTGCATAAAATAATAATTATTTAAAATAAAGGTCATTTGGCAAATGGGAAATAAAGAGCATTGATAAGAAAATTGAAATTTGTCACAGCCTACAGTTTTCAAACAGAAATTTCACTCCCATGATGACGGCGTCATTTCTCTTACTATTTAGAGAGCAAATTCTACCTAAGGCTTTACAAATACAACATTTCTTTTGCACTGCAACCTTCACTTATTATTGCATTTTGGCATTTGTCCTCTGAAAATTTTAAAATATTCATCATCCAAAGTTGGTCATAATAAAATTTTTGGAAATCTGGGCCAAATTCCAATCTTTGCTTTTCTTGACACTTGAGAAAAGGAGAAGCTATATTAAGTTCTCCATGTGGGGTTAATCAAGGTCTGTGAGTGGAGAAATTTCTTTCTCCTCCAAATAGAAGTTCACTATGAGCTAAACCTATTGAGAGAACTTGGATTGTAAAGATAACGATCAGCTGCTTGAGTCACAAAGAAAAGGGTCTGCCCAGGCCTATGCAGTGAGTGATCCTTCTCTGGGTCTCAGAGAAGTTTCCAAGTACCTGTGATATGGTTAGGCTTTGTATCCCCACCCAAATCCCATTCTGAATTGCCTCAAGGGAGAAACCAGGTACAGGTAATTGAATCTTGAGAGCGGTTTCTCCCATGCTGTTCTAGTGATAGTGAGAGAGTTCCCATGAGATCTAATGGTTTTACAATGGACTCTTCCCCCATTGCTTGGCATTCCTGCTTCCTGCCACCTTGTGAAGATGCCTTGCTTCCCCTTCACCTTCTGCCATGATTGTAAGTTTCCTGAGGTCTTTCCAGCCATGCAGAACTGTGTGTCAAACCTCTTTCCTTTGTGAATTATCTAATATCAGGCAGTTCATAGCAGCGTGAGAATGGACCCATACAACCTGCTTACCCCAATCCCCTGCTTCCTTCTTCTCTGGCATCTTCCCAGACCTTGGCCTGGCTTTGCACCATTCCATCACTGATGGGCAGTCAGTCCTGACATATTTGTGTAGCAATCCCAAATAAAACCAAGCTTTTACTATCACAGTCAACTGCCCAAACACTCCCACAAGGCAACACGCGGACTGGTTAAGAGAGCAGACTTCGGCACCAAGCTGACCTGGATTTAGAGCTTACCTCTCTTATACACTATGAGGTCCCACGCACCATGGACACGTTACCAAATTATTCAAGAATAAATAAAATGAACTCACGTAAATGAATAATCACCTGCACAAAATTGACTCAGTTGCTTTTGGTTATTATTATATAATTTCTACATTCGATTTTGAGATGGTAATCTGTAAAGCAATAACATTTTAGCACATCTTCACTGAAAGGAAGCTCAAAAGACATTGATGCAACCCTCCAAATCTCATGTTGAAATGTGACCCCTAATATTGGAGTTGGAACCTAGTAGGATGCCTTTGGCCCATGGGAGTGGATCCCTCATGACTGGCTTGGTGCTGTCCGTAAGGTAATGAGTGAACTCTCACTGTATTAGTTCCACTATAAGCTGCTGCTAAAAAGAGCCCGGAGCCTCCCCCACTGTCTTGCTGCCTCTCCCTCCATGTGATCTCTGCACATTCCAATTCAGGACTCCTTCTCCTGCCCCTCACTGTCAATGGTGGCACTGGGGGGTGTGAGGAGGGCGTCAGGGTGCGAATGGGAGAAAGTAAAAACCAAGGCAGGCTGCAATGGGTGGGACAAGTATTGAGGGCAGCAGATGGGCATCCTCTCCTGGGGGAAGTGCCTGAGGGAGGCAATGCAGGGGCCACGAAGCTCTTTGGTCTCCTGGCTGCAGAAGGCACCGTGTTACTTCCTAGTGTGTCTGCACCCATGAAGATTCTGAATGTCTCATGTCTCCTGTATCATCAGCCTCATGGGCGAGTGAGCATGCACCACAGGCCTCGTCTCAACAACCCTCAGGGGCCATCACCACAGGCCGTCATGTGAGTCATACCCCAGCCGGGGTTGCAATGTGCGAACCGCAAAACCATGCACTGCATCCCAAACCTGAAAGCCTGGGAGGCCGAACTGACTTTGTTTCCTAAAGAGATCGGTTGTTTCCATTCTTTTAAAATTTAAGTACAGTTTTTTAATACACAAAGATTAGGGACTTACAGAAAATTGCAGAAGATAATTAAGAACAAAAAGATTATTTAAACCATGATTGAAACTGACTTGGCTAAATCAGTTTTGAGTAAAGCGGAATCAGTCTGGTTTACTGGGAAGATCTCAGAAAAATAGTAGTTATTTCAAGCCTAAACAAACAAATATCCCCAAACAACCTAAACAACCAAATTATCTAATTTTTATACATCTCTATATTATTAAAGTTTTTATCAAATTAAATTTTTATCATATATTTATATTTTAGTTTGACTTATTTAAATTTTTATGGAATAATCAATACAATAATCATTATATTGCTCTCTTCTATGTCCAAAAGCAGTCATTCCATAATTAAAATGATGACTATTTGTGAATTACTATGTCTCTTTCCTCCTCTCTATAAATATGAGGAATTGTTCACTCCCATTCTTATTTCACTTAGATTTTAGATCTTCTCTGATTTCATGGAAATAAATTTTAAGTTAAAAGGCATTGTGAATCATTTTTACAAGGGTCCCTAAGTGTCATCTTTAATAACATATTCAAATCTGACGTCTGATATTTTCATACTAATGCCACTTAGGAAGTGTAGAGTGTGTTATGAGTAGACAAATCTCTTGCTAAGTTGATAGACATATTTTACTTGAGTTTTTCCCTTAAAGTTTTGATTAGCTGTCAATTATTTCCCCAAAGGTAGCACGTTATCTGCCTCATCATTCTTTGAAGATTAAGTAGGCTTCTAAGCACACTTCGATATCCTGAAGAAACTGTTTTAGTTAAACCAACAACAACAACCAAAAACAGAAATCAACCTAAAACCTTGCCCAAGCAAGTGCAATATTATTTGAAGGACAACTCTAACCTCTAATAATTAATAAATCTTTATTTTATCATTTTCATTATAAATCGCTAGAGAATCATTTGAAAATATTATTACTATTGGTAATCCTATTACTGAATTTTTTTATTGCTTTCAGGAATTCTTCATAAATAAATGTATATAGGACACCACTGATGGTCCACATGTAGGAACATTGTGTTTGATTTAAAGCTAATTTTTTTTTCTAAGTTTGCATTTGTTTGTTTTTTCATTTGCCAAAGTATCAGACTTTTCATATTTCATATTGTGCTTAAAATAAAGCTGAGACAATTATTGGAAATAATATAAATTCAGACATTCTGATTGCTTGGGGGCATGGACTGCAACACAGAGAGAGTTAGGTGATAGATGGATGGTTGGATACCTAGATAGATGGATGGATAGATAGATAGATAAAGATGGATATTTGACTTGGCTAATCAAAGATGGTTTATTTGCCAAAACAACTTGCGTTCATAAATATAATTTTTGATTTCATGTGCATTGACTTTTTACTTTGTGTATTTAACATTTTAACATTTTATTTTCTGATTGCATCAGTGTGGAAATTTGAGATCTTTCCTGTGGATTTTATCAAAAGGAAAAGAATGGATAAAGTGTGAAAAGCTAGGATCACTTGTGGAAATCACATTTTTCCTGTATCATATTTAAATAAAAATGTGCTTCTTACCCCTAGGAAGTTAAATGCTTCTTACAAAAGGCACACTTGACTTGTCCAAGAGAGGAAATCAAATACGTCCAGGATGGACACAGATGCTTAGCCTGTCATTCAACACTCTTATTACCGCTTCGTGAAAATGACCTTTTCCAATTTCTTAAATGTAAAATGTATGTTGAATGGACCTTAAAAATCATCTATTTCAGAATTCAGGCCTCTCATTTAATAAATTAACTGGGTCTTCCTGGGAGAACTAACAACTCACTCGAGAGCACACCATGCATCAGGGCAGCGCCAGGCTGCAAACTTGATTTTTTAAACTCCTGGTTCGGTCCTTGCTGTGCAATCCCCTACTCTAAGAAAAAACAAACAAACAAAACCATCACACATTTCCTGCTCATACTTTATGAAAAAACAACATTAGAAGGAAATTAATGCAGCTCTCTAAGCACACTCTTCAGCATGAAATTAAGAACTGAGGCTGCCCTGCGGAGCTCTGACCCACCTTACCTGAGCAACTCCCAGTGTCTCACAATGTCCACTCTCTATGGGGAATTACACAATCTCTCTGAACTTTGGTTGCACACTTTTACAAATGTCTTCCTTTAACAAATACATCTTTTAAAAAGCAAAACTCAAGATACATTTTATTAGAAAAAACTGTTAATTGATAAAAATGGATAAACATGGTGTACTTTCCAGTACTTTATCCAAGAAAGCAGAGCGTTTATTCTCTTTTCCATCATGTATAGAATATTGGGGTCAGGTTTATTGAATGAATTAGCAAACTTCACCCAGTAAAGCTGAGACTCAAATGCAAGTTTCAGATAAAAACCTTTCTTTCCAGCACATTATGATGTGTGCCACAGAGACTAATGTAGTGCTGTGGAGAGAACAGGGAATTCCAGATCACAGGTGTCCTGCCTGCAGCGACTGCACCCCCTCTTGAGGTCAGATGCGTTGGCGTATTCTCCTCTTTCTGCTACACAAACTTGGCTGCCCCTTCCTCTGGGTTCTAATCAGGACAGTGTGTCCCACTTTCTAAAAAATTTTCCAGAAGTAGGAGAGACCATATTCATCTCAATACGTGACAGTCTATTCTTTGAAGTAATCACTTACATAGCACATTTTCTAAAAATACTTGGCATTGAAAAGAAGAATAATGAGATGCAGATAATTCAATCATAATTTCCATGGCAGGGTGCAGTGGCTTACGCCTGTAATCTCAGCACTTTGGGAGGCCAAGGCAGGCAGATCACCTGAAGTCAGGAGTTCAAGACCAACCTGGCCAACATGGGAAAACCCTGTCTCTACTAAAAATATAAAAATTAGCCAGGTGTGGTGGCACGTGCCTGTAATCTCAGCTACTTGGGAGGCTGAGGCAGGAGGAACCTGGGAGGCACAGGTTGCAGTGAGCCAAGATCATGCCACTGCACTCCAGCCTGGGAGACAGAGTGAGACTCAGTCTCAAATAATAATAATAATAATTTCCATTGAAAGGTGCTTTTACGTTGTTTCATACACATGATCTTGAAGTATAGATGATGCATTGGGTGGATTGCTTCCATTTTTCTCCAGTCTACAAAGGTGCCATCTGAAGGAAGCCCTTGAACCAGCACAGCTCCATCATACCAACTGAGGCGTACGCAGAGCAGGAAGAAAAACAACCTTCGATTGAGAATATTCCCAAGCCTCATATGATCCACTCTTCACACTACCCCTGCAGCATAAAGTGGAAATACGAATGCATATCAGATGTTGAATCTGGGTTCCAGGCATGCAGGACGGTGGGTGTTGCCTTGAATTACCTGAGGGTAGAATCTTTTTGCTTGCTTTCAGAAATTTGAACAAGTTAGGAAAATGAGATAATTTGGGGTTTGCTTTTCTGCTTGAGCCAGCTATTCATCATCAATCCCCACATGTTTACAGACTGCTGGAAATTCTTGCTTGAATGATACCACTGACTTCCAGAGAGGGATATTTTACTTGCCCTTGGGAATGCTGTGGTTATACTGTAGGTCTCCGGTGATAGCATGCGGAGCCACATTTTGCCGATCATATAACAAATTATTTTTGCCCAATGTTGTGTGCACCTCATTTGTTGAGGTAGCCTACTGCTGATCAACAACCTGGTGATTTAATGGGTTGAATGTGAATCTTTGCCAAGTCTGCCCAGAAAGATGACTTGGGTAACGGTGGGTGCGGCCCCTGTCCCGGGTCTTTTTGCCCAAATGTTTCTGCCCAGGTTTGCCCCTCGTTTGCAGTTATCTCCAGATGTGGACTTCTCAGGTTATTTTCTGTAAATGAATGTTTGTTTTCTAAATTATTATAAAGCTTGCCAAAAAAAGAAAGAGAAATATTCTTTATGGCTAAGCATATAAACTATCTACATGGAGGTAAGGAACCTGAATTCCTGGATAATTCAGGCTGAAATTCATTTCCCACAAAATACAGGGGCACTGAGGCATGTAGATTATTCTAGATAATTTGCTCCATTTCTTCCTCCCCACGCTTTCCACTCCGGAGTGCAGACCTCTAGGTGGTACAATCACCTAATGTTACTGGGCCCCTAACCACACATCCACTTCCCAAAGTCCTCTCCTATGCATTTTTAAATTTGACAATCAAGATGCTTCCCATGACAAGAGGGGGTAAATTTTTGCTCCCATTTTGTAGATGAGCTCACTGGGGCCCAGAATGAACAGCAATTAGCTCAACCTTTTCAGGTGTTTCTGAATAACAAGCAGCAGCCTTGTCTAATCGGCTTGGACTGATTTCACTCGCATCCACAAAGCTGCAGAACAGCAAGACGCTATCTTTCCAAATGAATTAAACAGAAGCATTCCTCAACAGCTTCGCTGCCACTACAGTACATTAGAAGTCTCTTTCCTGCATAGTCCCACCTAAAATATGAGGAGCGAGAATAGGCAATGCCTTGTTCCACGCATCCTTGCCTAGACCGAAGACATAATCACAATGATCGCGAATGGGATGTGAAAATATGCAGCCCTCGGAGATGGATTAAATGCACATACATTTTGTAATGAGTGACTGTAATGAAAGTCAAATGAATTATAATAAAATATGGAGTTTTAAAAAAGAAAACTGCTCAATGCATAATGTTCCTGGGAAAACATTTAAGTGTTTCACTGCATGCTATTGTCAAAGTAAATAACTACCCAAGACAAACTTACCACGTGGTTTCAACTCTAACGTGATGCAGAAAGTCAGTCATTTAATTTGTTAATTAGTATCATGCCAGAAACTATCTATCCAATATGAAGCAAATATGTTTACAATCTTATCTGCCATCTGTTTAATAGATGGGAGAATACTTAGAGCTGGATTCTCAAAGAGGGTTGTGGAAAATTTGTTCCACAATTAGTGGAGCAGATTTTTTAATTCTGGAAGAATTTTGCATGCGTGGGGAGCACCTCCACTAAGAAGACAGTACATCACCGCGTCGCTACTCAGGATTAGCGATTGCCTGTAATGGGTTTCAGCAGATGCTCACCAAATTTCAGGAGTGGAAAAAAATTTAAAATATACCTATGAATACTTTGAAATAGCTATATAAATATAACACTAGCTCACAAAAAGTAGAACTGGTTTTGCACACAAAAATTTTAAGCTCAAATTCATAGATCATGCAAGACTCCGTTCTCTCATGACAGGCACGATTTCTGTAGTCAATAATTTTTCAAGATTTCATACAAGAAAGCTTCAATTATGCAGCACATTAAGCCATTAGAATGTATTCTCAAGGTGCTTTTAAATGGCTGCTTAAGAATGGATTTTAAATCATTATTTGGAAGAGATTTACAAATAAAATTGGTGGTAATCAGTGTCTGAGTGGAAGTGCCACTCCTTTAATTCTGTGTCCTCAGCCGGCTACACCAGCAGTGACTCGCACGCAGCAGAGATTCCGGACAGCCCACCGGCACGCAGCCTTTCCCCTTCCAGCCCCCCTCTCACTGCGAAAAGCTTATTCTGCCTCTATTCAAATTAAGGCTCTTCACACTCCTGGATGATTTTCTCTGACTTATGCTGTATCATTCATCCTCTTTCCTTCAAGACGTTCCGGCTTTTACAGCTAGTACTTTTTTTCCCTCCATAATATCTATTATCAATGAAGAACACCTTCAAGAATTTGGGTAAATATGTTACTCACTATTAGTGACCACTACTGTTCATATTTATCATATTGCCAACCATTCATGTGCCAATAAAACTGCATTTTGCCAGTGCCGTGAACCATAAGCAGCTATTGTAACTCTTGTTAGCAAATCATGACACAAATCTCTAGGTGACGTTTCCCCATGGTTAACTCCTCTCACTGGTATTTACCAGCACGGCTAAAATCAATTCTCAATTTCAGCTCTTCTATTAATTTCAAAGCAAAATATGATCTCTATTTTAAAATCTCACCTTCGTGTGTGTGTGTGTGTGTGTGTGTGTGTGTGGTGTGTGTTTGGTGTCCTCTGGAATTCTCTGAAGATATATAGTTCTTGCAAAAAGGATGAAAAAGATTATCTAGGAAGAAAACTAATAATGGTCATGCAAACACATTGTTTTGTTAAATATCAGCTGATTCCATCCCTCCTTCACCTGCTCACTCCCAGTTTGCTCATTCCCTGCAAACCCCCTTCCCTGTGAAGGGGCTTAGTACTTACACTACGAGCCATTTGAAAGGGCTGAAATCTAATGGGGCTCTATGCCATGGGACACTGTCCCAACATTTAAATCATGTTTCCTTCTGAACCTTTTTTGGCTTATTGCGTGGAGCTGACCTTCCGAGCCCTGGTCCTTGGGGAAAGCACTTCCTGGGGCTCTGAAATGTCTCTGCATCCACACATCTAAGCCGGGGAAGCTTCCCCTTCACAGGATTTCATGACGTGCTCATAGGATAGCCGTAGGCTACAGAAGTCACTGGGACTGAGTCTGAGTTTTTGACAAACTGTAGTTGTTGCCATAAATACGTTTCCACAGCTCTTGAATCACTCCACGATGATCCTTTAATTTTCAAACTGTTTGGATGGTACATGATGCCGACATGTACAGACGTGTGTATATGAAAGACATGTGTATATGGTGAAATCCTACCACTTAAGAGGGTCCAGACCCTACCTCTCAAGTCAGGATGAAGATTTTTGTATAAACCCCTCCCCAGTGCTGCCCCCCTCCATGTCTTAAAAAAATATGACATTTCCTGCTAACGGGGTTTAGCCAAACAGGCACCTGACTCCCCAGACCTTCTGGACACCGTACAGAAGGTCCAGCGGAAACGTGACAGGATTAAACCCACTGTCGCATTCTAAAACTCAATTCATCTGTTCCTAATAGCGCTTCAATAGTATCCTAGGAACCTCTTCTGTGAGGCTTCATCTGGTCTGTATTTGCAAACACTATTAAAAAAGAAGCCCTCGCATTCAGGGGGAGAAAAGGCTGTGTTAAATCTCTTCTCGGAGCTGCCAGGGAGAGGTGCAGACGCCACTGTGGGCAAGAGTATTTGCCAACATGCCATATGGGAGTCATGGTTGGGACTTTTTTTTTTCTAGAATAATTAAATGTTGATGGCAGAGTTCAAATGGATCATTAAAATTCAAAAGTGTAAGAAACAGATTTTTTCTTATGTTGCTGAACGCTCCAGAGGGCTGAATAGCTAGCAGAAGTGAGGCAGGCTGCCGCCCTGTGATCAGCGTGCGTGGGGATGGTGCTGATTTGATCATAATATAGTCATCTCTGAAGATTACAGCTATTCAATTAAATATTCTAATTAACCTGAAGTATTAGGCAAATGATACTAATTACAAATATTCTCCTGAGATTCACAGCGATGAAAATCCCCTTGCAACTGATACTTCTAGCCAATGTTTCGTAACACAATGTCCTATATCATAGGCTTTCAGAATATTAAAATGCAGTTAATTTGCC
This sequence comes from Homo sapiens, assembly GCF_000001405.40. NCBI lineage: Eukaryota > Metazoa > Chordata > Mammalia > Primates > Hominidae > Homo > Homo sapiens. Next base: position 78,247,536 of record NC_000018.10, on the reverse strand, counting down.
TAAACCTCATTTGTTTAATGGCATTAGCATTTTGTTTGAAATTGTAATAAACGTACATCCCGCTTTCAAGTAAAATTTAAAATGAGTGTACTCTTGGGGTAACTTAAGATTCCTGTTTACAGACTTAGCACTTTATTCAGTAAGCGGAACAGTTTGAGCTTAACTTTCAGCCATTAAACATATTGAAATTGTTTAAAAATGCTAATAATTTGTCTTTTCAAATAAGAAAAAGAGGATATTTTGCAGTAAAATTTCATGATGCCGCCCATGTGACTGGTCTCCCACTGCGAGGGCCCCGGTGCTTGAACTTTCCTTCCGTCCCCGGGAGAGCGGCTGCGTTCTGGAGGGAGGGTGCGGGTGCCCTCGCAGGACCGTTTGTGCTGGGAAGCAGCTGCAGCCTTCATTTCCCCGCACTAGTCTCCTCTCCTCTTTACATTATATTTACCCCCCTAAGGTAGCTGGGTTTCTGGGTAGCCAACCTCGGAGGTGTAATGAGACTCATTATCTCAGAAATCTCACCCTGACACCCACCCGAGTCCTATGTGCAGCTCTAAGCTCTCCGTGGTGGTCCTCCCCCCTCACCCCCTCCCCAGCAGCACGTGTGAGACCCTCTTGATCTGAGCAACACCGCCCTCTTCACATTTTGGGCTGGCACCCATGACCTGCACCACGTCCTGTTTCCCACTGATGACGAAAGACCCCACCAACTCTGAAAGTTCTGCGCAGTGTTCACAAAGCCAGCTCCAGGAGTGTGGCAGCACGCCCGCGCCAGTGCTGAAATCTCGGAAGCCGCATTTCTAGGGAAGGGAAAGCTGGGGAAGTACCCGCGTGGAGTGTCTTCACGACCGTGTTGTAGCACAAGTCAGAAGCAAAACTGAGGGGCTGGGCTGGCACTGTGATTTATGACCCAACCGTAGGGGCAGAGGGGGTGCAGAAGCAGCCGTTAAGAGCAGAGGTGACTTTAAAAGCACAGACACAAGGAGCATTTGTTGAAACGCCCGTGCCCTGTGACGGGCTTCCATGAGTCCGGATATCGAGAAGGGGAGGATAAACACTGTTCTGGACGTTTAATCACATAGTGAGAAACATACACAGGGTTTTGGATGAAAAATCACCCACAAAAGTAAAGGAGAAGGTGAGAGCACTGAGAACGCAGAACTGTGCAGGACACACAGGACTCCCAGCCTCCAGCTGGCTCAGGGTCCAGACCTGGACAGATGATGCCTGCCATGTCTATATGGGCACCGGACCCAAGTCAACACTCACCAGAGGAGGAAGTGAGCGAGCGATACCATCTCTGTCCATGCCGGGCTCGCGTGCAAGGCCCTGATGGACTCATCCATCCTCTGGGGGAGTGAATCTGCTGGAAAGATTTACCTTTATAAACAGCGATGTAATAAAATCACCAGGAAATGCATTCATCACTTAGAAACAGAGGAAGTAATGGAGAGGACTTTCATTTCTATAAAGTGAACAGAATGGAGTAATAAACACAGGGGAGCAGATAATCCTGGGTGATGTACACATTTATAAGAAGGAAAGGCAAAGAAGGGATCCACTTTCACGAGGGGAGGGATTTCCGCACCGGTGGCAACGCGGACCGTCGATGTTGCAATGAATGAGCTACACAGTTGTGTTCAGCCTTTTCTCCCCTATCATTTCAATCAGGATACGTAAAATCATGTGCTGAGAAAGGGAATGTTATTGTTAAGATGTTTACGTGGAGGGCCGAACTTCATGCACACATGGGCATTCTGCTGTCTAGGGAGCCCAGTTGCCCGCAAGCTTTTGCTCTCTGGCCTCAAACCACCCGTGTTCACAGGTGCTTGAGCAAAACTGACCAAAACAGATTGTGAGGCAAGAGTCCTGAGGAAGAGCATTTCATGCCATTCATGCCACGTGAAGACTTGCTCAAGAGGAGGAGGATGTTTCCGCCAATGTACAGGAAGAGCGTGTTCCGGAAGATGCCTCAGGAGAAGATCATTGCTGGGTGGTGAACTAGGGTGTTTGGAACACTCCTGTGTTCATCACAGCTTTCCTTTCTAGTGGGTTAGTTTAATGGAGTAATGAAGCGTTGATCAAAAGCAACATAGAGCATTTAAATTATATTCTGGTTGTTTTCCTAAAAGGAAAATTCTTTGCTCATCATTCAAATGGCAGGTGCTGTCCTGCCTGCTTGGCTGACTCTGAGGCCGGGTTTCCTGTACCTCTCTCAGACACAGTGGCCCTGCTGACCGCCCGTCACTTTTCGCAATGGTCACTGAGGGAGAGGCAGAGAAGTCAAGTCCTGGTGACCAAAAACTAATGAAAAAAGGAAACAAATGAGCTAGAAATAGGAGAATAAAGACAGAGAGACATAATAGAAAGAGAGAAAGTGAAAACCTTCTTCAAAAACAGGCAAAGTGCAAGAGCTATTATTTGGGGTTTCAATTGTCTCTGGAAAGTGAGGAGAGTTCCAGTTCCGGAAGGTTCTCTGTCTCTTCATATTTCTGAGCATGGGGCAGTTTAGAAATCAACAGTAGGAGGGTTCTGAAGGAGGGTGGCTGCCAAACTGAGGTGGCGGCTGGGCAGGAAGCACAGCCCCTGTTTGGGTCTGACACTTCTGGTTCTAAATATTTCACTTCCTCCTTTAAGTAATGAATACGATGGGTGTCACTTAGATGGACCAAGAAGCTGGAAATTGTTGGAGGACAGCTTGCCTTTGTGCGTTTGTGTTCTTTTAAAAGAAAAATTATTCTGTCTTGAGGTGAAAATGTCACCCCTCCCCGTTTTCCCTGCAAAAAAAGCCAAGATATTTGCCCAGAAACTATACTTTTGAATTCATGAACTCGACATCCACTTAGAAGTGGACTGAAGAATTGAATGACTTCCAATATCAGATGATCTTGTTTTAACTGGAGACCATTGCTAATGAGCATCTGTAGTCAGTGACCAGAGGAACAAATTAGTGTGAGTCTCCTCCAACTCCTGTTTGCTGCTTCCAAGGGTCCCCTCTCCCTGGTGTCTCCTTCCCGCTGGACACTCACTCCTGGCACTGTGGCTCACAGGGCCTCTTCTCCAGAGCCAGAAGCAGGGATCAGCGCAACTCCATGTTGTAAGGGGAGGACGCTGGGACTGGCCTTGGGGGTTTGGTTGGAGGAGGGGGACGACCCTGGGGTCTCACATCAGCACATGTGTGGCCAAGTCCATCTAGGGCAAGAGAGAGTCCACAGCCAGCTCCCTCAACCCTCTCTTTCAGCCTCTCACCTACAGTTTTAGCAGCCTCAGGATTATTCAAACAGCAGTAAGCCACACTTCCACATATTCCCTTTGTGTGTGTGTGTGTGTGCGCGTGTGTGAAGTGGGGGATGGCATCTCCACACCTCCACTGAGTCCTGGATGTCAGGAATTATTCACTGGATGATAGACGGAATCCAGAAGGCCTGTGTGTGCATGGGAAACCAGGAATTGTAAACACGTACCCCCACAGGACGAATGCCACTACCAGAGGCAACTCCACACAGAATACCGAGCAGTGTGAAGGCAGGCAAGTGTGAAAGGCTGTGAAGTAAACTCTTTTGTGACATGTTTTTATGACATAATTATATTGATCTGAAAGACACTCATCCAGAACCACAACCTTTTATACCCCAAGAAAAAAACCCGAGCCTGTATAATCTTTTCAATCACTTGATATTCATAGTCTTACTCAAAGGTCTCTGAATATGTCATGTGTGTAATACCAATGCAAAATTTGGCACCGTCGTCACTCCCAGCAATATGTTTCAATAAGGTAATTTTCTTGCTGCCTAAGAACATCAGCAGGGTGCAATCCGGAACAAAAACAGAGTATGACATCTTATTCAAGCATACATCTGGAGGACAAAACTATACTTTATTAAAGGAAAATGGGATTTCAGGATTGTTTTGACAAGCGGTAAGAATGCACACCTCAGTTTACATACAGTACAGCCCGGAAGCGAGAGGTGCTTCTGCAGCCACGGTCACTAAAGCCCGCCATCCTCCAAGGGACTGGGTGAGCACCTGGTTCTGGGACAAGCTTGTCTGGAAAAAATTCACGTACAGCATCAATTTTATTTCCCATTTCTGCTTCCTTGATGCTCAGAATCGGGGTGTCATTCATTCCTCGGTGGACGGTGCACATAACTTTCTTCCTCTTTTCAAAGCCAACGAATGGCAATTCTTCCTTTCTTTATTTTTGAGGGTCATCCTGATTCTCTACATGTGAGAGGGAAAGTGGAGCATATTCTTTGACCTTCTTAAATCAATTTAAGCATTGAGATTTAAAATAAATACTGAAAATAATGTCAGATTTTAAAATACCAGCTGTGCTGAAACACTTGCCTTCCTTTAAATCACCTGCTTTTATAGCCTGCCGTGTGTTTATTACCCGCCCAAAGCCTGCCAGGGATTTTGGGCCTCCGCCCCTGATTTTTCTGGTGTTTTCCTTGATTTCTACATCAAACCGGTCAAAACACTCACCACTGTAGTTACTTTGAGCAGCATGAATTCCTGAGTTAATCACCCCACAAATGTGTCTGTGAGAACGAGGCAGAGGGAGGCGTGGGCGTCCGGCTCCCAGGGGCTGGAGATCGCCTGGCACGTCCTCCCATCCAATTATTCAGCATAACTGCACCCATCACGATATTCACTCGCCTTTTTTTTCTTTAGAGAGAAAGTGTAAAAAATATTAAAAATAAGATCAAGCCAAATTAAATATTGGAAAACTTATTAAAGAGAAAAAAATATTGGAAAAGAAGAAATGCATCTTATTGCATGCACAAAGCAGGCACAATCACAGTGCTGAATTTTTCAACAATGAAATTGTGTTTTTAAATTTCAGATTTTGGTACCACCTTATTTTCAGAAATCATTCTGTGATTTGGTTAATTTTAAGGGGCTGGAGAAGAAGCTACATTAAAGAACAAATTTTAAATACTTAAATGGAAAGAAATCCCCAAACTGAATTCCTTTAGTGATGTTGCATATGAATTAAGCAATTTGGCCATGATTATAAGCTCAAAATTTCCAAAGATTATTTGTCAGTACAGTAATCAGTGGAAACCTGCCCAGCCTCTGTGTTATGCAACATTTGTGCTTAAAAGTACCAGGAAGTCTGTTGTTCCTTGTTTATCTTAAAACAGATGCATACTCTGAGATGATTTGTTGGCCAACAGCAAATAATTAGACTATTGTGTAGTATAAAAATAGTAAATATAACTGCTGAAAAAGGGAATGTTTTAAACGCACGCTATTAGCAGTTTTAGAAAAAGCAACTTAGGTCCTTTTATTCATAATATAAACTCGGCACCAGATTTGAATGGAGGATGAGGGCTGACTGTGAGGAGACCTCCCCACTCCAAAGCTTCGTCTGTCTCCCTCTGTGCAGTCTGGAGGTGGAGATGCCGCCTTTGGCTAATCCCTTTGTGATCTAAAGTATGTGTCCTGCCGCTGTGTGTGCACATTCAAAATACCCACCCCTGCAAAGGGAAAATGCCCTCGGCAAACCGAAGCTTTGACTGCAGGGCTGAGCCCCAGACACCCGTTAACCAAGGACAGAGGAGCAACGTGGTCAGTCTCCGGACGCCCATGGAGTGAGCTCAGGTGAAGAGCCGCCTGCACATGGCTTTGCTCCCCACTCCCATCTGTGTGTCCTTGTGACATTTTATTTAGCAAAAGACAAAAGCACTTTTGGTTTACAGTCTGCAAAAGAAAAAAAGAAGATTAAGAGATGGTTTATGAACGAGGAGAGCCGAACAGACCGGCTGGAGCCTCTTCCGTGGCTTTGCTCGTCCAGATGGGCTGAGTTCTGGTTTGACCCTCATGACCCAGCAGAGAGTTCGACAGAGAGACAGATCCCGCACTGGAAATGCAGAGATGCAGAAGTCTGCCTTCTGAAAACTGAACTCGGTTTTGTTCACAGTGATTTGTCATTTTTCCACATTTAAATTATTCAAAAATGTATTTCATACGTCAAGATGTTGACTAGACAGCAGAATCTATTCCCTACAGAAGGTATAGGAGAAATATTAAATCTTAACCTTATCATAGCGGCACAACTGGATGAATTTTTTTGCTCTTTTAACTAACTTTGTAGGATCTAAGCAATGCATATTAAGTCGTCCATTGGAAGAAAAAAATATTTAAAGAATGCTCAGACAGCAACAATTACCTTCATCTTCTTAGCACGGATTTTCTTGTTTCTCAAAGATAATATCTCACTCTTCATCAGCACTTAACCTCCTCTTCTGAAGTTGGGAGTTGGGGACTTTTTGTGATACTCAGGACTTGAAGAGAAGAGCATAAAAAAAGATGTATTTTTTTTTTCTTTTTAATTTCACAGCAGGACAGAAAAAGCACTAAAGAACGTGGCCAGTCCTGCAGGCTGCCATGAGGGCCCCACAGGCAGCAGGGTGTCCTGGCCAGCAGCACACAGCTCTTCCTTCTCTCCCCGCAGATGCCACTCCAGCCCCCTCCCAGGAATGCTGGGCTCACTGTCCCGTTCTGAGCCCCGCTGATGCATTCTTTTGGTGTGGAAGCAGGAACAAACGCGTGGCGGTGAGGCCAGGACATGCGTGCATTGTGGAGCACTGGGGACCCCGTGTCTATTCTAGTGCTGGTGCATAGTAGATACTCAACACCATCCGATGAGTGGGGCTTAAAGGAAGAAAAAAATGCACCATTTAATAAATCCAAAGCCAGATTGTCACACTGGGCTCTGTGTCTCTCAAAGCCGGCCATGAAGTGTGGCACATTTGTGCTCTGAACAGAGGTAGCCCTATGACAGTGTATCTAGATCTGAGGCCAGACTTCGACTGTGTCCCAAGCGCACACAGGCCGTGACTTCTGAGTGAACGGGTTCACAAGCCAGTGGTCACTGTCTTCCTTCTCTCTCTATGGAAACATCCGAGTAAATGGAGCTGTGCCGAGCGGTGGGGATCTCATTTTCTAAAGTAAAATGTAATTATTTGGTTTCAAGTCAGATACAAATTAAAAAATTAAACAAGCAAACAATATATTTTTAGATGCTTTCTATTTTGGATTTTAAAGCTTAATGAAATGTAGCCTTTAGAAAATGTATTCCTGCATTGCATTATTTTATTCTAACGCGTTCACCCACCATCAATTCTTAATCCAGAAACTCATGTAGGGAAGCGTTCTGGCTCAGTACACTAAGCTACTAGATGAAAACTCCAGGGAGAAGGAGCTTCGTTCAGACCTTGCCATTATCCCCCTGCGTTTCCCTGGACAAGTTACTTAGCACGTGAGCGTCTGCCCAGGAAAGCCATCATCCTAAGGAATTCCGCGAGAGCGTTATTGCAAAGCTCTCCAGTGTAAAATGGACAGCGCTTTAGCAAGCGCTTATTAAATAACTGATTTTGTCTACCAAATCCTTTTTGGAGATAATCATCCTTTTCTTTCTCCGATCAACCTATTGTAATCAGGCAGGAGGAGTGGTTGTGCTGTGAACTCTGGGATGTTCCTGTGAAACGGGGGAGCTGGACGGAATTTCCTCACCCGAGTTTGTCCCACATTTTCATTGTCCAAACAGAACTCAAGGTTTTTCATATATATATTATTTTTTTTAATTATACTTTAAGTTCTAGGGTACATGTGCACAACGTGCAGGTTTGTTACATACGTATACATGTGCCATGTTGGTGTGCTGCACCCATTAACTCGTCATTTACATTAGGTATTTCTCCTAATGCTATCCCTCCCCTCTCCCCTGACCTCACGATAGGCCCCAGTGTGTGATGTTCCCCTTCCTGTGTCCAAAACTATCGCAAGGACAAAAAACCAAACACCGCATGTTCTCACTCATAGGTGGGAATAGAACTCAAGGTTTTTCTAACAGCAGATGCCGACACGGCATGAAGACGTGCCCTTCATACCCCACACCAGCGCTCCTTTTGATTAGAAATGAACTGGTTCAGCAGGTCTTTGCGTTTCCCCGCGTGCCCAGACACTTCTGCCTTCCTTTTCTAAATCTGCAAAAGTGGGTCTTGTCCCCCACCGACTTCCTCCGAAAGTGGCTGAACCAGGTGACACCCACAGGCTGGCAGCCTTAAGAATGCCCGTGGCTGTCCCGTGGTTCTGACCCAGGAGACCTGGCGCTGCCCCCTTGGCACAACTGAGGGAAGGCATTCGTCGTTGCTGAGCTGATCTCTTCTAAACCGTGAAGGGATTCGTGGGAGCCATGAAGGCCACCTTGGGTCTAAAACGCTCTGGGTGTGAGACTCCCCAGCTATCTAGATGGTTCCACCTGCACAGCCCCCGGAAACCCGCATGAGCTGGCTCACCCCAGCTTCCAGCTCTTCCTGCCTTCTGTGAACACCTGCTGTCCGCCCCCCAGTCAGGGGGGCTCCAACCTCGGAGTCACGTGGAAGGGCCCCCTCCTCTCCTCCACATGCGCCGGCCTGGAGCTGCCAACTCCCACCTCCGCGCCGCTCCCGAGCCTCCGCCCCAGGCCCACCCTTCGCGTCCACTCCTGCGTCAGGGGCAGGTGCCAGGGTCCCTGCGGCGCCTCGGCCTCCTTCCTTCTTCTCAGGCCGCCGGGTCGGTCTTTTGAGACCGGGCTCCACTGTCGCTGATGTTGCCGGAGCTCCCAGGAGCCGAGTCCTCCGTCAGGAAAGTGCCCACGGGGTCCGCTCTTTGGACCTGAGAAATCGCTGCCCAATTGTGTCAGGTGAGGCGGCCGCAGCTCTCCACGCTCTGCAGGCACCGGCTGCCCACGCCCTTCAGAGGGGCCCCGTTTCCAGCGAACGCCCCCACCCGGGCTGCTTCGCCTCCCCAGGCCCCTCTGCGACCGCCTGCCCGCGGCTCCCACTGCGCTTCCTCTCGCCTCCCGCCCACGGTGCGCACACGCACGGCACACGCCACACGACACACGACACACACACACACCACGTGAACAGCACACACACACCGCACAGCACACACTACACACATACCACACACCACACCACACACTACACACACACCACACACACCACACACACACCACACACACCACACACCACACACACACCACACACCACACCACACACTACATACCACACACACCACCACACACCACACATGTACAGATAAACACACCACACATATACCACACATCAAACATACACACACACTTTACATACAACACACACACTACACTACACACACAACACACACAGACACATCACCACTGCATACACATCACACATGAACAGACACTTATAGGCACACGCCATAAACACACCATACACTCACACTCATGCACCACATACACCATACTACACACATGTACCAAATACATGTACCGATACACCACACTGTACACTCACCACACACCACACACCACACACACCTGCGCTTACAACACAAATACATGCCACACATAAACATAAACATACATGTGTACACACCAAATACCACACACATGCATGCACACATACATGCATGAACACAGTACCCCGCCCTGGAATCACGTAAGGATCTCATGACCCCCCCACGAATAATAACATCCAAGCTGCAGCAGATTTGGTCTCTAATCGACAGAGACGCGCACGCCAGGGATGCTGGGGACGCAGAGGCCTTGACTTGCTATGTCAGATCCAATCCCGATGGTTTACATTCTTCAGCCCAGGGATGGGTCGGCCAGGGAGGGGCTGCTACTGTCTCCTCACTTACCTAGGTGGCAGCTCTTCTTTGAGTGAACTCATTGTGACATTATGGGCTTTTCATATAATATCACTGTTAGAATAGAGTTTTGAGCCACCACCAGCCTAACCAGCCTTTAGTGCGTAATGAATGAAAATTACCCCTAATTAAATTGGGCATGCACATTTTGGAAGCTGAGCCGTAAGTGCTAAACACTTTGATAATCTGATCCAAAGCCAAAGTGTCTGCACAAATTAATTTGAAGGGACTTAATTTTTTTTTTTTTTTTTTTTTTTTTTTTTTTTTTTTTTTGAGACGGAGTCTCGCTCTGTCGCCCAGGCTGGAGTGCAGTGGCGCGATCTCGGCTCACTGCAAGCTCCGCTTCCCGGGTTCACGCCATTCTCCTGCCTCAGCCTCCCGAGTAGCTGGGACTACAGGCGCCCGCCACCACGCCCGGCTAATTTTTTTGTATTTTTAGTAGAGACGGGGTTTCACCTTGTTAGCCAGGATGGTCTCGATTTCCTGACCTCATGATCCACCCGCCTCGGCCTCCCAAAGTGCTGGGATTACAGGCGTGAGCCACCGCGCCCGGCCTAGGGACTTAATTTCTAAGCTATTCTTTCTCTCTTGTCCCCCCCCACCCCGGCCTTGATAGAGACCCTTTTGTAAATATGCTTTGGTTCATTCCCTCTAGAAAGTATAAGAAACAGGGTCAATGGAGAGTACAGAGTAGATGACACACATTACCTTGGTAGTATTTTTGTTTAAAGCTTAAAACAGTCAATGAAAGGTTCTTGGAAGCCAAAGACAATCCACTGTCAGGAGCAGTTCTAAGCATAAATTAATGAGACCGCCACACTCCATAACAGATAACTGTTATGCTCTGGAACGAAGATCACAATTTAGCAAAATAGGCACTAGAAATTGTCAATTTCAACTGAGAACTTGCTTATTGCATGTATTTTGAATGGGTTGACTGCGATCTGAATTGACAGTTGTATCTAAAACATTGTCTACCAGTCAATCTGAAATTGCCAAAAAATATTAGTCTTGTCCCAGAGGACTGGAGAGCAATTTTATTTAGCCCCTCCATGTCATCTGCGCTGAATGGCCCTGATGCCCAATGACCACAGTAGCCACTGGAGGTCAAAGGAAAAGGGTGCAACTTTCTTCCAGGCACTGATTTTGAGAAGAAGCAGGCAGTCATGAAAGACATCCTCTATCTGATGTCTGCTTGTTTTATAACAAGGACAGCACCCTACAAGTCCCACTTTTAAATCAATCTATTCAAAGTTTCACATAACTTTGCCAATACAACTCATTTGTTGGTTGATGATCAAGTACACAGTTTTCATATAAAGTTCCATTACAGATATGAGCCCTTCTGGTGTGATTCATATATCTCTCAAAATTTGTGTATGTATAAATCAAATCATGATTTAATGCTCCATGATTAAACAACGCTTATAAAAGCCATTTTTTATAAAGTAAATGGTCGTTCCCAATTTATTAATTTTTAAAATTTAGACTTACATGTTTGGGTTTTCTTAAACACACCACAAACCACAATTGGTGAACAATTGTGAACCCGAAAGAGCTGATTCTTCAAGATGGATGGCAAGTGGCTAACTGGGCCTAAATTTAAAAAAGAGACAAGCAGCCATTTGGTGACTGGAGGTCACACAGGCTGAATTCCCTGAAAACTCACATCTTTGTTCAACTTGGGAACTGTCAGAGCTCACCTAAACCAACCAGTCAGAGCTCAGCTGCCCCAATGAACCAGAGCTCAGCTACCTAGACTGATCTAAACTAAGCAAGGCTGAATCTTTCATTTACATAAACAGACCTGATTGGGAACCTGGGTGAGAACTTTCTCTTTAAAAGCCAGATCCTCCCTTTGGTCTGCTCTGGAATGTGCCTCTACACCAAAGGTTCCCCAGTCTGCAAACCTTTCACTTGAATAAAGTTTCTTTCCTCCACATTTCTTTTCAGAGAACTTGTCTTCACATCGGGTTCATCTATATGACACACCCAGGCATACAGTAAGCCAGACCATGCTTACCAACCATATCCAAAGTATCAGCCCTCATTTGCTGAGAATTCTACAGACATCTCCATGAACCCTGCTGAGCTTTTTAAAATTCTGCTTTAAGACTGAGGAGGCCATAGCTCAAGAGAATACAACTGTCTGTCCCCCAAAAAGCTCACACTCTTCCCATTATTGTAGCGTGTATTTTAAGCTGTTTATTTAGCTGAAAGCCCCTCCACTTATTAGGAGGTCTTAGTATATCAAGATGGTTTTTGTTCGATTTGGCAGTGACATATAATGCTTATGTTTACTCTGCTACTCTGAAGGCCAATTACTTTTCTTTAAACATAGTTTGGATGTACAAATGGTCCTGATGAATGCAGTTTAAAAAATAAACCAATAAGACCCAAATTCCTAGGTCTAATATATGAACGTGTTGATCATTTATCAGCAAAAGCTGGTTGGTTGATCTGCTCTTCCCAATATAAATGCAGATATAAAATGAAATGGCCACAAGTGCATAATTACTGTGAGGTCTAGACTTCCCTAGCCCATCTTCCGTGAAACTTCCCTTGCCAACACGTACAAATAAACAGTCTTTCACCATCAAGTATGATGTCAGCTGTAGGTTTTTCATAGATGCTTTTTATCAGGTTGAGGACGTTCCCGTCTATTTCTAGATAGCTGAGAGTTTTTCATCATGAATTGATATCAGATTCTGTCAAATAATATTTTTGCTTCCATAGAGATAACCATATTGCTTTTCTTTTTTATTTGTTAATATGGTGAATTATATTGGATTTCTCTTTAAATGTTAAATAAAATTTACATTCTTGGGAAAAACTCCAATTGACCATGTGGCCTTATTCATCTTTGTATACAATCCATTTTTAGATACAATTTGCTAAGGTTTTTTTAGAATTTTTACATTTGTCTTATTAAGGAATATTGGTCTATAGTTTTCTTCTCTTGTAATGTCTTTATTTTGGTATCAGAGTAAAGCTGGCTTCATAGAGCAAGTACAAAAATATTCCCTTCTATTCGATTTTCTAGAAGACATTATCTAAAGCTGGTATTATTTATTCCTTGTATGTTTGATGGAATTCACCCATGAAGCCACCTGGTCCTGGAATTTTCTTTCTGGGAACGTTCCAAATTACAATTCAATTGTGTTAATGGACATAGGGCTATTAAAGTTATCTGTTCAATTTTTTTCCTGCATAAAATTTGAAACTATGTGTCCTTCAAGAAAGTAGTTCATCTTATCTAATTTGTTAAATGTATGGGTATACAGTTATTCATAATGTTCCCCTATTCTCCTTTGGGTACCTGTAGAACCACCTCTATTATCTGCTACTGGTAATTTCTGTCTTTCTCTTCTATTCCCAATTGTTTTGTCTAGGGATTCTACAATTTTAGTGATCTTCTTGAAGAATCAGCTTTTGTTTTTTTCTGATTTCCTTACTGCTTTCCTTTTTTCTATTTTATTTGTTTTCACTGATCTTTACATTCCCACTATTTTGTTTACTTCATATTTTATTTGCTTCCCTTTTCCAGTTTCTTAGGGTGTAGGTGACTGATTGGAAACATTTCTTCTTTTCCAATGTGAATGCATATTGATATCGACTTCTCCCTAAGTAATGCCTTAGTAACATCCCAGAAATTTGATATGTTGTGTTTTTATTTTCATTTAGATCAAAATAATTTCTAATTTTCCGTATGATGTCTTCTTTTACCTATGGGTTATTTAGCGGTGTTTCATTCAATTTGCAAACATTTTAGCTTTTTTTGAGATTACTGATTTATAATTTAATTACATTTGGTCAAAGAACATGCATACATCATATGATTTAAATCCTTTTAAATTTATTAAGCCTTGTTTGAAGAACTAGAATATAGTCTATCTTGGTAAGTGTGTGAACATGAAAAGAATATGTAAGTTCTTAAATGGGGTGTTCTATAAATGTTTATTAAATTCTATTGAGGTTGATCATGTTCAGTTTTTCTCTAACCTTTCTAACTTTCTGTTTAGTACATCTGCCAGTTACTGAGAAAGGGCTGCTGAAATCTCCAAAGATAATTTGAATTTATCTACTTCTCTTTGCAGTTCTACCAGTTTTTGCTATAAGTATTTTGAACTTCGAGTTTTAACTTCAGACACATTCGGGATTTGTATTTGTTGTCTTGGAGAATTGACTCTTCACCATCAAGTAATCCCCCTCTTTAGCCCTGGTAATATTCTTGTTCTGAAATTTACTGTGTCTGATATTAATTAATATAGCGATTCCAGCTTTCTTTAAATTAGTGCTTGCATAGTTCATCATTTTCTACCCTTTCACTTTTAACTTATCTTTTTCTTTATATTTAAAGTGGGGTTTTTGTAGGCAGAATACAGTCAGGACTTACTCATTATCTAATATGATAAACTCCATTAATCAATGTCTATAGCCTGCTTATTTGATGTAATTATTGATGTGGTTAGATAAAATCTGCTATTTTGTTAGCTTACGGTTTATATCTCATTTTATACTATTTCCATTATTTGCTCTAGTGTTTGCAGCACAGGTCTTTGGTTAAGGCCCCCTGAAAGTGTGTCATTGCTGCATGTGTGGACCTCCTCGTCCTTGGCAGTCAGTTCCTCCTATCAACCCTCTGTGTTACTTTTTCATATATTTTACTTTTACATGTGCTACAAACGCATAATTCACTGCTACTGCTTTTGCTTTCAATGGGGGTAGCTTGTTCTAAGTTTTCTCTTCTCCCATCTGCAATCAGCATCTTTCAGTCCCCAAAGAGGGACCGTGTGTGTGGCCTTCCCCAGCGGTTAGAGGCCTTGCTCCATAGGAGAGATGGGATTCCCCACAGTGGATGCTGGTCCCTGCCACCCCCTCCTCCCCCGACACGCACCTTGAGGGATGCTGCCTTGGGACTCCTGCCTGCCAAATGTTTCTGTGAACACCCAGTGAGATGCATAGTTAAGAGCCCATGGATGGGAGCAGTCCCCCTGTTCCAGAGCACCCGGGCTCCTGTGTCCCCTCGCCAGCCGACACGTGGCCTTCAGCTGTTCAGTAACAACGTAGCTGAACCCTCCTGGCGGTTGTCTGCTGCCATCCGCCCGGCCAGCAAGAGAAATGTGTCCGTCTTTCCCTGTAGGCACCTATTGCTCCTCGGATTTCGAGTTGATCTATTGCCTCTGCCCTCAGCTCTCTTATGGATTCAGAATAAAAGTTGTGACTCCGCATATGTCCCACCATCGCTGTTGTTGTGTGGCAAGAACGAGGTGCTTCCTGCCTTTTGACATTCCAGATGGAAGGCAGGAGTCCTCATTAAGGTTTTTGTTTCACATAGTTCTCCAAGAAGCTACCATTACTGCAGCAAAAGATTTGATGTATCATCTTGGAAATAACCACATTAGGTAGCACACCAAGATGGCGCTGACAGGAGAAGTAATTAGCCGTCAGGAGCAACAGCACGTCCACACCTGGCCAGGGCCGTATTGGAGGACAGTCGGGCTTCCGAGGATGCGGGTGATGCCAGGGGACGCCAGAGTGGGGCGTTTGAGGAGGGGCCATCCACGTCCATGCAGACTCTGATCTTGTCACATTTGAAAAATCAGAGACACAAAGTTTACTAATATATGTCTTTGTAAAGATTTTGTCTATGTTCACCAGTGCCAAGATCTGTCTTGAATAAGCCTGAGACATTTGCTAGAGGGTCTCTCCTGCCTGGGAGTATTCCCTGGTCTTCCTTGTTTCTTGGAGAATACTTAGAATCTTCAAAGAAAGGGGTTTATTTTATCTTATTCAAATAGTATGGGAGACAGCATTTAGAGGCAGGAGTGGCTGAGAGAGAGCAGAGTAGGTGTTATAAATATCCTGGGATGAATGCTATATTTGTGGGCCCACAAACTTCCAAACAGTCTCTGCAGGTCTCTAATGATGGATGTTTTAAGACGCATGCTATATATAGGCAGGATGCTGAGTGCGAAGTACCATGAGACAGAAAGCCAGAACCAGCCATTCAGAACAGAGCTCTCTGGTGCTTTAGCTCCCACTTGATATTAAAAATGAGAGGCACTGTTGGAATGAAGCATCTCATTGACTAGGTTGAACAGACAAGGAAAAAAAAAAGAAGAAAGCAACCACCATCTTTACTTTCTTCCTACTCTCTGCTTGAGGGCTTTTTCCCCTATATACTTGTGTTTTATTGGCAATTTATTATACCCAGTGGAAGACACTGAAGCCTAGCAACAGGATCTTCTGATGTGCAAACAAAATGCATTTAATTTGACTCAGTGTATTACAAGCATCATAATCCCCCTTTTGACTTTACATGATCGACTAATCTCATCTGTTCAGAGGGATGAGCCTGTCTCAGCCCTGATGGCAGGCTTAGAGAATGAGAGAAATTAGGGCATTCTCGGAGATTATGCACTGTGACAACAGAGAAGGGTGCTGAACAGGGACTCTCCACAGGTGGTTACTCACAGCGGCGTGACTGCCAGGGATGCAGCATCACCCGCCGTGGGCAGGAATGCACACCTGCCTTTGCAGGGATGAGGACACGCAGCCACCCACAGCTTACAGCCCATTTCCTAGGAAGAGTCACAAAGAAGGGATTTCTAGGAAGGAGCAAGTCCCTGGGATGCAGTGCAACCCGACTTGTTTAGGGAAGTGTCTGTTTTAGGGAAAAGAGATGCCACCTCCTTTCTAACTGCAGCAGGATGTGGGGTTTCGTTTTAGGGGACAGGTGTGGTCAGATGGAAGTGACACAGATCAGCTGCTCGAAGGTGTGGATATTGGATGGGGAGGGGGCAGAGCCAAACCATTAGCAAAAACAGCAAGTGAAGAGGGCCCCAGGATGAGCTGGGTCTGAATGGAGGTGGAAGCATGGCTGACAGTTTCAGGTGAGGCACCTAGGCCTGGGCTTTGCCATGAAACTTGTTTGGAAACACAGGAACACCCTCCAACGCTGGCTCAAGCCTCTGAAACGCATGTTCAATAGCATCACAGTGTCCCTGTGCTATCGCTGCATGGAAAGCTTCCCCATGCCCCAAGTGCCTTGTGTGCAGCCCTGGGATGGGGCTGTGGTTCTCCTCTGGACCTCGGGGCCGGGCAGAAGACCGGAATGCAGGAACAGCAGTGCTGCCCGGGCGAATCTCTGGGCCTCAGGCGGGTGCAGGGCCCGGGAAACAGGGTCTGCTGCTCAGGCGGGTGCAGGGCCCGGGAAACAGGCTCTGCTGCAGCTCTCCACTGAGACACCGTCCTTGGTGCCTTGCACCCCTTGGTCCTTTCTTAGAGGAATATTTTCCACAAAAACTTGTGCAGGGTCTGACTCTACCACCCCTGGCTCCTATGGAGTCTAGCGTCCTTCCCTTTGCCCTGGATTCCCCACTGTGCCCGGCACTGCATCACCTGGCTTTTCGGGGAGGAGAGAGCATCTGAGCTCCCTGCCCCCTGACTTCCAGGCTGACTCTTGTGCCCCATCCCCTATGTGGTCCCCACCTAAACATGCCCAACCCCTGCTCAGACCCAGCGGCAGGGAGCTGCAGAGCTCAGCTGGGAGCACCAGAGGCAGAGAGGAGGGTGGCCTTGGCTTTGGTTCGCTAGGAGGAAGAGGGTTTGTATGTGAAGACAAAGGTCACAGGTCCCAAGTCAAAGATAAACCATCTTGAAAAGAAAACATAGGGTGAGATTCTACCCTAAACCTAGAAGATGCACAGACAGGGATTTGGGGGCATCTCCCAGGAATGGCAGAGGTGGGCATGGGCTGCTTGGGGGTGATTCGGGAAGCATAAACTTGCTTTAGGGAATTGACTATTTAAAACTATATGTATCCTTTGTATAAAAATATAAATTTTGGCTCATTAATAGATTTTGTTTTTATTTACACTGTGAAAGGACCCATTAAAAACAAAAAGTAAGAAAGTTGTGGGGAGAGAGAAGGTACAGTAAGTAAGAAAGGGAGGGAGGGAGGAAAAAAAAGGAAGAAAGCAGGAAGGGAAGGAAGGAAGGGAGGAAGAAGGGAGTGAAGGCAGGAGGGAATGAAGAAGAGAAAGGAGGGAGGGAAGGATGAAAAGAAGGTAGGGAGGGAAAGAAGGAGGGAGGGAGGAGGAAGGGAGGGAGGGAGGAGGAAGGGAGGGAGGGAGGAGGAAGGGAGGGAGGAAGGATGGAGGGAGGGAGGGATGCAGGAAAGAGAAAGGATGGAGGGAGGAAGAAAGGAGGAAGGGAGGGAGGGAGGAAGAAGGAAGGAAGGGAGGGAGGGGGAAGGAAGGAAGGAAGGGAGGGAGGAGGAAGGGAGGGAGGGAAGGGGGAGGAAGGGAGGGAGGAGGGAGGAAGGGAGGGAGGGAGGAGGAAGGGAGGGAGGGAGGAGGAAGGGAGGG
The DNA here is from genome assembly GCF_000001405.40 of Homo sapiens. Classification (NCBI taxonomy): domain Eukaryota; kingdom Metazoa; phylum Chordata; class Mammalia; order Primates; family Hominidae; genus Homo; species Homo sapiens. The sequence continues at coordinate 78,229,480 of NC_000018.10, read as the reverse complement.
AGGGAGGAGGAAGGGAGGGAGGGAGGAGGAAGGGAGGGAGGGAGGAGGAACCGTGCCAGTGAGCTCTAGGGCTCTGCCTATTGCTGGACTGGGAAGAGCTGAAGACCTCCTGAAGGAGGCGTCTCCAGCTCTTTTCCTTCCTGGGGCTGTGCTGGCTCCTCTCCTCTGCAGGTGAAAGGGGAGACCCCTCCTCCGGCTGTGCTGGTGCCTCCGCCGCCCCCTCCGCAGCTGCAGTGACTTGAGCTGCCTCCGGAGACAGGAACATTTGTTTGCTCCGGGTGTTCCCGGCTGACTCCCAGGGGGTGGTCCCTCTGGTTAGCATCCTGCACCCCCACCTACAGCCCGGCACTACCAGGAGCAACCACGTCAGAGAATCACAGAGTGCCGTTTGAAAGGGACACGCGGCCGTGGCTTCGCTGACGCCGGCCCTGATCCTGGAGGCTCCTCCTGTCCATGGCCTTGGTCTCTCCCCGGTCAGCGTGGTGGGCCATGGGGCCACCTTGTTCCCTGTCCACCCTTCCTGTCTGTTCCCACATGCATGAATGTTTATGAATAAGCTTATGGTGTGAACTTGAATCTAAACGACTTTTTGGTGTGTATTTTGTGACATAAAATGAGCAAAAGTGAATGTTAAAAACAACAACAACAAAAATATTCTAGATAGTAGAATTATTCACAGAGCAATATCGCATAGAGATTCATTATTCAATACTCTAACTCAGAAGATATATTGTGTTTCATAAAATAGAGCTATGAATTGTGAGGTCTGCCACTGTTTTTTGGCACCACTAAGAAAGAAAGATATTGTGAATTCAACAAAAGTATGACAAAAATCACTGAAAGTACTATTATTATTTTTATTTTTACTTACTGAAACAGTTGTTTTGGTCTTTTTTAAACAAAGACATTTGTCATATTGCACGATAATGAGTGCACGAAACGAATAATGATGTGAAAATGGAACAGCGAAGTGACTCCCGACCCTTTTTCACATCTGGCCTCTGACTTCTCTGAATCACTTGGAGCCTCAGCGTTCTACAGGTTCTGGTGCACCCGGTTCGTGAGCATTTTCCATTAGCTTCAAACAATGCATCCTGCTGAATTGAATTACATGGCGCTAGAGTCTAAGCCATTCTGTTCAAAGACAGAGGGAAGTTTCTGAGGAATTGTCTTCCAACACCTTAGTGGATGCATGAGTCCGCCGGACCCGTCTCCCCACCGGGAATGTTCTTCCACCTATTTGGAGGCATTTTGCGAATTTCCCCGCCTTCCTTTGCCTTGCCCAGGAGTGAGAAGAATGTTTTCACAGGGAGCACAGCTTAGTGTACTTGTGGTTGTCTTTCTTCTTACACAGTCCCATGAAGCATGTCATTTGCTCGGTAAGGAAATAGAAAATCTAGACGGTCTTTTAATAATAAATACTTCCTTCAAAATATCAATTACATTATTTGTCTCTGAGTATAAATTCACTTGTACAATTGAACAAGATTTTCTCTTAGTACACAATACATCTCGGTTTCAAGGATGAATTGCGGTGTTTTTTTTTTTTGAGACCAAGTCTCGCTCTGTTGCTCAGGCTGGAGTGCAGTGTTGTGATCTCGGCTCACTGCAACCTCCACCTCCCAGGTTCGAGTGGTTCTCCTGCCTCAGCCTCCTTAGTAGCTGGGATTACAGCCACCTGCCACCAAGCCTGGCTAGTTTTTATATTTCTGGTAGAGACGGGGTTTCATCATGTTGGCCAGGCTGGTCTCGAACTCCTGACCTGAAGAGATCTGCCTTCCTTGCCCTCCCAAAGTGCTGGGATTACAGGCATGAACCACCGTGCCCAGCCACGGTGTAATTTTTATGAAGACATATTGAACATTTTGAACCATAATTAAATGCAGGGTATATAAAGCCAATGACATTCAGGGCTCAGGGAAAGTGGCAGGTGCACGTGTGGGCCATGACCTCCGAGTCGGGAAAACTGCTGTGCCTGGAGGTGCTGGCGGCTGGGAAAGGACTTCTTTTTTCAGAAAGGTTAAAATGTGGAAAAAATAATGTATCATAGAATTGATGAAATACAGTTGTAATTTCAAGTCAACGTCTTACTTGATGTATTTATAGCTTTAAACTTAATTTTACAACTTGTACAATATGTTCAAAAAGCTTGAAAGATAGTAATGCCTCCTCTAGAAATAAGAAATGCGCCCATCAGCCAGCTTCAGGAGTGAGGTACGGCAAAGCCAGCTGAGGCCTTCTGTGCATCCAGGGATCCACTGAGCATGTCGTAGGGAGCATCTCACGTGTGTCAGGGAAACAGGCTGAGAAGATTCCTGTTTACTCCAGAAGTGGCACTTGTAAATCTGTACAAAAACTCATCATTACTTTTCCTGAATTCTGGAGCTTCAGAATGGTCCTCATTTGGAGAAAGACTCTTTTCAGATGTCCTGAAAAGGGCATCCTGGAGTAGGGCAGGCCCTGAACCCCATGACCGATGTCCTTGTAAGAAGAGAAGACACCCAGAGATACACATGGAGCAGGCAACGCGAAGACAGGGGCCACGACTGAGATGCATGCAGAGCAGGTGACGCCAAGACAGAGGCCATGACTGAGATGCACGTGGAGCAGGTGACGCCAAAACAGAGGCCACGACTGGAGTAATGCAGCCATAGGGACCAAGCCACGCCAGGACAGCCGGGAGTTCCGAAGCAGGAGAAAAGGCCTCAGATTTCCCTCAGACCTCCCAGAAGGAACCCACGCTGCCAGGACCATGATTTGGGACTTCTCCAGAATTCAGAGAAGAAATTGATGTTGTTTTACTTTGTGACAGCAGCTCTAGGAAACACTCCAGAAAGCACAGGGCTGGTGTGCAGGTGAAGGAGGAGGGAGCCGCCATGCCACTTCCCCTCGCCTCCACAGGATCCACCCCTCCCTCCACTTCCATCCTCAATTCCAGGCCAGTCATTACAGCTGTCTCCAGGCAACGACTCTCATCTTCCTCCAGGCTTGTGCATCTCCTACTCTTTGGTCAAACTTCAATTCTGGTCAAACTAGCTCTCCACTTGGCCCTGGTGTCACAGCTGGGGATGCCCACACCACGTCAGCCATTGTATGTGCCGTTCACGGCCGTTCACACTGCAACAACAGTGCCATATTCCCTTACCCATTTTACCTTGTCCCGAGTCTGTTGAATCCACCAAGCCAACTATTTCATTCCTTCATTCTCTCAAGTCAGTGTTCTTTTAAAAATAGACTTTTCTTAAGCTGAGCATAGTGGCTCACGTCTGTAACCCCAGCGCTTTGGGAGGCCAAGGCGGGGGGATCATTTGTGGTCAGGAGTTGAAGACCAGCCTGGCCAACATGGTGAAAACCCATCTTTACTAAAAATACAAAAAAATTAGCTGGGCTTGGTGGTGCACGCCTGTAGTCCCAGATACTTGGGAGGCTGAGGCAGGAGAATTGCTTGAACTCGGGAAGCAGAGGTTGCAGTGAACCAAGATTGGGCCACTGCACTGCAGCTTAGGCAACAGAGTAAGACCCTGTCTCACAAAAAAAAAAAAAGAGAGACTTTTTTTTAAAGAGCAGTTTTAGGTCCACAGAAGAATGGAGCAGAGGGCATGGATATCTTTCATACGGCCCCATTCCCCAGGGTGCACAGGCTCCCTGATGATCCGCCTCCTGAAACAGCATCACTGGCTGAGATGATGCACCAACCTTGATGGATGGCATCACCCAGCGTCCATAGCTTACATCACTCCTGCTGCGGCACATTCTATGGAGTTCCACAAATGTGTAATAACATGGATCCACCATTATGGCTACCACGGATGGACCCACCCTGACAGATCCCATCACCCAGCGTCCATAGCTTACTCGAGGGCTCGCTCCTGCTGCAGCACATTGTATGGGGTTCACAAATGTGTAATAACACGGATCCACCATTATTCTATCATACAAAGTAGTTTCGCATTAATACTTTTTAAACTTTCTGATTTAGCTAAACATAAACAAAACCAAATCTTTGTATACTGATTTTAGGAGGACATTCCTTTCCTAAGTGTTCTGGTGGAGAATAAAATTTGCAATGTGTTGTTTAAACAAACCACTTAATCAATCAATGCTAGAAACACAAATTGATTTAAAAATCTTGAAAATATTCCAGATATCTCTGGGGAGAGCATTGACATCAAGTTGAAAAATTAGTACACGAGCGCACAAGAATTGGGAACAAGAAACAGCCCTGAGCCGCATGTGGACTCAGCAGCCAGTATGGCTGCTGGAGGGAGAAAGCTGAAATTGCAGCCTTGGAGCAGAGCACATGAAAGTCATTGAGGAGAGAGCCATGCAAATGGAGAGCCTTCATCAGCCAGGTACAAGGAAAATCTATCACCTGTGATCTTTCATCGCATTCCACACATTGGGAGATAATTTATGATGAGAAACCAGGGTGGAGTTCAACCGCAAAACTCTTTAAAAACAAACCAAAACTGAAATATTCAGCCCCGAACATTGACACAATTCAATTCTTAAATTTTCTTCTTTTTATCCTCATGAAGTCCAAGAAGAATAGTTCCCAAACACCAAAGTCAGTCATGATCGTTATATTTTTCTAAGCTTGGGAGTTACCATGTGGGTCTAAACATCCTCAAATCCCTACTCGACTTCTACAGTCTGCATAATTAGAACCAATCAAATTCTAAACAACACTTCTTTGTAATCCCTATACATATGTTCATGATCCAGAGAGGAGTTTAAAAATAGAGAGGATATTGGTGCTTTCTGGAGCTAGATGGTTGCAGAGACACCCGGTCAATTCAAAATATACTGGTTAGAATTCTGTATCTACTCAATGAAGGACTCTTCTTCATGGATCTCAAACTGACAAGATGTATCAGCTTCCTGCTGAAAACAGAACAGAGTTTGTCTTCTAATCTGGAACTTTTATTCTGCCCCTTGAAGACTTTTGTTGAGGATATAAAACAACTAAGGATGTCAATGGGGAACCATCACCTCTTCATGGCAGGCAAGGAATTCCAAAAATGTTTGGTCGGTTTTGCTCCATTCTCCCAAAGAAAAGGTTATATTTCCTTTTTCAGTGCCTATAATCTTTTTAGAACCTTCCCTTTATTGAGCCCATAAACATCACAGTGCAGCAGCAAATCATCACAGCCCATAGAAAACTCATCAAAAAGCCACCCAGCAAATGATGGTGAGATGATGTTCATGATACTTGAATTAACTAAATTTATGATGGTGTTTATAGCACCTGAAATATTTGGACCAATTGTTGCCCAACAAACCATTTGATAGAGAAAGTCAGGATTCTCTGGTCAAAGAGTCATTTAAACATGCTGCCCATTTTTCAAACATTCATTTCATTACATCCTGCTTAATAGTGTATAACTCTCCCATTTTTCTCAGAAAAACATCATTGAAGGAAAAACTTCCTCTTTTCTCTTACTGTGATATAATTAAGGCAGCCTGGAAAAGTGGAATAAATAGCAAACTTAACATCAGATTCCCTTGGCTATATCTGACTTTGCCACTAAGTCATCCAACCCTTATCCATTTTTGCTCCTGCATTTGTCTGTTTCCTGGCTATAAAATGAGGGTGTTGAAGGCAATGATTTAAAGTCTGTGCTTTCTCATGCATCCTGTGGAACACGGCAAAGCATAAATAAATAGAGATGACTTCACCCACACAACGGTATCAAGGTTGAAGAAGGTTTTGTGGTGCCAAGAGTGCTGCATTTCTCATTTTTATCAATGAAACAGGAGAGAATCCGTGCGACTGAAAATACAGCTGCAGTTCATTCTTATGAGAAAAAATAAAACTTTAGAATTTATTTTCAGAGTTCTCCAAGTTTGCAGCTGGTCTAAGTCCATCTCTCACCTAGACACCAGGCTTCTATCTCTGCCTGTCTGTATCAAACTTTACTTTTCAAAGCACATTTATTTCTTTCAGTGTAAACTGTAAAAGGCATTATTATATATGTATTATCTAACTTCATTAGTGACCACAGGCAAATTATTTCATTCTTTCAAAATATCAACCATTCATTATTTTTAAATAAGAACATAAGGAATATCTATTAAATTAATCTTTATCTTCCCTGTTAATCTGAAATTATTTTATAAAGTTTATGTCATTAATAATATATAATATGTTTCTACATGATGCTTCAGGGAAGTGGGAAGGAAATAGTTCACCTGGGTGGGAATAGGAGGGTTCAAATTTAAAGCAATACTTTTAAGATTAAAAGATACTGAAAAGGTACCCTAAGAACATACATCCAAATAAATGTTTTTAAACTTTTAATATTTTAATATTTAGATAACCCTATCTTCATGTGTTTTATCATCTCCAGCTGATACCTTTTCCATTGTGTGAACTGATTACACTTATAGCTGTCTAGTCAGGCACAGTGGTTCATGTCTGTCATCCCAGGACTTTGGGAGGCCGAGGTGGGTGGATCACCTGAGGTCAGGAGTTCAAGACCAGCCTGACCAACATGGTGAAACCCCATCTCTACCGAAAATACAAAATTAGCCGGGTGTGGTAGCGCATGCCTGTAGTCCCAGCTAACCGAGTGGCTGAGGAAGGAGAATCACTTGAACCCAAGAGGCAGAGGTTGTAGTGAGCTGAGATCGCATCACTGCACTCCAGCCTGGGGGACAAGAGCAAAACTCCATCTCAGAAAAAAAAAAAACAACTTGTAGCTGTCTGAAAAATACCTTACACCTTTGTCCCAAATATGCCAAATCAGGGCAAGAACAATGCCACCAAGGATATAGTAGCACAGATACTTTCATACAGGGGTGTCTTTTGAAAACATTCGTCACATCAGCCCATCTTGTGGTAAAATTACACTTATAGTGTTATCACACTCTTCCTTTCAATGTGATATATTAATTCAAGATCAGAGCAATGCTGGCCATGCTGGGAATACTGGTGTGAGATGTGTATATGCACAGTAGACCTTTGTCCTTGCCCCCTGTGGTTTCTAAGTCATGCCTCACGTTCAGTTTTGATATCAGTTAAAAGCTACGGGAAAATGGTACAGTACAGACAGGCAGGTCCATGAGCATAAACTCTTTGTCTCTGAGTTTGTGTCATATCAACTCTCCTGTTCTAAAAAAGTAAAGCTGGAATTTTCTTTGACACTAAACCATATTTGGAGAAATTCATTACAATGCTGAAAATCAGACGACTACTCCCTGTAGAACAATGTAGGACGCCTGTTAGAGATTAGGAGGATATTAGCAGCCTGTTTGCCCAAAGGCAAGCAAGTGAATCACATCCGAGCCAAAGCACAGCTTCAGTATAAATCTAATAGTTTTGCATTTGCTCTATTGGTGTGGCATTAACAGTACTTCTGAGTCCTGGAGACCTTTTATTTTCTACTACCTTTAATAAGGTGGAGGCAAAAGGGTAGCTCTGCTCTGCTCCCGTTCTGACTGGTGGTGAGTGGTGTTGGAGCCTTAGTAGACACTACTAGGTCAGTCTCTTCTCGCGGTGCAGGGGAGAGGCCTGGAGAAGAGTAGGGGCCCCTGGTCTGGGTCCTCACCTCCCCTTCCGCAGCTATGTGGCTCTGAGCAAGTCATGGAGTTTAAGAGATCTGTGAAATGAGGGTCTGAGTGGAATGTCACAGATTTCCTGTGAGCTTTATGATTGTATGACTCTTTGAGCAATCGAATGACTCCGGGACCACAAGTGGAACAAAGAAGGAAGTTCCAAACCGAGTGGGCGCCGTGAGCTTTGATGTAAAACACATACTTCAGTGCCCTTCAGAAGGTGGCCTTGTGCTATTTGAGGAATGTGAAGAAAAGAAACCGGATGGCAAATCCAGATGAGGAAGGAGGGAGGGGGGCAGAGGCGTTTTTGAAGAGGTCCGATTGACAGACAGGAAGTGAAGGAAACATTCAGAACATGAAGGCACATGTGTGCTTATTTTTACAGAGTTTGTGAAGACGATCACTGCAGAGGAATTGCAAGGGCGGGAGGACCCGGTCACACACTTCATGCTTTATTCTTTTCTCTCCCTGAGTGCACCCTTGTATGATGCATCCTGTCTGTGGCCCGAGTTTCTGGGAAGGCTGATGTCCACTGTGGGAAGGACAGCAAGCCCTACGGTCACCTCAGGGACTCGAGTTCCTCGCAGGGCGGACACAGCTTCCATCTGAAGAAGACAGTGGGTCAGCAGCTGCCGCCCACCTGCCATCGTGTGGGCACCAAGGCCTGCGACGAGGCTGTGAGCTTGGTACAGTCAGACCCTGCTGCTCTCCACCCAATCGCTCCCTCCTCATCCACAGGTGCCAGCGTGATGGATACGGGCACTCCAGTTCCCGATGAGCCTCAGTGCCCCCACACCACGAGTGTCTTCTCTCCGCTTCCTGCCAGGTTGGAGAAGCCCAGTCACCAAGTGTTTTTCCCAGGTCATCTCCAGGCCTCACCAAAGGATGCAGGCACAGAGAGCAACATCTTTTCTTCTTTCCAGAAAGACAGTTTTCAAGTAGATGATCAATTTAACAAACATGACTGATTTTCCTCTAAAACTAAGTTGATACATTTTTCAATGACAATTTAAAAAATGAATGAATAAAAGCTTACTAGCCGATGATTATTTTGGACAAGTGAAAATAAGTTGTGTGTTCTCAGAGCTTCTGTGTCTTTTATCTTGATGACCCAGTGTCTAAAACTGCACAATCTCAACAAGAGTTCTTCAAATGTTCCGGTGAAGAACATATGGCCTAATTCACATAGTGGGGAGTGATTGGATATTGAGACACTATTGCACAGCCCTAGGGATGAACCAGTTCATCTTCAGAGAAAATTCTGCAGGATAACATTCAGACCACTTGATAGACGATGAATTTCTGACTCTTTGAATCATACCATGTGAAATTGAAATTAGTATGTTTTTATAAAGTGAATCTGAGCCACTGAGCCATAAGGAGTGATGCAATGACTCCTGGGTTTCTGTTTTATGAACTCATTGACTTGTTTCCATCTTCCTTCTCCTAGGAGGTGGGGAGTGAATGATGACAGCGGCTATGGCCAAGGCTTGCTGTCTTCTGGCCCTTTGCTGTGTCCAGTGGTGTCTGCAGAGTCACTGTAATGCAGTGTAACTAGCTCAGTTCATGCAACTCAAGCCTTGATTGCTGATTTTCAGCACCTTTGTGGTAATTTAGGATACGGAGACCTTAAGGAAACAAGCCTTCCCCCTGCAAGGTGCTTCTGTTCTGATATGGGAGCAACATTCCCCCACACGGAAACCTACACGACGAGGTAGAGGAATAGGACTCTACAGGGCAAAGGAGAACAAATACTCGCCCACACACAAACCTACACGACAAGGTAGACGAATAGGACTCTACAGGGCAAAGGAGAACAAACATTCTCACACACACAGACCTACCTGATGAGGTAGAGGAATAGGACTCTACAGAGCAAAGGAGAACGGAAGAATCATTTCCAAGGAGAAAGAGTAACCACAATACAACTCTAGGATCATTCTGGTGACCTTGGAGTTAAAAGGAATTGTTTCTTCCTGACAAAAGAGGGTTGATTATGCTCTTAGACTCACTGTTTTAACACAAACGATATTTCAGTCTCATTATTAAAATAGTCATCACAATTTCAACTGATCTATTAATTCATAGCTATTATAATCATCCTGACCATTAGTTTTCAGTGCTCCTTGCCTATAAAAATTATTATTTTACTCTATAATTATAATGTTAGCAGTAACTCATACTATTAGAATACTTACTGATTACTGTTAACTTCACAGCCTCTAAAATGCTTCTATATTCAAGTTTTACAATATCCAGATCCGTTCCGTGATTTATGTTGCACCACTAAGCTAGGCCCACTTGGAATCCATGAAATGTCAAACCAGAAAAACAACGGCACTTTATAACCCCAGCCAGTGCATGCACTCATTTACAATTTTATAGTGCACCCTCTTGATATGGAGAACTATTGGGATTTCTGAACTCTTTAAAGCCATCTTTTAAATGACTATAGTACTTTGTCAAAGGCCCTTAATTGAAATCATCTCCGAATGTCAGCAAGAGGGATGGAGTGGAGAATGATTTAAAGACTGCAGACAAGTCTAGGTGAACAGAATTTTCCATCATTTTAACATTTCCCTTTTGCTAAAGTGATTGAATCGATTATTTATGAACATCAAGCAAATTTTCTGGAATTAAAAAAAATAATTATATCCCATCCATTCTCAGGCACACTGCCTTGTCAGGGAAAGGCAACATGCCGTATAGCTTGAGTAACAAAACATCTCTGTGTTTTAGACGTAAAACTGCTTTCGTAGTTAGGTCCTGGGTCCTAACACAAATTTCCTATTAAATAATTTGATTATTTGCACTTCTTGGTCTCTACAATTTTATTTTCTAAGACACATGGATATTATAAGACTTTGCATTAAACAAGGTGTGTAGTTAACGTTCTCTCCTGGGATGCTGGAGGGAGCAGGTGGGAAGAACTTATCACAAGCTGCTGATCGGGGTATTTTATTCCTGGTGGAAAAAGCAAGGCTCTGTGTCATGAACTAGATGTCTGTGAATGTGACAGAACTAGAAACTTATCTTACTTGGCCTCCTTGAAGGGACAGAAGCTTATTCCCCATGCCCTCCGGCTGATCTCGTGGGACCTTGTTCTCACTTGCTCCTGGCTCAGCATCCATTGCTAGGGTCAGCGGAGAGCAATTCCTTCCACCGGCGTCACCCAGAGCAATTCCTTCCACTGCTTCAGAAATATGGCACTGTGGGCTCTGTGCCACGCAGGCCTCCTTCGTGGGTGACAACATGCAGAAGAGGACGCAGATGCTATCGGAAGCCTCTTGGGACAGGTTGCCCTTATGGGCAGCTCTTAAAGAGGGATTGGTTCTCACCAACAATGGCTGAAATTGGGACTTCCCGTGGCTTCAGAATCAGGAGTGCCTGGACAGCCTATGGTCCTGAGAGTCCGGGGAGGGCTCTGCAGGTGAAAGAAGACTCAAGATCAGGACCAAATTCTTGCTTCAGGGTTTGTGGCTTGGACTCAGGTCCACGATTTTTATATTAGTACGAAATATTTTAAGAATGAACATAGATGCCCGTAAAGTCCTACACAAAGCAAAGAAATTGGAGAATAAAAGTGTAAGGAATGACTGTCCTCAGGCTTAAAGACCTGTTGCTGGGTGGTCAGGACAAGCACTGAAAGCTTCCATCTTGCGTCTCTTTGGAAGGGCAGGTTGGCAGACGCAGATGACATCACACAGATTTATTTTAATTTTTTTGACACAGGATTCATTGAAATAGTTTTGTTTACTTTCCTTACAAAAAATAAAAATCTGTACATGGTGGAGAGTTTTATACCTTTCCATGAGGTCTAAATATTTTAATATGGTTTAATCAATGGCTTGTATATGACACACACTTAATTTCTAGGTTAATCCAAATTTGCTTTTAGCATACTGTAAACCAGATGTTCTTGGAAAGAAAAAAAAAAGCTTAAGTCTTTAATTTTTTGTGTATATGTGTGTGTTTTGCTTGAGGCATAAAAATCATTTTTCCTTCTTCAGTAATGTTGTTTTCAATTACAATTATGTTTTCACTACAAATACCAAAAAAATTAACGGATATGTTCAGTTATTAGTTTATCTTTCAGCATGCTTGTATCAATCCAGTTATTATGTTATACATTTTTTAAAAACTTATTCAAATGACAACCTTAATAACATCAAACGTATAGCAAATTTGGCTTCTTTCTCTCTCTTCCCAAACATAAAAGTTGGGAAAAGACTTATGGTTTCTGCCAACTGCCCAAGAAAACACATGTGCTGAGCACATGGGTCCTGACTGCTCTTCCAAATGCTCATGTACCTGCCATGCTAGCTGCGCCCAACTGCAAAGACCACAGCTCCACCTGCAGAAGGACCCGCTGTGGCCAAGAGACACAATGCAGGTACCCTGCACATGCTGGCAGTGGTGGTCACCTTGATGATCAGAAATGCAAATGAAATTCTGAATATTCTACTGACTTCTATAACGCTCTAGCTAAAATAGTATTTTATTTTCAGAACACTGATTACATCACCAATAGTGAGAAAAGACCATTATCTTCAATCCTGAGTGTTTTCAAAGGTCCCCAATCACTAGACGGTTAACCAAGAGGAACACCTCAGGAAAGCAATTTTGGGGATACTTTAAAGAATTTCCTCTATGAGTGGGAAAGAAGCCTTTATCAGCTTGAAAGCCTTGTTTTTATTGTACTTCCCCGGTGAGCAACAGTGTGGTTTGTCTGGGAATAAAGGAGTTCTCAGGACACAGGTCTTTTGGTTTTAAAACTGGTGATGTCCCAGACAAATGTGCCTAGTGGGTCACCCCATCTACCAATGTCTTCCACACCTCTATACGGGGAGACATTTAGGTTTTAGCATCTGTTACAGATATTTTCATTTTTCCATCTGCCATTAGCATTCTTTCTATAAAACTGACAGCATAGGAGACTCTGGCTTGTTATAAAGAAAACAAACAAACAAAAACTCAAATTAGCTCGAACGAATGAAAAAACAAAGGCCATGTAGTGGTCACTGGAACTGAGCATGGGAGCGGGAGAGGCCAGGCTCTTGGGGCCGCCGTCTGCTGCACCAATGCTGTGCTCATGTTTCTGCCTCTGCTTCCCCCTATTCTTCTTGTACATTGGCCGCCCCCTTCCCCAGGCAGGCAGCCTCCCTCCACGTGGGGAAGAAATGATGCTTTACTGCTATATCCACCTCTTGACAGTCTTTCCTTCCCAGACAACAACCTCAGAGAAAAGAGAAGATTTTGATGAATAAAGAAAGGCCCCGTTTTAGTGACTTGTCCATGCTGACACACCTCCACACCCATGGATCCAAGTGACCGTGACACCCAGGGCTCGGTCCTGTGCCCACCTCCTGGCCCAGTGGGGACAGGATCACCTGCTAGCCTTGGTGCCAACACCAATCTCAAGTTACTGAGATGGAGCAGTGCCTCAAAAGAAGCCAGCAGGGACTGTCCCTAGAAAGAAAAAGGAAGGAGGAGTCCTGGGCTGTGTAGCCCACAGATGTTATCCACAAATGTTCAGGCGGCCCTGGAGCCGTGAATGCTGTGTGCTCTCTCTGCGAGCCATTGAACACTCAGGTGTGGGGGCTTTGGCTCGGATTCCCCCAGATCTGTTCAAGCTGATTCTGCTGCCAATGTTCATCAGTTGGACTGGAGCACAGACTTTGACCTCAAGTTTGAGTTAAGGTTTTTGACTCCATTGTCTCCCAGTGCAGGAGCTGAAAGACAGAGATGCGACTGCCTCATTCCCAGAGAAGAAGCTTCCTGGCAGCCCACAGGAGCCCGCAGGGGCCCGCAGGGGAAGCTGTGTCAGGAGCAGAGCCACAGCCCAGGGCCGCGTCTCCTTGTTGGCCTGTTCCTGTCCCCACTGACACTGGAGGAGGAGAGGCCGTGTTGCCGCTGCACCTGGAGAGTGAACATGGATGGCCCCAAAGTGTCAGCAGGTGCCCTGCACTTTACAGCATTAGTCTCCATTCTCTTTTGCATTTGGGGAGATATTTATAACACAAACTGTTGGTGTCCGGCCAACACCCATGTCCCTGCTTCCTTCTTAGAGGGTCCTGATGTTGTCTGGGCCCACCCTCCACTTGCAGCTTCAAGGTGTCCATGAGGATGACCCCATCTCCACTGGCGGGTCCTGGAAGGTCAGGCCAAGCTCCTGTCCATTGCTGGCATGCCGTGCAGTCACGGCCAGTGAGGCCCGAAGGAGACAGCCTGAGGCTTCTGGGGGGGCTCTGCAGAAGGAAATGGGTGGGGTTGTTGTGTGAGGCCTGAAAAACGTCAGGGCATCTCACAACTCCGTGAGAGTAGCTTGAGGACAAAGTCAGCACAGGGCCAGAGCCAGAGCAAAGCTAGAAACTCCTAACAGACTTTATTACAGGAACTTTGTTTTACTGCAAATCACAATTGATCTTAAGGGTCATAGTTTTCATGCAACAGAACATATAGTGATGACCATTGGGATCTTTAGAAAATCAACATAATCTTATGAGAAATTCCAACTACAAATGATAAATGTAGAAAATTTAATCAATCATCTACACCAAGCGGAGCTAGTATATACTGGGGAGTATATAATTTAATTCCTTCCGTTTCTTCCACAAATTAATGCTTTGTAATTAAATGAACCTCAGAATGTTTATACACAGAACCAGAAATCATTCATTTAAGGGCAGTACTATTGTCAACATTTTCTTCTAATTTCTACTGCGGCCTTTCTTATTTTTTATTTTAAAATGCAAAAAAAATGAAGAATGGAGGTGAGGGCTGGTCACTTCTCCCCAAATTTCTAAAAATCAAGTTTTTTATGGATCATGCTTTCTCTGGAAGGGAATAAACCACGGTTGTAGTACTAAATGCATCTTTCGATGCAATGAAGTCATTATCTGACAAGAACTGGAAAATGAAATAAAAGAGAAGGAGAAAAAAGATGAAGAGCATTAAAGGGAAAACCTAAGACACATTAAATTTAATAGAGCTTAATTGGGCAAAGAAGGACTTGCAAGGAAGGTGAGGCCCAGAAACAGCGGGCTTGGCTCCCGCCTAGCTTTCAACCCACTTCAGCAGGGTTGGAACCCATGGTTGCCTGTGATTGGCTGCAACTCTATGATTGGTGTGGAGTAAGTCACCTCTGTTCACAGATCCATCTAAGGGGCAGTTCACTATGTACAGAGGAACCCTTAGGCCGAACCTAAAATATGTAACTAGGCAGCTTTAGGCTACAATTAACAAGAGATGAGGAAAAAATGTGGAAGGAGAGCTTTAGGAGAGCTTTAGGAGTCCTGGAGTCTGGTTTGCCTCTCAGCTGGTCTTTCCTACTCCTGCACGACTCGAGTGCTTCCTGGACTCCTAAGCACTAAGCCCTGACCCAGGCAGCATCCATCCTGCCTAACAAAGGCCATGGTTTAAGTCCGGAATTCTCATGGAAAAGGCACCTGCGCGACACACACGGGTGCTGTCTTGTGGCTCTTAGCAGAGTTACTGCCTTCGTCGGGGACTGGCTCTGTCCTGATGCCTTCCCTCAAGAGGTCTGCTTCCAGAGCTCCTGCCTCCGGCCACAGTTTTCATTCCCAAAGGGAGCCTCTCTTTCGGCCACAGCCTGGTGCATGTGGCAGAGCCTTTACACCCTGAAAAATCCTATCTTCCCATGACACGAGGACACAAAATGAAAGATGCAGTGTGATGGTGCTTGGCCACACAGCAGCCTTTGGTGATCTAAAATAGTCAACATTCGTTCCTGAATGTTTTCACGTACAAGACATATGCTGTGTCCTGGGGAAACACACTCATAAATGAGGTGTCTTCTCTGAGCCTAGAGCATAATGGGTGAGGCCGGACAGCTTGCCCACAACAAATCGTATTTAAATTTAGTTTCTACATTTAACTCAGAACGAACAAGGAATTAGGGGGCAAGCACTTCAGGCTCCACGTGAAAAGGGGTGACAGAGAAGCCACGGAAGTGGTGGCGGGGATGGCCCACGTGGCGATGGGTCAGGTTTGGAGACATTGGCGTGGACTCATGGTTTCCAATAATAAATACAGATGCAGACAATACAGACACCTGTGCACACACACAGACACGTGCACACACTCAGACACACATGCATGCTCACACTGAGACACACGCATGCACACACAGACACACATGCACACACTCAGACACACATACACACAGACACACGTGCACGCACTCAGATACGCATGCATGCACACACTCAGACATGCATGCATATGGCTTTGGTGAACCCACAGCTCTCCTTGCTCTCCTTGCTCTGGCGGCAGAGGGGCCTCGAGGCAGGGCCAGCCAAGCAGCCGTAAGCACAGCTGGAGACCAGTGTGGCTGCCAGGACCAGGCTCCAAGAAAAGCAACCTAAGCTTGTCAGAGACAGGCCTGAGCCTAGGACTGAGGGAGCAGGAAATAGTCACAATGAGCCTGGAGCATATTGTTGTGCCAAAAAAGTCAGGAAATGCTCAAAAAATTAGAAAAAAAAAAAAAGATGTGGGTATGTGAAGAGACACAGGAGGGAACTGAACGAACTTCCCACAGCCAAGGGTAGAGCCCTGTCAGCCAAGGCATGAAGAACGTAAGCACTGCATGATAACACAGATCACCAAATAAGTGTCCACCCGTCCAAAGCTGACATAAAAACTGAGAAAATAAGTAAATGGTGGGGGGAGAAAATGCAAATCTTCCGTGTACGGGAATTCCAATAGTTTATGCAGATATTACATTCTGTCCTCAAAATTGGAGCATTAACTTCCCATTCCTTAAGAGTGGGCTGTGCATGGAGAAATCCCTTCTGAAAAGAATGATATGGAGAAGGCTTAAAAAAATAACTTTCCCATGGAGACACCTGACAGGCGTTGCCCCAGCAGGGCACTGAGGTCAGCAGCATCATTGACCGCTTACGTGGCTGGAAAGTGCCCTTGGCGTGATGTGATATGAACAGCATTCATGTATGTGGTCTTCTCCCCCAAACACCACAAGCCCAGTCTAATTGTAAGAAAATCATCAGACGAATCCAAAGTGAGGGACATTCTACAAAATACCAAGAGAGTGCTCCTCAAGACTGTGAGGTCAGCATAAACAGGGAGGGTCTGAGAAGTTGTCACAGCCAGGAGGATCCCAGGGAGGCCTGAGGATTGGATGCCACATGGTGTCCTGGACAGGCTCCTCAGTCAGAAATAGGACATCGGGGGAAACTAAAGAAATTGGAATAAAGTGTGAACTTTGTTTAATAAACGTGTATCAATATGAGTTTCTTATTTGTAACACATGTCACGCAATCATGTAAGATGTCAATCATAGGGAAAACTGTGAGAGGTATACACAGGAAGTCTTTGTACTATCTTCATAAGGTTTCTGCAAATCCAAAATTGTTCTAAAAGACAAAGTTCATTTAAAAGTAAAGAAAACAAGAAAACAAAATAAAAGCAAAATCTACAGCTAACATCATGCTTAACGGCAAAATCATGAATGTTTTCTCCCTAAGATTGGAAACAAGGAAAGAATAGATACAATGAACATTCTTTTTCAAATAGTACTGGAAGGTGTAGCTACTGCAATAAGGCAAGACAAAGAAAAGGCACACAGATGTAGAAAGAACAATATAACTGTCTGCATTTGCAGATAAGTTGGCCTATGTAGAAAATTTCAAGCACTCTACAAACCCCCAGCTCTAATAAGTGAGTTCATCGAGTTTGCAAAATGGAAGATCAATCCATAAAAACCACTAGTAGTCCTATACACTAACAAAGACATGCAGAAACCAACATACAAAACACAGTATCTTCTACGATTGTGCCAAATAATTGAATTACTAAGAAATGATCGTCTCCTCAAACTGATACATAGTTCATGTAATCCCTTTCAAAATTCCAGCAAGGAATATTCTAAAATAGATATACTTATTCTAAATATTTTATGAATAAGCACAGGCCAAGGAATAACTAAAATGATCTCGAAAAAGGAGAATAAGGTTGGAGAAATACCGTTCCTTGTGGCTTACTGTGCATCTGCTGTGATAAAGACAGCGTGGTACTGACAGAGGGGTGGAGAGCAGGTCAATGGACCAGAACACAGAAGCCAGAACAAACACACACAAATACATGCAACTGATTTTTCACAAGGTGCACAAGCAATTCATTAGAAAAAAGATTCGCTTTTCAACAAATGGTGCTGGAGCAACAGGTTATCCATAGGCAAAACAAACAATCAGCCACTTTCACCTAGCTTTATTATACCTCATACAACAGTTAACTCACAATGGATCCTGGACTTAAAGGTGAAATATAAAACTATTAAAAGTTGAGGAAAAATCATAGCTGAGAACCTCTGGATCTAGGCTTAGGTAAAGATGGATTCCAAACTTTTCTGCTCTGTTTTCTTAGGTGCTAACACCAAGGCAAGATGTATTTAAAAATGATAAGTTGGACCTCAAAAATGTAAACCTTGTTCTCTGAAAGAATATTGTAAGATAATGAAAATGCAAGTTACAAGTTGGGAGAAAATAGGACCTGAGAGAAAATATTGCAAACCACAAATCTGACAAATGACTGTTATTTTAGTTATATAAAAAGAACTTCCCAAACCCAACAGAATAAAAGAAAAATCCAGGCAGAAAATGCACAGAAGACATGAGCAGACCTTTCGCCATGAAAATATACTGCACAGCTAGCAAAAAAGCATGTTTATGATCATTATAGATATTCTATTCATCATTGTTAGCCATTTGGGAGGTGCAAATTAAAGCACAATGAGACATCACCACATAAAATGGCTAAAACGAAAAAAATTGTGACAACATCAAATTCTGGCAAGGATGTAGAGAAACTGCATTAGTGGGCAGGTGTGGTGGCTCATGCCTGTAATCTCAGTACTTTGGGAGGCCAAGGTGGGAGGATCACTTGAGCCTAGAATTCACAACCAGCCTGGGCAACATGGTGAGACCCTATCTCTACAAAGATTTTAAAACTTAGCATGGCATGGAGGGGTGTGCCTGAAGTCCCAGCTACTCAAGAGGCTGAGGCGAGAGGATCACTTGAGTCTAGGAGTTCGAAGCTGCAGTAAGCTGGGATCACACCACTGCACTCCGGCCTGGGCAATACAGCAAGACCCACGTGTCTCCTTGGCTTGAGGCCTGGGTGTCTGCGAGACACATCCCACTTGGCATGTGTGAGACTCCACCCCCTCGGCCCGCGCCTTCACCTGTGTCTCCGGCATGCATCCCCGTCTCAGAAGATGGGAACTGCATGCTTCAGGTGTTGGAATCTCATTGCAGATCCTGGTCCCACAGATCCCACACTCACCTTGCCATGGCTCTAGCTGAGGGGAGAGAGTATTCTGATAAGACAAGCTTGGCTCTACTCTCAGAAAATGCCTTGAGGACATTATTTGACATCTTGCAGAGTTCCTAAAGCCAAGACAACCTAGGCTTTTGAATCATGAGACCCCCTGCCCGCCACAGAGATGTATAAACATAATATCGTTCATATCTGTGTGTATACGTATCTACATCGTTATATATGTACATACACACATACGCTATATCATGCTATGTATACATTTTTACAATTATAGCAATTGTTATATACCAGTTCTTATATTCAATTCTATATAGTGTGTTATATATCTATTTCCATTTCTAATATAGAACATTACATATATAATATATAATCAATGATTGAGCCCCTGAGGGCTATCTAGCAGATACTATGAGTGTTAATGCACACATCTTGTTTCATAATCAATACTTGTACAGCGGGCGCTAGTCTGGGTCTCTGGTTGAGTCTCACCCGCAGTTAAGATGCGGCAAGCTGGTGAAGTAAGGCAGGGTCGACAAAGAGCAACTGATGGAAGGACTCAGGGCAGAGAGAAGACAACCTGTTAGAGCCCCACCGTCCTAGGCTGTGGCTCTGGATTCAAAGGTTGGAGTGAAGCAGAAGTGGGATGGTAAACAAAACCGACCTTCACATGCGTGCTCTCCAGATTTTGTTTTGAGAGAGAGATCGGTTCTTAGTGAGTGGTGACACTGTGGACACTTGCAATATGAAAGAAAGAAAGTAAACATTCCCAGTTGTGTCTGTGACCCTCTTTGTCATCTTCATTCCTGGAGATCAAAGGAACTCAGCGTGCCTGCTCCAGAAGGCTCCTGTAGGAGCTGGGCTTGAATTGGCAAGAACATAGCTGATCTGCATTCTCCAAAAGTGCTGTGTTGAAAAGCTATTTGCACAGTGCATTAGTCCATGTTCATAATGCTATAAAGAACTGCCCGTGCTGGGTGTGGTGGTTCATGCCTGTAATCCCAGCACTTTGGGAGGCCAGGGTGGGTGGATCACCTGAGATCAGGAGTTCAAGACCAGCCTGGCCAACATGGTGAAACCCCATCTCTACTAAAAATTCACAAATTTGCTGATCGTTGTGGCTCGTGCCTATAATCCCAGGTACTAGGTGGGCTGAGGGAGGAGAATTGCTTGAATCTGGGAGGTAGAGATCATGCCACTGTACTCCAGCCCGAGCAACAAAGTGAGACTCTGTCTCCAAAAAAAAAAAAAAAAAGGACTGACTGCCATAGACTAGTAATTTATAAAGGAAAGATGTTTAATTTACTCACAATTCAGCATGGCTGGGATGACTCAGGAAACTTACAATCATGGTGGAAGGCAAAGGGGAAGCAAGGCATCTTCTTCACAAGCAGCAGGAAAGAGAAGTGCTGAGCAAAGGAGGAAGAGCCCCTTATAAAACCAATCAGCTCTCATGGGAACTCACTCACTCTTAGGAGAACAGCACCGGGGAAACCGCCCCCATGATTCAATGACCTCCACCTGGTCTATCCCTTGACACGTGGGGACTATGGGGATTACAATTCAAGATGAGATTTGGGTGGGGACACAAAGCCTAACCATGTCACAGAGTGAATCTTGAGATTTGGGAAAGGAGATGGGGACTGAGATCAAGACAGGAGAAGGCAGCCTCTGCACACTCCCAAGAAACAGCTCACTTACAGGCACCTGCGGAGGCCAAAGTTTCCAGGGTCCTGGGGATTCAAAAAAGCATTGAATCAGTCTTCAATTGTCATAATTCAAGGGGTTTGGAGTTCATGTGGAAAATATACTCAAGAAACCTTCACAAGAAATTAAATGGATTTGGTTTTAAAAGACACAAAAGAAGAGACAGGGAGTCCTTTCAAAGTGGAGAGATTTATAGGACAGAGTTCACAAAGGTGAGAGTAAATGTTCATTTGTGGGCTACTAGAAACACCAGCAGAAAATCATGACTGTTTAAATATCTGCAAACGGCAGTTGCTATCCACACACATCATAGGTAAAACCATCACACGATATTTTCAGCACATTTCTTCTTTAATATCTTTCAAAACTCATAATTCACAGATTGAAATTTTAGTAAAATGTGGTGAACATTAAAAGATTAGTGAATTAAGTCAGTCATTTGGAGATGTTTTTACTAATAGACGTGCAGCTAACAGAAATACATTTTCAAAATTATTTTTATAGAGAGTGCTGTAAAGATGTTTTGCAAATGCATAAGCAGTGAATCAATCTTAGAAAATAACAATCCACAAAAAGAAAAGGGTGAATGGAAACAGTAATGGAGAGGCTGGCAAACGCCTAGGAGGGCTTTGTTGTTCAATCTGCCGTCATCTGAATTGTCTTTGATTCTAAGCTGCTTTAAATTTTCCAGCTGCAGCGAGCCTGCTTCCAAGGTTGTTATACAATGGGTCAGTAACATGTCTGATAATCAGTTGCTTACTAGTGGTAGATCTGTTTCTAATGAGTTCAAAGGGTTTGGTTCTTGCGGGTAGAGTGTACATGTTTTTCCCGGGTTCCACAGCTGTGCTGTGTTGAAGCGCAGGCGCTCACAGGTGGGGTAACACGAACTTGCTTCAACATCCCCCCTTTACACGCATGTCTCTCCTCCTGCCAGGACCACAGGAAGATGAGGGCCCACGA
The DNA here is from genome assembly GCF_000001405.40 of Homo sapiens. NCBI lineage: Eukaryota > Metazoa > Chordata > Mammalia > Primates > Hominidae > Homo > Homo sapiens. The sequence continues at coordinate 78,207,940 of NC_000018.10, read as the reverse complement.
TGAGGGGAATGAGAGCAGCATTGTACGTGTCTGTGTTTAAATGTTTAAACGTTTATCAGTGTTTACCCTATTTCTCAATTTCTTTAGTTTAGCACTTGCAGTGCAAAATATAGCAAAGGAAGAGACAGACAGAAACACAGAGAAAATGAGTCTGTGTGGGTAAGAATTTTAAAAACATGGTACTAAATTAAGAACCTCCCTTTTAATGGCAAACAGTTGAGATTGAGAAGTATGTTTATTTACACAACAAAGACCGGAATGCATGGGTTTGCAGTCATATTCATCTCTCATTTTCGTCAAGGAGGTGCTTCCCATATGGAAGATGCTGTCCAGGGTTGCTTGAACGAACCTCTTCCATCAGCAGCGCCCAGCGAAGTCAAGGGTCCTGTTTTCCTTAAAGGGAAACATTGTCCATGCTGGGAGTGAAAGTTTCATGTCTGAGCAGTGATGGGATGATGTCACAATTTCTTTTCTCATGTGAAATTAGTTAGATCTGAGAAAAACAAAGATAAAGTCAAGGGTCCAAAAGTGTGATTTTACAAAGATCCAATTGGATCAATAAATGGCAAAAGCTTAAAAATGAGAGGTCAGGATTTGTAAAGGGAGTGCCTGAACCTGTTCATTTTTTAGAACGTTTTCTGCAACCAAAGCTGTATTTGTTTAGAATTACCAAAGTTGCACACTGAGCACTCATGCTTGCAGGAGTCTCCTTCTAATGGAAGAACTGGTTGTAAGGAGTAAACATAAGAAGTAAATTTGCTATGCCTGCGTTCTCTTTTATGCCCTAATGTGCTGGGTGTGTGTGTGTGTGTGTGTGTGTGTGTGTGTGTGTGTGTGTTTTAAACAGGATCTCGTCTGGGTTGTGCCTTTCATCTTTTCCTTCAGATTACATGTTACCAATCAGAGATACTGTAGGTCTCTGTAGGAATGGGAAGTTTTGTATGACATAAACAGCAACGGACTCCTATATTCCTCTCAGGCCCTTTGTGGAATATGGGGAGGCTAAGGCTCTCATTCTGGGGCAGGGGTGCTGGGTGCAGGGGAACATGGAGGGCAGGTGGAAGCTTGGTAGGAGAAGGCAGATGACTCTGGCAGAGAATGGATACCCACATCTCCAGGGCTCCCCAAAACAACCACCACCATTTTCTTGCATTGCATTAGGAAAACGAGTACCATGTCACTGTGAGATTTCCCAAGTTTGCTGCTACTGTCCTAGAGGCACCAGCCAGCTCTAGGGCCCAGAAATGTCCCCATCATTATTTAAATCTTATAGTGACATCAGCTAACAGTTCACCCCAAGCGTCAGTGCAGCTGGATGTCATGTGTCCACTAGCTACCTGCAGAGGCATTTCACAAAGCCCACAATGAGATGAACCTTAAGTGACACAATTGCATGTTTTGGACCCATTCGTCTACTATGATAGGATTTTGTATTTCTTGGTCTTTGCTTATTAACTCTGTATGGCATTGCAGTTGTCTCTTTCTGGAAAATAAAGCCCTTATCTTTGAACAACGAAGAGTTGCCATGCCGGTTGTGGTCTGCATTCGATAGTGGTTAGATCCAGCTACCTATCACTTTACAGCAGTGCCTTATCAGAAATGTGAGTTCTCTCTGTAGGATCAGTCTTCGAATATTGTGATTCAAGATTCTTAACTTGTGATTCAAGCACCTTTGACAGTTGGTTTACTCTTGGTTTGGTTTTGACCTAAGAACTTAACCTTGACTTTCCTAAATTATGATGCCTTTGCTATAGCAACCTTCACACAATGCCAGTGTCAAAAGAGCACAATGGCAAGCCTCTTACCTGTCCCAACTGCCCTAGATTTAAACCGGGTTAAGGCCAGACTTTATTATGAGAGAACTTATATGCATATGAGTGTAAGTAGATGGAGAGATTTTAGTGTTAATTATCTGCTTTATGCAAAGTTATTTCAAAATTTTTAATTGTGATAAAATATACATAACATTAAATTAACTATCTATTATGAACTAGATTTTTGTGTTCCCTTAAAATTTATACATTGAAATTAAAAACCCCAATATGTTGTTATCAGGAAGATGCTATTAGGGGCCTTTGGAAGGTAAGTCATAAAGTTGAAGCCTTCATTAATGGAATTCAAGCCTTTATAAATGGGACCCCAGAGAGCCAGTAAGCCCTCCTTCCACCATGCAGGGATACTACACAAAGTCAGCTGTCTGCAGCCCACAATGGTCACCAGAACCTGACCATTGTGGCACTCTGCTTTTAGACGTTCTGCCTCCAGACTGTAAGAAATACATGTCTATTGTTTATAAGCCACTCAATCTATGGGATTCAGCAGCCCACAAAGACTACGACAGAAATAAATCCCAAGAAGTAGAGGTACTGCTATACCAAATACCCAAAAACGTGGAAGCAGCTTTGCAGTGGTAATGGGTAGAGGCTGGAAGCATTTTGAGATGCGTGTTAGAAAAAGCCTGGAAGGCCATGAATGGACTCCTAAAGGTAAGTCTGGTGAAACTGCAGAAAAAAAAAAGAGGAGAACTGTAGAAAACCTTCCATCTTCTTAGAGAACATCTAAATAGACAAGAACAGAATGTTGGTAGAAACATGAACAGTAAAGGCCATTTTGATGAGTCCTCAGATGAAAATGAGGAACACGTTACTAGAACCTGGAGGAAAGGCCATCTTTGTCATCAAGTGGCAGAGAACTTGGCTGAATTGTGTGTTCTAGAGTTTTATGAAAGGCAGAGATTTTGAGTGATGAAATTGTATATTTAGCGGATAAGCTTTGTTCCTCTTGACAGCTTATATAAAATGTAAGAAGACAGAAGTGACTTGCAAATAAAATTATTAAGCAAAAGGAACCAGAACTTAAGGATTTTAATAATTCTCAGACTATCCATATTGCAAAAAATGAAAAGGCATGATTAGAAAAGCACACTAATGGTATGGCTAAATAACTTTGATAAGGACATTAGTATGGGTGTGAACCACAAGTTTATCAGCCAGTTTAACAAGCTAGGCATTATTATTCAAAATAAAGAAGGAAGGTCCTCCCCCCACCAGTGATTTGGAGATGATCAGAGCTGCATTCCCACTACGGGTCCAGAGTGTCAGAGTCTGGCAGGGGAAGAGTGGGTTCCCTGGTTCAGGCAGGCCAGCATGCCCTTCCCCAGTCCCTCAGGCTATTTGTAGCAATATAAGACACCACATTCTCACCTGACTCTAGTATGTCATGCTCTCACATGACAGAGAGCAGACTCTGGACATATCCAAATATTGTACCCCAAAATATATTTTTGACATATTTTTAAATGACTCTGCAACACTTTCTCTTGGGGAAATTTACATTCTGTAGAGAATCTCCTTTCCATTCCAGGTCTTTCTCTGATCCTGAAGAGACTGGCTGAGAGTCTAGCACCTTTTAAGGTTCTGAACAGAAAACATTTGCCATCCATTGCCTCTAAGGGTGGCCACCTGTGAGACTTCATCTACATAATAAGAACCTTGGTCTCCACTGCCCCTTATTTTAACCCAGACACTCCTTCCTATTGATTCCAGGTCTTTGGATAATAATTCTTTCAACCAATTACCAATCAGAAAATCTTTGAATCCACCTATGACCTGGAAGGACTCTCCCTGCCCCCTACTTCCAATTGTCCCACCTTTCTGGACCAAAGCAATATACACCTTACAAGTATTCACTGATGTCTGTCTCGCTTAAAATGTGTAAAATCAAGCTGCAAACCAACCACTTTGGGCACAGGAGTTTTTCGGAAACTCCTGGGGCTGTATCATGGGTCACAGTTCTGTCATTTGGCTCAAAATATATCTCTTCAAATATTTTACAGAGTTTGGCTTTTTTTCATCAACAAACTGCACTGAAGACTTCTATGCCCCATCCTTCCCCTGCTCTGTTATGCAAAAGGATATGGTGTTTGTTACACATTTTCTATGTAATCATTGTGAATAACTTGATTGTAGAAGAAGAAGAGAACCAGATGTAATGTGCAACTAAAGGGGGAAAAATAGCAAAAGGAAATGAGAAGGTGTTTATGAAACCCTTGCTTCATTTACCAAAAAATTATTCTGTATTAATCATTTGCAAGAATGGAATGCTATGTGAAATCAGATATACAAAGCAGAGTATTAAAACATTTTTAAAATGTGTAAATTCCAACTGCTATGAGTTTGCCAAAAATAATCTTGAGTTTTAGCATGTTTCCTATTTATTGTAACATTTAAATTCTTTCCAAATTATCTTTCATTCAGATTTCAGCCCATTTTTCTTTGTTGGCGTTCAAAACAACAATGATGACAAGGAAGAAGAAAATAAGTGGCAGCTCAGGTTCCTCTTTTTCTCCTTAAATACAAAGTTTTTTAATTTTAGGTTTTACTTATTTATTCATTTATTTTTATAATATATATTTAAGGTATATATCATGATGTTTTGATATGTGTAAACATAGAGAAATATTGTTTTTCTGTTTGAATCAGTCCAGAATACAATGAACATAACAAAAGGCACATGGCAGGGCCGTGGCTTGTAGACACCACTTGCCCAGATAAGAGGCCAGGCCCCTGTGGACAGAGTGAGCAGGGGAAGTCTCCGTGTCTCCTGCATGCTCTCAGTAGAGACCGGGCCCTTGTGGACAGAGTGAGCAGACTAGAAATCTCTGTTTCTCCTGCACCGCGCTCAGTCGTTTGCTTCAGGCTCTGAGGTTTGGCATGAGAATGCCTTCCTCGGATGACTCTTTTAAATGGGAAATTCGCATGCAGTGAACTCTTAAAAACCAAAAATAAATCAGTGTCTCTTCCAAAATACATGCACGTGCACATATATTACAGGCTGACACACCCTCACACACATACACTCACGTGCTCCTGTACATGTAACCTTTAGTGTGTGGCAAGTATGTGAAACCTATCTAATTTGAATTACTGGGCTCACAGTTTCTATGCCACATGAACTATACGTGAGTTGAAAGTATGACTTTTGAGTCTGTAGGTTTTCGTTTATTTCTTCAAAGCTGACCTTGCAAGTTCCTCCAATATTCACCAGTATCTTTTTAGGCAAACCTTCCTTTTGCCTCACACCGTTTAATGCGCCCATGTTTCATCTGTAATCTTAAGCATATTTTCTCCTTTTAAGAATCAACATACCTATCTCAGTAATAACTGATTCAGATGATATTATCAAAAATTTTCAATCCTATGATAGCTACAGAGCACATAATTTAAACAATTGATAGTTAATAAATAGGTATGTCCACGTCCATCTGGTCCCACCAGCCGATTTTGTGCTTTTAGTAAAGATCAGAATATGCTCATCAAATGCTCTGAATCAGTATGTCCCAATGTTTTTTGTGAGATGTTGATGACCCAAGTACTCATTTATATACATACATACATAAGATAGATAGTCTATTAAAAAAAGAGTAGCCCGATCAAATACTATGGAGTTTCACAATTCTTATTAGCATATCAAAGAATTGTGGAAAACTCTTAGAAAAAACCAGCTTACATCAAGTGTCCTAGTGTTGCTCTCAAGAATATTAATCACAGAACTCATCAGTGTTCATTGAAGAGTTAAGATGTTTAGACCACATTTGATAGCAGCGAAGATTTCATTATATATTGGGCTTGTTCTGAAGACTACAAAGTTCACAGCTTACCTGTATTCATCCATGTAGTGGGACAGAGAAGGAGGTCGGACAATCAGCAGCTCAGGCACAATCAGTCAGTACAGGCATTACAAGGCTTCATACCCCACACGGCCCACCACACAGCTAGCAGCGAGAGACACGCCCAACACTGTATGAACTTTACGTTGGAATGAATGGATATTCAAATCCTAGATATTCAAATCATCACAAAGGCTGACAGAAAGAAAGAAAGAAAATATTTAAAGGCCCTGAGATGGAGGAGACCTGGGCAAGAAAGTCAAGGTGGAGAGAACTGAGGGAGTGGGGAGGAGGAGGGCGAGTCAGCTGGGAGAGCAGCATGGGGCTCTGTAGGAGCATGGAGGCCCCATCCAGGGATTGAAATGAGAAATGCACTAAAGGATGTCGGTCAGCGTATGCATCCATTCTCATGCTGCTATAAAGAACTGCCCAAGACTGGGCAATTTACGAAGGAAAGAGGTTTCGTTGACTCACAGTTCCACAGGGATGAGGAGGCCTCAGGAAACTTATAATCATGGTGGAAGGGGAAGCAAACATGTCCTTCTTCACATGGCAGCAGGAAGGAGGACAATGGTAGGTGAGCGAAGAGGGAAGTCCTTTATAAAACCATCAGATCTCATGAGAACTCAATCACTATCATGAGAATAGCATGGGGGAAATCTGCCCCCATGATCCAATTACTTCCCACCACACATGGGGATTATGGGAACTACAATTCAAGATGAGATTTGGATGGGGACACAGTGAAACCACATCAGCTGGGGAGGGATGGGATCACATCTCCATCACTAGAAGAATAGCAGCTTCTCTTTGGAGAAGAGAGGAAGCAGAGTCTGCTTCCAAAGCTGTTGCGGTGGCCCTGGCAGGAATGGGCAAAAGCTTGGTTTTCACTGGCGGTGCTGTAGACAGATATGATTGGGCATCTAAAATTAAATAAATTGGAAGTGAAATTGGCAAGATTTGGTGTTGCATGCACAGGGGTGATGAAGGAGGCATGTACACAGTGACCCCAAGATTTGGGATGAGCACCGCTAGATGGCTGAAGCACCGCTGTTGAGAAGGGAACTGGCAAGGAGGGGATATTAGGAAGGAAGGGAAGATGAGGAGTAGAGCTTTGGGCAGGTTCAACTCGCTGTCTCTGAGATACCGGCAAAGACCCAGGGGCCACTGGCCACTGTAAACAGGAGAGGGGTCCGGGATGAAGATTTACATGGTAATTATCTAATATGGTTTGGCTGTGTCCCTATTCAAATCTCAACTTGAATTTTATCTCCCAGAACTCCCGCATGTTGTGAGAGAAACCCAGGGGGAGGTAACTAAATCATGAGGACTGGTCTTTCCCATGCTATTCTTGTGATAGTGAATAAGTCATGAGAGCTGATGGGTTTATTAGAGGTTTCCCCTTTGGCTTCGTCCTCATTCTCTCTTGCTGCCGCCATGTGAGAAGTGCCTTTCACCCTCTGCCAAGAGTATGAGACCTCCCCAGCCATGTGGAACTTTAAGCCAAATTAAACCTCTTTTTCTTACCAGTCTTGGGTATGTCTTTATCAGCAGCATAAAAACTGACTAATACACTATCAGTATACGGACTTCTTCCTTTTAATCCAGCCAGGGAAGATGAGGATCTTGGGGACAGACTACACAGCAGGAAGGATGGAAAGAGCAGGTGTGGTGTACTGAGGCCTGTCCCCGGACATTTGTGGAATTGGCAAACTCTGAAATTGTCAAGACAATTATTGGACTCTCAAGAGCCTTGTGGCTGGTAGTTCAACACAGCCATTATTAAATATTAAATTATATAAGATTATAATTAAGCCACATCAAAACGAAGTGTGCCAAATACTCAAAACTCATCATTTTCTACTTTTCCCTAGACATTTTGTTATTATCTCTGCCCTTCGGGCTGCTTTGGTGTATGGAATTTGTGTGGCAAAAATGATGGTGTGCTAGCACACACCGCTTCCTATTTGCCCTGCGGCTTCACACCAGGTGCTTGAAATCAGCCGTGGCTGGGCATTCACACACAGAAATTGGCAGACACTATAAATCGGGCCTTTCCCTCACCTCCTAGGTGAATTGATTGTTGAATATTCACCTGCACATCACTGCTGGTCCAGTACCAAGCCACAACTAACTTAACACATATGGACACTCAGACAGCCGGGAAGACCAAACGTACAGAACAGTTTCCAAGTAATTCACTTTCTGAGATAAAAGTAGAAGTAATTCCATTTTCCTAAATTCCATAACCATTTTCACTATGCCGCTATCCAGCCTAACTCCACTCATCTGCAGGGTACAATTAGCCATGACCCATCTGACGCATCCCCTACCCTCCTTCCATCCTCTGCAGGTCATCACACTCTCTTTTATTTTATCTGTGGTGGACGAACTCCAAGAGGCTGCATATGTGAAGTGTGCGTAAAACCCCAAAGCTGTGTTTAATCTTTTGCTTATATAAACCATAATATTAACATTGATATAGAAAAAAATCTGTGTGGCATTTAACACAGAATGTTTTCCTCACAAGATTATGGAAAACTTACAAGATCAGTCAGTAATCAACATTCACAACTTTAAGGTAGTCTTAAGTAGGAACAAATATTTGATAAGAAGTTGGAACAAATACTTGTTCTTTTCTCCAGGAAGTAAAGAAACAATTGAAATAATTGTTGATCTTTTGACATTGAAGTGGTATATTGTAGAATCCTTTTGCTCAAGAATAGTGGTTCTCTTGGTGTTTCTGCAAACTCTCAAAACATTGACATTCAAAAGTGTGTATAGAAACAAAAAGAACTCCCAGATTACCTTATAAAGTATGAGACAGTATGAATCATGACACTTGAGACAAGACACCCTGGAACAAATTATCTTATTACTATTCTTATGGGTTGAATTGCATCTGTCCAAAATATAGCTCCATGTCCCCAGAACATGTGAGTGACCTTGTTTGGAAGTCGAATGTGTACAGCTGTAGTCAGTTTAAAATGAGGTCCTACTAGGTTAGGGTGAGCCCTAATCCAATGACTGGAGGAATTTGGATACAGAGACATTTAATAAGGGAAGAAGATCACGTGACCACCGAGGCAGAGATGGGAGGGGTAAGTCTGCAAGCCAAGGGACATCAGGGGGTGCTGGCAGCCACCGGAAAGTGGAAGAAACAAAGAAGGACCCTCCCCAAGACCTCTCAGAGGGAGAAGGGCCCTGCCAACACCATCAGTGTTGGACTTGCAGCTCCAGAACTATGAGAGAGTCACGTTCTGTTGTTTGAAGCCACCCAGCTTGGGGCAGTTTGTTGTGGCAACCTTAGGTAAGTACTACAACTATGTCAACATAATCAGAAGCATTTGCAAAAGTTACTGAAATTCTCAGTTTCAACAAAGAGAATAGGATTAACTTCACCTTTTCTTCTTTTACTTTCTGTATCTTTCCTTTCTCAAGTACACGTTAAATTTTAATGCAATGCATAAATTCTTATTCATTCAAGCCAGAGTCAAAATATGGAATACCAGAATTTGTAGTCACCATTCTAAACAGTCTTTCTTAATTTAAATTAGCAGAACCTAGTGAATCATTAAATACTTCTTTATTTTGTTTTGGTTCTTTGTTTTGTTATTTTTCCCATTCAGGTACCTAGAAATGACTTATTGGTGTTCCACTGTTTGGACAAATGGATTCATTAAAAACAGTCTCTTTTTGAAATGTTGCCAAGGAGACTTGGTGCTAAAAAAAGAATACACTTAAGCATAATTACAAAATACATGCATTTTAATTGCTATTACTATTTTACCAAAGAAGACTGTTGACTTTCAGGTAGTTTATCAGAATCGCAGCTCAGCGGATAGAAGCAGGAAGAGAGCAGCCTGAGAAACGGAGTGCGACCTTTCACTTGACCTTTGGTAACTTGGAGCTGGAAGGTCACACTCCTTTGATTCTCCCAGGAAACCAGGCAAATCTTTTATTTAAAATCTTTGGGGAAATTCAGCAGATCAAGCCAAAGATGTAAATACTTTCCACACAGGTTTTAAGCTGTCTTTCCACATATTTGTATTTTTATTCTTTACATGAAAAGACTTTTTTCTTTATTCCTTTGGTTTAAAAATAGAACTAAGACAATTAAAAACTCACTACAGATAGTCATGAGCATGAGGGAAGGTATAATACCTAATTGGCAGCATTTGCAGTTTTGAACTGATGGAATTTAATCATTGCACCACCCAGAACAAATTCAGAATTAGTCTCCCATTAATGGTTCACTTAAGTAGAATAAACACCATCAAATTAAACTTTGGAGCTTCTCAAAATATTGAAGAGCAAAAACTGAGCTCATTTGAGGAAGGTTTTGCTCTTCACTTTCTGGTGAAAGAAATCATATAGTGAAACAAATGAGCTGAAAGATATTTTTCTATTTCATTTAACTTTTGGGAATAATCATTTAGCCTTTAATGAATGCATGTCATATATGTGAGGTATAGTATTTTATAATATTAGGCATTTTTTTTAATTGCAGTGCTTTGTCCCTGGCAAAAAAAAAAAAAAAAAAAAAAAAAAAAGTCTGTGAATAAGAAATGGGGCTACCTCACTATTCTTCAACACATAAACATTTTTTTTTTCCTTTTTCTTTCCCACCCTCTGAAGTTACAGAACGAATTGCCATTAGCAGCAGCTCAAAGTCTGAGGTCAAAGAAAAGACAAAACCTAACAAAGAAATTGATCCTGGGGCACCTATGGAATCCTATAATCAGACCCATATTCTAGACACAAGCGTCCTCAGCAAATCGCCTCTGAAATGTAAAAATTTAATTTGTCAACATGTTTACATCATATCTTCCATCACTGTCGAGGTAGTGCCGCGGTGCGGGGACACGGGGCTGGAGACGCCAGGCGCGCTGAAATGAGGCGACGTGGACTGATTAGAGTTCACATTGGGTGGAATTGTCTCGGACAGCTCAGCCATCAGATTATTAACTCTGATACCAGATACTCTATCTCTTCACTGGGATTAGCATGAAAATTTTGATATGGATCGATAAGCAATCTTTCCTTTATAAAGAATCTCTGCAAGCTTCATTAATCTGTGTGTATGTTTATGTCAAGGAATTAAGACATCTTGATTACTGCTGGTTCTCCTCTTTTTAGTTCTTTGGGAGGAAAATCTCATATAAATTTATTAAATAAACGGCTGGACTGCTTACCTCCAGGAAAATTGCAGCCTTTCTTCTCCTTCTCCCTCCCCTCAGGTTCAACTACTTTCCACAGTGCAGGTGGGAAGAAGGGGCTGCTTTCTGCAAACCAGTGGGGAAATGATAGCAGTCATATTTCAAACCTATCTTAAAATATGATTGTGAAAAACTATTTGGCCAGAGGCTGGCTTCACAGTAAAGGAATCCCTCCCAGCTCCTATCGGAATGCGGTCCCATGGGGAAACGTGTGGCTGCCTTTCCTTGTGTGCACCTGGGCACGCCGGGTGAGTGAAGGAGAACCTAAGCTCTAACTCAAAGGCCTGGAGGTTTGCCATTTTGGACATTACCCTGTCGCCATGGTGAATTCAGTCATTTTATTCAATTTCCAGGCTTTGTTATTTAGATTCTACATTTGTAAAAGATAATTCATAAGCAATATGAAATTGTTAAAACATATACATCTGCAATGCCTTCCACACTTTTTAAAAATAATTTATTCCAGTGTACATTTGAGGTTGCTGTCAAAATACATGGATATCTGAGCCATGCAGATGCTGTGACCTAGAGGAGGAGCACACCTCTGCCCATGTCTGAGGCTCATGGAGTTTCAGTTCCTCCTCCAAAAAAGCACACGGAGTACAACAGATCTTATTGTTTGCTGTAAAGAGTTTCTATAAGAGGCCTCTTCTTCCCAGGATGGTAACAGCTAGACGTGTCAAAATAAAAATGCAAAAGAAAGCACCTTTAAGTTTCCATGTGCATTAAACATACCTTAAGATCACTTTGAAGATTCTTTATTTCAATTCAAATGCAGCTATTGGTAAATGGATAATATGTTAATATTTTCAATATTTATCATGGTATTTTAATGAATCATGCCAAAAGATAAAATATATTTTAGTCTTCCAAAACAAAATATCAATACTTACAATTTTGTTGTTTTCTACTATGGGAATGTGGTGTACCCTTTTTGATAGAAATAAACTCTTTGTAAACAATGAGTAGATGAAATACATGTCCCATCTCCCCATTTCCAGCAACACACTTGGTGACCCTCCGAGAAAGGTGAGAGACTCTTTTGCTTACCATCTATGCATTTCTTAATTTTCAAACACTCATCATCCTGCCTGAAATAGAAGGAGACTTCATTTGATTTGAAAGAAACTTCACTTCCACAAAAGCATGAATGAGATTCATAAATTGACTTTATATCAATATCCAAGCAAGTTACTAATTTGGGTGGAGACACATACAGAGTTTGAGTTCCATAAGAGAAAGGCAACATTGGCAACTTTCATACCAAGAAGAGCGGCATAAAACTTGAATTGTCATAACCTGAAAAAAAAGCCCTCGAGCTTAATCAAGCCAAACGTTCATTTTCCAAGAGCACAAGGGAAAATTTAAAAGAATGACATATTTCTTTCCCCCAGATTGGCTGTAGGAATGAAGGCAAACTTCATGTTGTTTATAGTAAAAGAAAAACTGGCTTGAGAATTGGGAAATACATGGAAAACAATTCTCACCTCAGCCTGCCACAAACTCTTCATGTGACTTAGAGCAAGACTCAGTGCATGAAGGGGATGAGCTCTCATGCCCTCGGTGGCCATGGGCTCCTGTACTGACCTGCAACAGAGTGACTGATGGCAGCAGCTCGCCCTGATGACATGCTCACTGCGTCACACATGCCCTGTGTGCCTCGGATGGATTACCCCATGGCGCCTTTACAGTGATCGCAAATGGGAAATGCTTCCATGATCACTACTTTGCAGATGAGGACACCCAATTTAGAAGGTCACATGATTTGCTCAATTTCACACAGCTTGGAAGTGATGGGCCCGGAATATGACCCTGATTCCAGAGGTGAGCTTGAACCACCACATGCACTGCACCAGACACTGTGATTGACAGGTGAGAAATGCAATGTGCTCAGGGAGTCAAGAGAGTGCATATAAAAATAAAAAATAAATTCACAAAAACAAGGCAGTGCCTAATGGCAAAATGTCCGTTGTGTGGCAGGCGACGCTCTGACACAAGCAATCAGCCATTGGAGAGGTCACTGTGGATTCACCCGTCTCAGCACCCATCACACAACCCTGGGTCACTGTGGATTCACCCGTCTCAGCACCCGTCACACAACCCTGGGATCTGAAGTAGCCTTCATGAACAGAGGAGGACTCGGCAAAGATGCTTGAGGAGATTTGAACTCAGGGAAAACAGCCAGGAAAGACATGAGAATGAAAGTTGGTGCAGCATGATACAGAGAAAGTTGGAAAATCAGCCTGGCAAAGAACCAGTCTTTCCCCAGCTGTCCCTCCCACTCATGAGCAAGCTCTGGACTCTATCGCATCTGTCAACCCATGCAAGCCACACTAGGGTGGAATCAACATGAAGCTCAGGAGGAAACTGGCAAGGGCAGGCATGCGTTCGCGGGTAACTCTGGTGGTAGGGAGGATGGGGATGTGGCAAGTACACAAAAGCGCACACAGCAAAAGAAATAAAGAGGGTTAAGGTTATCCTGCAAATCCAGAACAAAATATCTGGTGGAATTCATCAAGGTACATTGGACTTTGTTCTCTTGGTTTCTATTCAACCAAGATAGAGGGGAAAAATATGTTCAGCGATAAGATTTACAGGCTTCTCAACATAGAACGAACCGTTGTTCAAAAGGCATTTCACACTTTCAAGCATTAAACCAGAATGAATTTTCTCCATGATCTTCTGTTTAGCAGACAATCCTAGAATGCAACTATAATGACCTCATAAATATGTCCAAATTAATAAAAATAAAAATAATGACAAATTGTATATGATCATATTTGTGTTCTGTGATGCTCCTCAAAGCAAGCTGATGGAGTAGACACAGCACAGCTAAAGGCCAGATTTCTGCATTAAAATACTTTGTTTGTCCGTGGCAGGGATAGCACCAAGGTAGGATTTTCCTAAGATAAGTAGCTTTTATCCTTTGATTTCTAATCCCATACTGACATGCAGCATGTTCCGTATTTGGGAACAACCTACAGAGATGAAAGGAATGGGACTGGGGTCTTGAGGGGAGCAGAGGCCGCCGGGGGACAGGCGAGTCACACTGAGCAGAGATCTCATGTTTTTGGCATCCTCAAAGACGCCTGTGCTGCCTGGACTCCTCGGTTGAAAGGAACAGAAGTAGCTTTGGTTAATTTAAGCAAAAAGTCATTTTGGGGAGTTATTAGGGACATGCAGACTTCAATAGGATGGAAGCCCAACTTGGGAAGGGTTGAGTGATGGATGCGAGGGCAGGAAGCACAGAAAATGTCTCAGATCAGGAGTGCCCCGTCAGCAAGCTCCCTCCAGTCTCCCGCCTCCTCGAGACCTTTTCTGAAGACTCAAAGGCCTGGGAGAAACCAGCCGGTTTGCTTGGGTTGAGTAATGGGCCTTTCTTCTGACTGCACTTGGTAAAAAGGGGAGGGGGTAGTTAATGCATTCAGCTTCACAGCAGGAAGCAGGTACATGAGTTTATCCTGCAATGCAATCCATGCAGGGGGAAGAGGCCATTCTCAGAGGAAACCTGGATGGAACCAGGACACTGCAGTGGTTTGGGGACGGCTAGGGGATACAGCCAGGCCCGTTCTTTCCTGCTCCTCTATTCATTGCATTTCTTGTCCTTTTCATGCTCCAGTAAGATCTACTCTTCCCGGCTTTACTGACATGATTGGACCATCTCGATCCATTTTGGGGGTCTGATGACCTTGTTCTTCTCCATCCGTCCTCTTCTGGTCGAAGCTTGGCTCTCCTCACTTCTACCTGCCATGACCTCTGAGTAAACACACTTGATCTACTCATCTGGGGTCTACACCCAGCAAGGCAGTGTCTATTTTTCTCCATTAAAGGAAGGGACCAAACACTATACTTCCTGGATTGAACACTATCCCTTCCTGATTGGACACTATCCCTTCCTGACTGAACACTATACCTTCCTGACTGAACACTATACCTTCCCGATTGAACTCTATACCTTCCCGATTGAACGCTATACCTTCCCTATTTAACATTATACCTCATTGATTGAATACTATCCCTTCCCGATTGAACACTATATCTTCCTTATTGAAGGTTATACCTTCTCGATTGAATACTATACCCTCCTGATTGTTAAGCGTTCTCATCTCTCTCTCTCCTCTTTCTCTTAGCTTTCCTAAATTATAATTATTTGAGGATTCAAGCAAAAAAGAATGCATGGTAGCAATAAGGAAAAAAAAATCAACCATCTTCCTGATGAACTAAGTCTGCACTCACCATGTCTATATTACAGAAAACCGGATGGGTCATGGGGAGAGAGCCATGTGCTGACAGCGGCGGAGCACCAGACCCTTTAAAAACACTGGGTCCTCAGGAGCCACGCTGCCCCATCCGCGAGGGGCTTTCCTTTAAGACTGCTTTATGTTGCAGAGAAATCTGCTTATCTTAAAACAAACAAATGAAACTCTTTCATTTTGGATTTTCTAATTCTTGTGGCTGACTGTCCTTTCCTAATACTACATAGTAAACTGAAGCAATCACAGAATTATACAGAAAATGTCTTATTAAACCAATACTAATGATGATGAGGATGATAACAATAGCTGGATATTTTACTAGGGCTCAGGACTACACTTACAAAGCTAATGACAGAGTGTGACAATCTTAAATTCATATGATTCCAGATGTTACCTGGCCTAGTATTTTAGTTTCATTTGGACTCATGTCACCATTTTTCAAGCTGTGAAATGCTCAAGTGCAGGGTAAGAGGCCACTTCCTTGTTTATTCAGGCAGTAGCATGCAGCCGGGCAGAAAATAGAGATGAGGCAGTACCCAGGCATGCAGCCAGGGCCCCTGAGTGCTGAGGCAGCACCTGAGGCTTCCACACTGAAAACAGTCTAGAAGGACACCCACAGGTCAGTGATGGCTAATTGTGATAGTCACTAAAGAGAATTTCAGCATCACTTACAACATTTATCTGCCTTACAAAGGAAATTCATTCACATAAAACTTGTATAATTGAAAAATATACTTAACATTAATAAAATGCTGGACACATTTTAAAAAGTACTGTAAGGTAAAGAAACTAAGAGAGAGAGTTGTGCTTTGGAAGCTGAAGGACAAGTGACTGATTCAGAATGAGGCCTTCTGGAATGGCATGGGCAGGCAGGAGGTATGGATCTGATGATGAGGTTTACCAGCTTCATGACCTTGGCCACGTTGCTTAAGGTTCATGAACTTCAGTGTGTCTGTCTATAGAAGAGGAATAATACCCTGTTTTCATCTACAGTTAACTTTAAAAGGAGTTAATGAATAAAGAAGAGATGCTATAAAATTGCTTTAAAAAGGTAAAATGTACCACCTATTTCAGCTGCTATGATTTGTATTAGTATCACATATAACTAAGGAAGAAAGAAACTATAAAAGTGTGTCCTTTGATCTCAGAAATACAGAAATGCAAACCTTTTTTTGCAGATATATAGAAATGGAAACGTTTTTGACATCAAACAGGAAACTTACAGACACAGTGATACTGCTGGGAAGAATCTTGCTATTCAAGACATTTAAAAAGCAAATGCTCCACTGCTCAGCGTAGTTTAAATGCTCCCCGCATGTTTTGTGAGCTCTTGCTTTGTAATATGTTACTAGGGATTCACGCAAGTATGTTTCCAAATGAAAAAGGAAATACATTTGATTTATGTTTTTTATGGTGAGAAACAATTTGTGGCTAATGATTACAAGAGCAAATCAGTGAGCTGTGCTCACTCAAATTTCTGAAGAATATCAGCAAGGATGTTGCAATTTTGACAACAAACTTAACATAGCCTAAAAGCTTTAAAATCATTTATCTGTTTAAGCCAAGCTTTCAAATTATGAAACTGGAATTCTAACGCTGTATTTCCCTGCAAACAATCTCAGTTTTTTCATTGCCGGCTGCCTTAATCTGATCTAAAGAGAAAGGGAACATTATCTCCATTGCAACCCCAAAGTAATCCTTCCCTTTGGCTTAGATTCTCAAATCATTACTTTAATATTATGAAAACGTTAACATGATCTTAATTTCCTGAATAACATGTACAATAAGAGAAAATAATACTATTGCTTACTCAGCTATCTATATAAACAAGGTTTCACATTTTCCCCACCTGTATAGTAGTAGTATGTTTGTTATTATATATTCATTTCTTCTAAAATAGAAAAGTGCACAAACAACAGAATTTTGTAACGACTTTGGAGTTGAATCAATTAATATATATATAAAATTATACATATACACCTACATATATATGAATATATACACCCACATAGATATTTATATATGTAACCTCAGAAATATAGAAATGAAAACCTTTGTGTATATATATTCATATGTATGTATAATTATATATACATGATATATGTGCGTGTATATTTAATTTCATTTTGTTCTCTGTGTATAAGAGAGCCAGAAAATCTCCAGAACAGCGAAAAGCATCCACCAGTGCTCAGACCCCCAAATGGTAGATGTAGACCACGTAATTACTTAGGGAATCTTGTTTACACATTTGAATGAGGAGCCTAGATTTCCTAGGAGAGAGGGATTTAATGAGGCCCTAACTGTTTTTGTTTTGTTTTGTTTTTTAAATTTATTACGCTTTATTTTTATTTATTTTTTGTGTTTTTTTATTATTATACTTTAAGTTCTAGGGTACATGTGCACAATGTGCAGGTTTGTTACATACGTATACATGTGCCATGTTGGTGTGCTGCACCCATTAACTTGTCATTTACATTAGGTATATCTCCTAATGCTATCCCTATCCCCTCCCCCCACTCCACAACAGGCCCTGGTGTCTGATATTCCCCTTCCTGTGTCCCAGTGTTCTCATTGTTCAATTCCCACCTGGTTCTAGGGTACATGTGCACAACTTGCAGGTTTGTTACATATGTATACATGTGCCATGTTGTTGTGCTGCACCCATTAACTCATCATTTATATTAGGTATATCTCCTAATGCTATCCCTCCCTGCTCCCCCCACCCCATGACAGGCCCTGGTGTGTGATGTTCCCCTTCCTGTGTCCATGTGTTCTCGTTCAATTCCCACTTATGAGTGAGAACATGCGTCGTTTGGTTTTCTGTCCTTGCAATAGTTTGCTCAGAATGATGGTTTCCAGCTTCGTCCATGTCCCTACAAAGGACATGAACTCATCCTTTTTTCTGGCTGCATAGTATTCCATGGTGTATATGTGCCACATTTTCTTAATCCAGTCTATCATTGATGGACATTTGGGTTTGTTCCAAGTCTTTGCTATTGTGAATAGTGCTGCAATAAACATACGTGTGGATGTGTCTTTATAGTAGCATGATTGATAATCCTTTGGGTATATACCCAGTAATGGGATGGCTGGGTCAAATGGTATTTCTAGTTTTAGATCCCTGAGGAATCACACTGTCTTCCACAATGGTTGAACTAGTTTACACTCCCACCAACAGTGTAAAACCGTTCCTATTTCTCCACATCCTCTCCAGCACCTGTTGTTTCCTGACTTTTTAATGATCGCCATTCTTACTGGTGTGAGATGGTATCTAAGTGTTTTAAAGTTGAATTTTGTTGAGGTACAGTTTATACAAAGGACACAAATTCTAATTGCCTATATTTATACAGCCAGAAACTACCACTGTGGAGAACTGCAGAGAGTCTGGGATGCCACCCCATGTGCAGACTCACAGATTTGCCTGCCTCCGTTCCAGGAACACTGGCAGAACGTTCTGGGGTCAGAGATGAAGGACACTTTATTACCCACAGCGATAGCACCATCCAGGGCATCTGCATGCATGTGATCTGCTGAGCCCCAATTCTTCCTGGGCAATGTGAAGGGGCCAGGTGATACCTGCACACACCTGGGCTGTGTTGAGAGAAATTCTGATCTTAGCGGATCTGAAACTTTCATAATGAACAGTAAGCATACCTACTGTTTGTTCCAGAGGGAGATATTATCTTTGGTTTTAGAACCTGTTCACTCCATAAACATCCTTGTAACTCTAGTCTAGAACAAAGAGCGGCATTCCTCTGTAAGGAAGATGTGCAGGAACATGAAAAATCCACAAAATATTTTATTCCAACACTACCTCAGTCAAGGCAGAGACCATTTTAACCACCCAAAAAGCTTCATCTTGCCTTCTCATGGTTAATACCCACCCACATATGGCCCCTGTTTACACACATGTGTAATCTATGGTAACAGGGGCCATATGTGGGTGGGCCGATTTCCATGATGGCCCCTGTTGCCATAAATTTGTTTTACCAGTCCCTGAAAATCATGTAAATGGAATTATTCAGAGTGTACACTTTTATGTCTGGCTTCTTCTATGTTAAATTATATCTATTGTTTTGGTTTTTTCTTACTGTTGTGATATACTCAGTGTACACTTATACTACAATTTATTTAGCCCTATTATTGTCAACGTGCATTTGAATTGTCTGTGCTGTTGCAATATTATTAACAAAGCTTCTATAAACATTTGAGTACATGATTTTTGGTGAATATAGTATCTAATTCGGTTCAGGTTGGCCCAGTTAAGGAAGTACTTGATCATGGAGTAAACATACGTTTAGATTTAGTAGATATTATTCAAAAGCTTTCCAAAGTAGCTGTGCTAGCTTAAAGTTTCACCAGTACCATATGAGCGTTCCATTCTGCATGCCTGCCAGCACTATATCACCAGTCTATTTAATTTTAGCTATTCCAGTGGTACTAGAGTGATAGCTCACCATGGGAGCAAGTGCCCTAATGAGTAATGATACACTAATTATTAATTTAGGTAGCTCCTATTGTAGACTGACTACTCAAGTTTTTTGACTGTTTTCAAAAGCAAGTTATCTGTCCTTTTTTTTAATTTGAAGGAGTTCTTTTTTTTTTTTACATATTCTGAAATAAGGCCTTTGCCAGATAACAGCATCATACACATATTCTAGAGTATAGCTTGCCATTTTACTGTCAAAATAGTGTAATTTAATATGCATAAATTTTAAAATGTAATGAAGTCTAAAATACGGTCATAAAGTGATTTCTGCCCATCCCAGGGTTGAGAAGATATTTTTCTGTTTTCTTCTAGAAGACTTATAGATTAAAATTTGCTTTTAGTTTTATCATGTTTTTTTGGTTTAAGTTTTACATAGGTATGAGGTTGGTGTCAAGGTTTGTTTTTTTCACATAGATAGCTAACTAATTGACGCTATGGTTTGACTATTTGTCTCCTCCAAAGCTCATGTTGAAATTTAATCCCCACTGAAGCAGTTATGAGAGGTAGATCCCTTAAGGGGTGATTGGGACATCAATTCATGGATTAATGGGTTATCATAAGAATGGGGGCAGCGGCTTTATAGGAAGCAAAAGAGAGACCTGAGCTGGCAAACTCAGTCCCTCATCATACAACACCCAAGCCAGCCGGGTGCGGTGGCTCACACCTGTAATCCCAGCTCTTTGGAATGCTGAGGCAGGTGGATCAAGGTCATGAGCTAGAGACCAGCCTGGCCAAGATGGTGAAACCCTGTCTCTACTAAAAATACAACAGTTAGCTGGGCATGGTGGCGGTCACCTGTAATCCCAGCTACTCAGGAGGCTGGGGAAGGAGAATCGCTTGAACCCAGGAGGTGGAGGTTGCAGTGAGCCGAGATCGCACCACTGCACTCTAGCCTGGGAAACAGAGCAAGGCTCCACCTCAAAAAAAAAAAAGAAAAAAAAAAAGTAGATACCCAGAGCCACCTCACTAGCAAGAAGGCCCTCACCAGATGTGGCCCCTTGACCTTGGGCTTCTCAGCTTCCACAAATGTAAGACACATATTCCTCTTCTTTATAAATCACCAAGTTTCAAATAATCTATTATAAACAAAAGAAAACAAACAAAGACATTGACCTAGCACCATTTACTAAAAAGAGTACTCTTTTCTACTAATTGCTCCAATATCTTTGTTATAAATTAGACTACTATAAATGTGTAAGTTACTTTCCGGAATTTATAGTTTGTAACTCTGGTCTACTTTTCCGTAATTATGTCAATACCACACTGTTTTAATTACTGCAATTTTATTATATATTAATATTTGGTAATATAAGTCCTCTGACTTCATTGTTCTTCCCCAGTATGATATTTTCTAACATAGGTCCTTTCCTTTTTATAAAATTTTATTTATTTATTTATTTTTATTTATTTTGAGATGGAGTCTTGCTCTCCAAGCAAGGCTGGAGTGCAGTGGCATGATTTCAACTCAGTGGAATCTTCACCTCCCAGGTTCAAGTGATTCTCCCACCTCAGTCTCTCATGTAGCTGGGATTACCAGTGTGCACCACCACACGTGGGTAATTTTTGTATTTTTAGTAGAGACGGGGTTTCACCATGTTGCCCAGGCTGGTCTCAAACTCCTGACCTCAAGTGATCCACCTGCCTCAGCCTCCCAAAGTGCTGGGATTACAGGTATGAGCCACCACTCCTGGCCTGTAATTTTACATTTATATACATTTTATAATTAGCTTATCAATTATCAAACAAATGCTAGGATTTTAGTGAGATTACATTAAATTGATGACTCATTCTGAGGAAAATGAACACTTTAACACTGTGGAATTTTCCAAGTTACAGTATGTACCTCCATTTGTTTCACTGATATTTAATTTCTTTCAGCAATGTTTTGCAGTTTTTAGTATAGAGGTATTTGACTTCTTTTGTTAAATAGTTTGTAGATAACTGACTTATTTTTAATGTTATTTAAAAGTATTTTTGAAATTTCCATTTCTGGGATATAATGTTTTGTTTCCATTATATAAAATTTCAACTATTTTACATAAAAATTATATCCAGTTAACTCTTTAATTTAAATTATTAAGTACAATATGTAATTTGTATATTTTCTGTTTACAAAATTATGCCTGAAATTAATAGATTTTTTTCTGTCTCTTCCAATATTATGCCTTCTATCCTTTTTTCATGCCTATTGTACAGAATAAGTCCTCTTATACAAGATTGCACAGGTTGATGGCAGACATTTTTGTCTTGTTCCCAAACTCAAGGAAAAAATTATTAAGCACATTCTTAGCTGTAGGCAATATTTTTAATAAGATTTTTAAAGTTTCCTTCTACACTCTAGTTTTCTGAGAATTTACCATGAATCAGTATTGAGTTTTATGAAATATTTTTCTCATAATTCTGAGATCATGTGTTTTTGTTTTCCTTTATTCCATTGAAGTGGCAAATTACATAGACTGAATTTTCAATGTTAAACCAACTTTGTGTTCATGAAATATAACTCTTGATTATGATATATTAAACTCTGTATTTATTGATAAGGTAGATTTGCTAATATTTTGTTTAGGATATTGGGTCTATGCTCACAGAGAGTTTGGCTTGTAATTTCCCTTTATTCAATTTTGGTTTCAAGTTTGTATTGGCTTCATAAAACAAATTGTAAAGTATTTTTTACATTTGTATACTCTGAAGTGAATTTTGTAAGATTGGTATTAAATGTTTCTAAATATTTATAAGAATTTACAGTGAAGCTATTTGGAGCTAGAGATTCTGTGAGACGGTCTTAAATTACAAACTATTTATTTGATTGGTCTAAAACTCTGAAAATTTTCTATTTTTATCTCATGTCTGTTTTGATAAATTGGATTTGTTTACATGTCAACTTTATTTAAATTGTTAAATGTATTGACATAAAATTTGTTCAAATATTCTCTCATTGTTTTAATGATTAATTTAGGGTATTGTTTCTTTTATGTTTCTGATATTTCTTATTTATTTTTACCATTTTATTTTTCCTAATTAGTTTTGTTCAATGTTTGTTATTTTAATAATTTTTGTTAAAAAAAACAAAACTCTGGTCTTTGAAAATTGTGAGGAGAGCAATGTCAGCAGTGTGATTAAATAAGAGAAAATGTGGCACATATACATCATGGAATACTATGCAGCCAGAAAAAATGATGAGTTCATGTCCTTTGTGGGGACATGGATGAAGCTGGAAACCATCATTCTCAGCAAACTATCGCAAAGACAAAAAAACCAAACACTGCATGTTCTCACTCATAGGTGGGAATTGAACAATGAGAACATATGGACACAGGAAGCAGAACATCACACACTGGGGACTGTTGTGGGGTTGGGGGAGAGGGGAGGGATAGCATTAGGAGGTATACCTAATGCTAAATGACGAGTTAATGGGTGCAGCACACCAACATGGCACATGTATACATATGTAACAAACCTACACATTGTGCACATGTACCCTAAAGCTTAAAGTATAATAATAATAATTAAAAAAAAAGAGGTTCTTGTCCTCATCCCCTCTACAGAAACACCAATTTAAAAACAAAGTATGGATGAGAACTTCTTCATAGGAATTCTGGAATCCAGTTGGAAGTTTATAGTTCCTGGGTGGAGTTCAGAAATAGGAAAAAAAAAATGCATTAGGAGCATAAAAACAGTTTCACTTTACTCACATCATTCCTCTCCCAAGACTGCTTAGTGTAGCTCTGAGAGTAATTCCTTTGGCATGAAAATTTTTCCATGGTGAAAAGAAAGAGTAAATGAGCATCCAGACTCACTGCAGACCCAAGGGCTGGGCCTGCCCACTCATACATTTTAGCAGCAGGCTCTGCCAAAGGTCCCACCACTTGGCCCACCCTGAATCTCTAGACTAAGTGACTAGTGAAGGGCTTTCCCTGGCAGGGCCAGTTTGTAAAAACTAAAAGAGGTGTCTACTTCTTCAAATTCACAGACACCAATACAAGGCTCCAAAGATCACAAACAATCCAGGAAACATGGCACCATCAAATGAACCAAATAGCACTCCAGTAACTGATACTAAAGAAATTGAAATCTATGAACTACCTGATGAAGAATCCAAAATAATCATCTTAAAGAATCTCAATGAATATAAGATATTGCAGATAAAATACAATAAGAAAAACAATACATGAATAAAATTTTTAAAATTTTAAAAATTCTTCAAAGAGATATAAATTATAAAAACAACAAACCAAAAATTCTGGAACTGAGAAACACAAAGTCTGAACTAAAAAGTTCAAAAGAGAGCTTCAATAGCAGACTTGATCAAGCAGAAGAAATAATCAGCAAACCCAAAGACAAGTTAGTTGAAATTACTCAGCCAGAGGAATAAAAGAAAGAAAGAATAAAAAGAATGAAGAAAACTTACAGAACTTACAGAACACTATCAAGGAAAACAATATAAGTTTTAGAAAGAGAAGAGAGAGAGAAAAGAAAGGAAAGCTTATGTAAAGAAATAACGACCGAAAACTTCTCAAACCTGAGGAGGGAAATAGACATCCAAATTTATAAACCCTTAAAGACCCCAAATAAATTGAATCTAAAGAGAGTTATACAAAGACATGTTACAACTAAATTATCCAAAGTCAAATAAAAGAGCATTTTGAAATCAGCAAGAGAAAAGGGACTTGTCACATAGAAAGGGGCCTTAATTGCAGTATCAGTGCATTTCCTGCAGAAACCTAGCAGGCCAGAAAAAAAATGGGATAAAGTATTCAGAGAGCTAAAAGAGAAACTACGAACCACGAATACTACCTCTGGAAAAACTGTCCTTTACAAATGAAGGAGAGATAAAGACTTTCCCAGACAAAGACTGAAGAATGTTGTTATGACTAGAACTACCTTATAAGAGGTTCTAAAGGGCATCATCACTTTGAAGCAAAAGAATGCTCAACAGCAACATGAAAGCAGAAAGTGTAAAGCTCATTGGTAGAGGTAAATACATAGACAAATATAGAAAAATGGAATGCTATAATAGTGTGTCAATCACTTTTAACCACAGCATAAAATTAAAAGACAAAATTATTAAAAATCAGTTTAACTTCAAAAATTGGCTAATGAATACACAACATAAAAATAAGTAAACTCTGACATCAAAGAAATAGTATGTGTGTGGGTGGGAGGAAGAGTGTAGAGTTTTTGTGTGCAATTGAAGTTCAGTTGTCATCAGCTCAAAATAGAATGTTGTAACTATAAAAATTTTTAAGCAAGACTAAAGGCTAAAGGAGCCTAGCATAAGATTGGAAGTCCAATACTGGGACATAATTTTGGGATAATAAGTTTAATACTGAGGTAGACATAATTATCTATGAAAACCGTTCCTGCATTAGGAACTAGATTAGCGAGATATTACTATCTCTTGAGATGAACATTATGTGTCAAACCCTGGAGAACAGCTCTTCAACACAATGTAGCAATGAGATCTAATGTTAATAGTAGATCACTGATCCTCTCTCTGTTTATGTGGGCCTGTGGGTAGACACCTATTGTCCTCCATTTTAACTGAAACCTACACCCCAGGTGTTTGAAAAAAAAATCAAAGCAGGAGGAGGGAATAGAAATTATATACTACACTTGGAACAAAAAAATGCACGTGTTTGATTGAATTGTTACAGGAAATAAAAACTATATATTCCTAGGCATCCCCTATGAGTCTGGCACATTTAAAAATTCTGAGGCTATAATAATGAATAAAAACAGACACAGTTTCTACTTTGATGGAGTCAAATAGTCTAGTGATGACTGTATTTTGCAGTCCAATGATACATTTCTAAAGAAGAAGCCAAAGACATTATGCCTAAGAGAATTCTCTCACCATTGCCCGTTCACAATAACAGTTTGCTTCATACACACTGTCTTTTTATTAACGGATGCATCATCGTGAAGTATTTCTGAAGCCATTTTAAGCAACAATTAGCGATTCAAACCTGATTTAGAATTCAATCACATGTAGTGTTTCCAATGAAAATAACACAAATGGGGTGAAAATCAGATGAACAGACAGTGTCGGCCCCAGGCTACAAAGAGCAATGAACACTATAAACTATTTCATACTGACTTCCTTGCCTAGAAGCAGACAAGTTTCTTCTGACACTATGAAGTTTTCCCCTGCTTATAGACTATTCAAAATCTGAGACTATGTGCATATTGAAGTCAAGGAAGCACATTACCTGCATCTTCTTAATATTTTCCTGAACTGAACTTATTGAGGTCTTCTCTAAATATAGAAATAGGAACCTCTTATTTCTCATTTGCTTGTTTTTGGAGAGGATCCTAGATTGTTTTCTGAGCATATATTATCCCCTTTGTACTGAGAAAATGCAGAATGCTGTTTATCAATGGTGAAAAAAATATTATTTTTGTTGATTTCCTGAAAATTATCCTCAATTTTCCTCTTAGAACAATCCAAGATGGCCAAAAGTCACGTGCCTAGACTGCATGCATTTGACACTTTAAAATATTTTGTCTTTACGGAACTCCTCTTATTTTGTTGTTGTTGGAATATAGTTTTTTGTTTGTTTTAGGAGATTTTTTTAAACTTTTATCTTATTTTATTTTTTAAAGCCAGAATTTATTTATATTTAAAAATGTTCAAGAGACCTTTAAAAGGCCCAATGATCCCCATATTTCTGGTTTCATATAAGATTTTAGGAGATGCTTTTAAAAATAAGCCTTAACAAATACACTATTGTATTAGCGGAAGAGAGCTGGACATATTAAATGAATACATGAGGAAGGTTCTCTCTAGTCTCAGCATCATGAACACTTCCTTCCCTAGAGCAACGGATGTGTCTTTGTCATTTGGATATTGGTAATGTCCTAACTATCGTATTTTGTTCTTTACTTTGCTAGGGCATTTAGAGTAAAAGCATTATGAAATTGGATTTGGATCTGGATCTTAGGGCATTTGTATTGGGTACTGATCTTTTCCTTGGTTTCATTTAACTTCCCTAACGTTTTTTCTCTTCCTTTTCAATTTCTCACTCATTTTCACATTCCTATAATTTTCACATTTTTGTATGTTGCTTAAAATCCTTTGATGAATGAGAAAAGAACACAGGAACAGAAATATATATAGATAAATAAGTAGCCAATTACCCAGCTATATTTTCTCTGTTTAAATGATTTTTGATGGGACGTCTTCATTGAAGTACCTGGCTGCTTTGAAAACAGGTGGTAAAGAATAAAATCATCTACGCGGTCCTGGGAGACAATGAGGAGCGACTCGGCTAGCAAATGACAGTTCCCTGTACATTCAGCATGAACGACGGCCCAGCCACTGCGATCAAAAACGGAGGAAGAGGAAAAGCAGCATGAGGCAGATCTGAGCCTCCAAATAACACACAGAACGGTTTTATTGGAATGAAAAAGAAATTGGATCTAAGCTCTTTGAATGGGAATGCCTGTTGGGATGCTGGTGCTTCTGTTGAGTGGTGGCAGTGTGGTAATACAGTTATTTAACATTTGAACTCTGAGCTCTTGATGCTGAGAAGAACCAAGAGGAGAGAGCGCTGAGAGAGGCACCCCGGGCAGCAGGGGGACGGGGCATTGCGAGCAAGAGCAAGGCTGGAAACCACACTAGATTGCACTTTGTTACAAAGCCAACAGAGAACAAACCATCACCTCTTTTAAAAATGTTGTAACTTACATTTCAAAATGAACTTAATTATTTAAATTTATATTTAAAAAATCAATTGAAGTTCTACTGTATTGCTGAAAAGCATGTAAATATTGACTAAATCATCTTCTTCACATACTAAAGAAATAGAATCAAGTATGAAACATAATTGCACACGCACACATACATACCTCACACGTTTTTATCTCCTTATAAAAATTTAATCATTGTCTTCAGAAAATTATTGGCAAATCACAGATATTGGAGAATGGTTTTACATTAAGAAAGAAAAGATAGTTAATAAGATTAACTTCCTTTATTGTAATTATGCAAAGCTAAGTGTTTTGTGCGATTTTTAAATATTTAAAGGTATCAGTGGAATCATGTTTTGTTGTTTTCAAAGCACATGATAGATGAACTCCTTCGTGCATCTCCATTTAACTGCCTTACACGATTAGCCAATATGCTCCAGTCCTTCTCTAAACTTTAGTCTGGACACGCAAAACGCAGGCTGGCATCAGCAGCCATGGGCCCACCCCAACTCCCAGGCACACTTGACCCCACCACTGGGGTTTCAGACTGACTGGGTGACATTTAGTATTTTCAGCCCCAATATTCATTATGCCGGTTATTTACATGATTTAATAGTGAAAGTTTTATTGAAATAATATTATATAAACCTTTAAAAAGGAGTAAAAAAAGTGTTTTATATCTACGAAAACATAGTTTATTCTTCTATAAACACTTGATAACTGAGCATTTTTAATTGGTTCACTAAAAAAGTATTGAGTGTGCTAAAAATTGTAAAAGACTTACAAATTTGCATTAAAACCTAGAAGAACCTGCTCTGTGATTGCTCTGCCAGCATCTTCATATTTTAATTCCACCATAAGTAAACTCAACTTCTGAACTGTAGATGATGCCCTATGGGGTTATTTATGCAAATAAACATACTGATCCCGTACTTAAAAATAGAAAAAAAAATTAGCTCTACAACTAAGGTTGAAAGAATAATACACATGCATTTGTTTTAAATTAAGAATTTTTAATTTTATATTTTAGTCACCCATTGTAATTCATGTCATTTTTACCTACAAACAAGTCACAATTTTGAAAGATAAAAAGGCTTTCAGTGTACATTACTGACTAATATAGCCTTCTTTCACAATAAAAATATTCTTTCATATTCAAAAATATAAATTTTTGAAGTGTGCTATTCACAAAAACATATCCAGATATGTGTTTTCTTCACATTTAGAAACTGTCCTTCTCAATTAAAATGGATTGTAAGTTTTCTATGGGTTTAGCTGGTTGAAATAGATATACACAGCTCAGCATAAATACGGCGGAAGCAACCTAATAATTGTGGAAGTGTTAAAAAGCATTCAGAGAAGCAAGCAGGAGTTGGTTTTCATGATGATGGGAATACAAAATGTTGCACACACTCTAGAAAATAGATTGGAAGTTTCTTAAAAAACTAAACATAGAGCCACTCACTATATGACCCAGCTCTGCAGTCCTGGGCTTCTATCCCAGAGTAGTGGAAACGTGTTCACACAGAAACCTATATATGACTGTTCAGAGAAGACTTATGCATAACAAGCCTAAGCTGGAAACAACCCAGGTGTCCTTCTGCAGTCGAATGTCAATAATTAACAAATTGTGACACACCCATACCATGAAATTGTGCGCAACAATCCACATGAATGGACTATGGATACCTACAACAACTTGGGCAGATCTCAAGGGCATTATACTGAGTGAAAAAAGCCAGTCACAAAAGAGAACATGCTGTACAATTTTATTTGTATAACGTCCTCAAAATTACAAGTCTTTAGAGATGGGAGTGGATTAGCAGCTGCCAAGGGTTGGGGAAGCCAGGAGAGAAGGAGTTGGGTGGGACAATGAAGTGGGTGCTTGCAGAAACCTGTGAAGGATCTTCTGTATCTTCTAGAGTAGTTCAGAGATCAATAGCTTTCTCTGTCATTCTACCTGATGAATATCAAAATCTTTCTTTAGTTTTTGTTTTTTTGTTTTGTTTTGTTTTTTGAGATGGAGTTTCGCTCTTGTTGCCCAGACTGGAGTGCGGTGGCACAATCTCGGCTCACTGCAACCTCTCTCTCTCGGGTTCAAGCAATTCTCATGCCTCAGCCTCCCTAGTAGCTGGAATTACAGGTGCACACCACCACGGCCAGCTAATTTTTGTAGTTTTAGTAGAGACAGGGTTTCATCACGTCGGTCAGGCTGGTCTCGAACTCCTGACCTCAGGTGATCCAACCACCTCAGCCTCCCAAAGTGCTGGGATTACAGGTGTGAGCCACCGCAACTGGCACAAAAATCTGTCTTTAGTTTTTAATTTACCTAAGTAAAATTTACCTGTTAAATCCAGAATAATTCTCCCGTATGAACAGAATTTGCTGCACTTAATTATTTCTCAGAGAACTGAGAGGTAATTTTAAACTGAGTTGGGCTTGGAAAACTCCAGAAATTAATTTTGAGCATAAATTTTGCAATATGTATACAATGCATCTGATCACAGAAATGATAATATCTGTGGGTTGAATGAATGAGTAATAAAGTAAATTGGGAGTATCCCTGGCATTGGGGTGTTCAGGGGACCACGAACGACACAACTGGTGCTGAAGGGAAGGTCTCACCCAGGGACGCCTCTAGAGGTAGCACTCACTGTAGATGGGGAGCAGGCTATGGGTGGTCTAGATGGATTCCCTAACAACTTCACTAGCAACCAATCCCCAAGTTGAAGGGCTTATATCCATCCTTTGAATAATTACAACGTTTGTTTTTCCTGGATCAAAATAGCATTGGTTTAAAAATGGCTAGCAGACAGAAGACTGCTGGAAGTTAGAAGGCTTAACATGTTTTGCCTTGAGTCAATTATAAGTCATAGTATTGTCGTCCACCAGTCACCATCACATCAACAGAGCCAGTTGGTTTTGCAGTGCACCATGGTCCTTGTCACACAGTGAATTCCCACCAAAGGTTGTGGAGTTGAAGTCTATCCCCAAATGGGGCTCTGTTCTGGGAGGCTCTAGGTGATGCAGCCAAGAGGAAATTCATTGAGGAAGCTCTAAAGAGTTGGTTTGGCCTTAGCCTTACCCTAGTCAGGAAAACCCCACCATTGTCTCAGATTTACCTAGTCAGGAAAATTCCACTATTGTCCCTGATATTGAAATTAATCTTTTTCTAAATTTTTTTTTTTTTTTTTTGCTACAAAAGGGTTCTTAAATGATTCTGGATTAAATCAGAATCTTGAGTTCACCCTGAATTAGACTCAAGCCCAGAAGACTTGGCAACTAGTCCGGAATCTGCTGTGGATCACATAGAATTTGTTTCTTGGGAAACTGTAATGCATTGGGCGTTGTTTCCCAAGCACACATGCCCACCTGCAAACTGTGAGTGTGGCCTTACTTGAAAAAATGTCTTTGCAGATGCAACCAAGTTATGATGAGGTTCTATGGATTAGGGTGGTTCCTCATACAGTGACTGATGTCCTTATAGTTTAGACACAGCGACCCAGAGGCACCGAAGGAAGAAGGCCACGTGAAGACGGAGGGAGAGATGGGAATGACCTGTTTACAAGCCGAGCAGCACCAGCGCCTGCAGGCAGAGACCAGAGGCTGGAAGACAGGCAGGGAACGGTTCTCCCCCGAGTGCCCTGGGGAGGAACCAATGCTGCCAACAGCTTGATCTTGGACTCTGGTTTCCAGAACTGGAGAAAACCCATTTCTGTTGTTTTTACCACCCTGTTTGTAGGAACTTGTTACTGCAGCCCAGGAAATTCATCTAGAAACAAATGGCTTTTCAAGTTTGCACTCTGCATCTTTTCTTTCTCTCTCTCTCTTTTCTTTTTTGACTTTGGCTTGGCCACTGAGGTGTTAAGTCAAAGCTGTGGGAAGATTTTAGACACTGGACACTTTTCCCCATTCTCCGATACTCCCCCAAATGTCCCTCTCAGCCCAGCTGCTTGATCCTGGAGTTACGTGTCATGAGGCAGCTCCTGCAGGTCCCTGTGCTACCCGGGGCACTCTGGTCTCAAGGCCGGAGCCCCTGGACATTTACGTTACCCCCATGTCCCACCTTGCCTAGCAATCCCAGTTTTACCTCTGACTTCAGTGAAATGACTAATGACACCTACTCCCTCTCAGACACATCCTCCTCTGGCAGGTCACCCTGTGGGTTCTGGTCTCACCTCTGCCACTGCGTGGGTTGGCACGGTCACTGAAACTCCTTCAGCCGCAGCAGCCTCATCTAGATAGTGGAGCCATAATGTTTGTTCCTAATACGGCATCTGTTGAGCTAAGACACCTGTAAAAAGAATTTAAAAAGCCAAGGGCTCTTCAGGTATGACAAAGTGGTTGTGGGTGGAGTCATTAATGTTGATCTCTTTCTTTACGGAGCCTCAGACCAGAGATTTCAAGAGCATGTCTAATGTTCTGCCTGACTGTGATTTTGGAGGGAACACTTACTTACACAAATGTCTGACTTGGGGATGGCACTGTCCTTTTTCTTACAGGACTCTTCAGTATATGGAGAACAGTGATTCCCTGGTCATATAATAAAAAGATCAATACAAGACGGGAAGAGAGTAGAACAAATACTTGAATAGATATTTAGTGATTCATGAGATTATTCAAAGGATTTTCTAAATAATACTCTTCATCAGGCCTTCCAGATTCCTACCTGGAAGAGGGAACGTATGAACTACAAAAAAAAAAAAAAAACTTCTTAACACACCTGCAGCCGCTCTTCTAGGACACACCCCCCAGTTATCTCAAGCACAGTCAGGCAGAGCGCTTTCTGCCTGTCACAAATGTTAGTTTCTTCCTCTTTAATTTCTCCTAAGAGCATAAAAAGTGGATACTTCTTATCATTAACAGATTTTCATACACTTGTCTTTCTCACTTTTTTTTTTTTTGAGACAGAGTCTCGCTCTGTCACCCAAGCTGGAATGCAATGGTGTGATCTCTGCACACTGCAACTGCCGTCTCCTGGGTTAAAGTGATTCCCCTGCCTCAGCCTCCCAAGTAGCTGGGATTACAGGTGCGTGCCACCACACTCAGCTAATTTTTGTATTTTTAGTAGAGACGGGGTTCCATCATGTTGGCCAGGCTGGTCTCGAACTACTGACCTCAGGTGATCCAACAGCCTTGGCCTCCCAAAGTGCTGGGATTACAGGTGTGAGCCACTGTGCCCAGCTGTTTCTCACATTTTATGTGTTTTTTTCTTTCATAAGTTCTCAGGAAAGCCACTTGTTTAAGAACTTTGGCCACCTTCAGAGCTTCTGTGCATCAGGAGAACCTGTGTGCTTATTACAATGCCAATTTCCAGTTTCCCAAATCTGCTGAGTAAGAGCCCAGGTGCCCGTGTTGGGAACACAGTGGTTCCCATGCATCCGGGAAGGGAGGAGAGCACATATGCTCTAACTGGACGCTTATCTGCTGTTGCTCCTTTTTTTCTTTTACAAACCCTTCTTCTTATCTACTATTGATTGGATTTTACAGTCCTGTTCCAGAAGCTCTTCCTAAACTTTTTACACGGAGAAATTGTATCTCAGGCATCTGACTGACCACACAGCCGCTGACTGAGGACCCAGCTGTGAGTCACCTGCCCACCCAGGTGACCTGACTCCCTCCTCCTGAGAGGTGCCCAGTACGGCGACTCCGTCCCCTCCGGCTGCGGCGGATTCGGGGCCATGACAGAATCCTAAGTTCAAGCCCCCTGGGGTGATTTGCGATGGGGGACGCCGGCGGCACAGAGCACGCAAGATGAGTGCTCAGGGTCTGGCTGAGAAGCTATTTGTGTAGCTGGGCACATTGGAGTAATTAAGGAAGTGGGTCACAGTCAGTGCAGTTTCAGGTAGGTCAGCAGGAGCCAAGAGTGTGAGATTTTCAGCAAAGAGTTTAAAATATGCACAACTAAACCCAGCAGCAATCATCCTGAAGTAACTGCTCTGTGATTCCCGTGTGTCGCTCGAGCTGCTGGTCACTGACCCAGGCTGTCCCGGCCCCCTGGATCCCCTGCATTGAGCTTCAGGCTCAGACCCCAGTAGCAGCGCGGACAGCCATGCCCAGGTCCCCTCCTCCACCAGGTGCCGGCCACCTCGTGTCTCTCCGTCTGAGTGTTCAAGGCAAAATCACAGAAAGGCAGGCAGGAAGGAAGACCAGGCTGGAGAGGAGCTTCCAGGCAGGTCCAGCGGAGTGGGTGGTCACACAATGGGGATGAAAATTGGGGGATTTAAAGAGAAGCCACAGAAGGTGGTTGAATTTCACAAGTTTGGTGTTTCCTCTCGCATATACATCTCAGTTTCCTCCCTCATTCAGAGCTCGCAGTGTGGGCAGCAAACGCCGTGGAGGCGTCCGTCTTTTCAGAAACCCTCACCTTAGACATTCCATTCCCGGTGCTTTTTTCAAATTCTGGCCGAAAGCTTAGAAAAACGCTGGTCACTTTCTCTTCATTCCCGAGCTACGTGGCTGCTCATTGTAATGTTGGGTAACTGGCAGGAAGGCTGCTGGGGGAATGGGCAGGACAGAGGTGTCCTCCCCCCACCCCCCCACCCACCCCAAACTCAATGCACTTCTCTCACCTGACTCCAGAAATTGTGGCGCGCTGGATAGCGCACTCCTGTTCCCGCGCTCCCACAGTGTGTGGCCAGGGTGCCCTCGGGTTTTTCAAGCCTCAGGAAACAGGGACTGCTACAAACAGACAAAGACAGGAAGGGAGATGGGAAACATTTTTTCAGCATTAATTGCTTAGATTCAGATTTAGTGAGACCTATTAAAAATAAAAGATTCAAATATGGCTTTCTGAGACTGAGTTTCTCTTTTTTCCTTCTTTTATTGCAGTCACATTTTTTAAAGTACTTTATGATAGATTTTAAAAACTGCCCAATTATATATTTATCCAATAGTCCTTAATTATAGACTACCAAGTAATTACATAATTATGGACTTCTAGAAATGCTTAGTATTTACTCCGTAGTCCGTAAGGAGCTGTTATGGACTATTGTGCAATTGTATAATTAGGGATGTTATAAAGTGCATGTTATTTATTCAATAGTAGTTTGAGCCATTATAGTCTGTCATGTCAAGCTCTCCTCAAAGAATATTCTGGTTCCTGAACCACCCGTCTGCTGGAAAACAGGGGCGTCCTTGGAATCACCATTGTCCTGGGCCCTGGTGGGGAATATGCAACCACAGTAAGTGTTTGTAAATGGAACCCACAAAAACAGGACTATTAGTATGAACATGATTCATCTTTAAGAACAGGCCGGGCGCGGTGGCTCACGCCTGTAATCCCAGCACTTTGGGAGGCCGAGGCGGGTGGATCATGAGGTCAGGAGATCGAGACCATCCTGGCTAACAAGGTGAAACCCCGTCTCTACTAAAAATACAAAAAATTAGCCGGGCGCGGTGGCGGGCGCCTGTAGTCCCAGCTACTCGGGAGGCTGAGGCAGGAGAATGGCGTGAACCCGGGAAGCGGAGCTTGCAGTGAGCCGAGATTGCGCCACTGCAGTCCGCAGTCCGGCCTGGGCGACAGAGCGAGACTCCGTCTCAAAAAAAAAAAAAAAAAAAAAAAAAAAAAGAACATTTTGGGCTATAACCCATATTTTTATCCCAAAGTCATTTAGTTGAACTATCTGAGAAGAAATATATTTTATTTTTAAGGTAATATACGTGTTGCTCCAAGAAAGGGTTAAGATGAAGCGCTGAAAACAGAAGCCACTGTTGTTAGGATGGTAACTGAACACAACCACTGATGAGTGTAAACCTATTTAAAAAATAAACTCCTTCATGGCTGTCCAGGAATTTTGGTTGAACTTAGGGGGCTGAAGTGGTAGACATGTCCTATAATTGGAAGTCATTTTAAAGAAAATTTTTAAATACAGAAATGCTGCTCGTCATATACAAAGCGATCTGGTCCTAGGTTAGTGGATGTTGCATTTTACATCATTTCTGTAGCAAAGACGACATGCCCTCAGAAGACCAGCCACAGGCGAAAGGGAAGGATTTACTTAGTGGAAACCTTTTGTTTCCAAAAAGGCTGGTGAGGTCCTAGGATTTGCTACAGGTCATTCTATCTGGAGAGGTCCCAGGACTTGCTACAGGTCATTCTATCTGCAAGTGGGTTACTGGGATGACAAGGTACCTACCCATCTCTCTCCATCAGTCGTCACTTACACTGGCCTCCCGCCAGTGTGATTTTCATTTGTCCAGGTCTGGTTGCCTGTGTCTCTGTGCTAAGTGCTGGCATCATCTCATGGAAGACTGTGGTTAGGAGACATTCTGCAAGCATGAGGATTCAACTAAGTTAAAACCTACACCACACCAGGACAGCATTTCCCCAACACCCACCATTGTCTAAATTCAGTGGCTTTGGGGGGAAGAAAGAGAATTCCCCACCCCCAACACACACACACACACACACACGCACATACACACATGTGCACACGTGCACACACGTACACACACGTATGCAAACATACACACAAATGCACACACGTATACACACATGCACACACACATACACACATACACACACAGATACACACATACACACAAACACACACACAAATCCGTAATTCTCCTTTTATTCTTTTAGGACCTCAGACCATAGAGGAAAAAGTGTCTGGTACCAAATTAAAATATTGTATTGTGGAGTTTTAAAAAGTGAGTCAGGTTTTTCCTCAGATAAATCAAGTAGTTTCTTACCATCTTTCCACTTGCTTTGTGAGACATGTCCTCGAGATGACCCCCCACCCCCGCCATGAAAGGAAGATTTTCATTCTGAAATAAGACAAGAGCAATAATAAAATTGTATTTTGAATTGCTAGAGAGCAATGTGCTGAAAGAACATGACTCTCATGCAGTAAATATACTTCCTAACCACGGGGCTCATCAGAACTTTTGATGTTTAAAAGGTGCAATGAAAACAGATTGCAAGAACATCCTTGTTTTGTAAAATGAGGCGTGGCACACCATTGAAAGTGTCCCTGGAGTGCTTCACCTGCTGCACCGCCATGGCTTACAGGTGAGGAAGCAAGTCCACGTCGGGTGCAGGCACCAGGTCCTCACCTTCAACAGCTGATATGTGCACAATGATTTCGCCGCGATTTGGACGTGGTTGCAGGCAGCAGAATAGAAAAATAGAAAAGAAAACAAAAATGCGGATTAGATTTTGGTTCACCTCAGGACGTCAGAGAAAGCATCTTCACTAGCCACCATGTTAGGTCAATCGATGGAAGTGATTAAAGGGGCAAAGTCTGGAGTTTTTAATGAACAAAAACTCACAACAGCTTGTCAGTAACTGCATTTTAGCAAAGGCTTCATACCATGATTCTGATTTCAAGTGGATGCAAATGGGAGTGATCCGGGGATCCCACACCCATTTTCTCCTTCAGCTTTCATGGTGTCCAGAAGTTGTTCAGTCTACGGTGGATCCGGTGGCAAGAGATGAATGAGATGACGCCGCCCTGAGTGGTTTTGTGCAAGGAGGCAGTGCGCTTCCGAGGTTTCATTCATTCGCTGGGGAATAAAATTCCACTTTCAAGAAGTACCACTGTAAGCCACAAATGGAGTTTTCTTGTGGTCCATATTTCATGCAAATTTCTGCAGAAACCAAAATCGTGTCTCCTTCAGAAGGAAGTGCAGGGTGGTTTGCATAAATCTTTCTTCTCAAGTGCACTCACAATGTTCTGTGTGAAACCTCATTCTAGGTGATCCCGTGACCCTGGGGAATTGGTTCATAGAATTCACCACTTATTAAAAAGTGAAATGAAAGAAATGGAGAAAAGAAACATCTTGCTTTACGCTTTCAGTGGTCTACAGTATTAATAGTATGAGGATCATTATCTTTTTTTATTCCATAATGGCCATGATACAAAATTATACCAGACACAAAATTCTTCTCCACAATGATGTCTAACTGGCTATTAAAAATTCATGTGATCCTGAAACATTTTATTTCTCAGGAACAGAAAGTACAAACATGATTCAGTAAGAACCCAGATACATGCTTTAAGCTGAACAGCTCAGACCACAGTGGAGGGCGGAGGGCATTTTGCCCCTGCTTAATGGCCCCGAGTTCCCACTCTGTAGTGGGCACTTTGCCAAGTCCAGGGAACTTAGAAGAATCAAAACACTTCTTCTCTCAAGGAATGTACAGTTTAGGGAAGAGGCAAAAATAAGTAAATATTCCAATAAGTATTGGGGGAAGGGGCACAGAGAGCCAAAAAAGACCACAGGAAAAGGGATGTCTAGGATGTGTGGCGGGGTCACGGAGGGACCCAGAAGACAGAGCGTTTCAGAGCAGGTATGATGGCGTGGCTTGTTAGTGAATGCCAACAGAGCATTGGTGGTGTTTGCTTGGAATATCTTCACTGATTCAATACAATTTGTTTTGACGATGTTAAAATCTAAAAGCTTGCAAGCCCCAGTGTCAACGGTGTGTGGTCAGGCAAATATACATTTACAAAACGTCAGCAAATGCATTCTAAGATATTTAGGAGAGACGTATAATTCAATGAATTGGTAAAATCGAGGCCTATCCATGGAGACACAGAGGGCGACTTTGGCTCTCCCCTTTAATAGGTAGGAGTGCAGCTGACTGCCGACATGGGGCGACAGGCTGACGAGAACTGCACACAAGGATCTGCAATTCAAACCCACCCAGACCCCAAATTAAAATGCGCGTTCACCTGCTGGTGGACTAGATATGAGCCTACACGGTCGCTGGGACTAATATTCCTAATAAAGCATCCTTTTTAACAAAACTGAAAATCAATAACAAGAGAAGTTTCAAAATTGACACTAGCCTTTTGAGAAACTGGAAATAGATCTTCCTGTCAAAGACTAACACTGCTCTCCTCTGTCTAGACGGCACTGGGAGCAAAATTATCAGATTTTCATTTCCTCAATTTCACTCCACAGTGGTAGAACGTGCGAGTATTGATTCATCTGCTGAAACAAAAAGCAGAAGGGCTCTTCACCACAGCAGGGTCAGACGGGTTTGTGGGTGTCTAATTATACCTAGAGAGAGCGTATAAATCTTCCCCAGTCATTACGGGAGTGCACGAGTCCACAGGCATCATTAGAATCCATTTAACCCACTCCTCATCCTCCTTGTGTTTTATGGGAGGTCATAGATCCTAGAGTGAATATTATCATGCTTCACGGATTTTCAAATTTGTATCGGAAATAAGATTTGCTGCATGAGAAGACTGGCATGCTTCTCTGTTTGCACAAGCAAAGCTATAAACATGCATCCCAGCTGTCTCTCTACGTGTGCAAAGTACGGATGGTCAGGGCCTAAGTCCACGTCTTTTCTCCACCTTGGGCCCACGGTAAAGATTTGATTTTCAGGCTATCATTTCACTCCAGCACATACAATATTTGCATCCCAGGGAACATATTTAATTTTTCAAATGCTATCATCATGTTATGCACATTTATTATTCCACCAGAAAAACGGTAGGTTTTATGAAAAGAATTTCATGTCTATATAAATTATCATGATACGTATTAAAGTTGTAATTTCCATATCAATAGAGTATTTGTTTACAGTTGGACTGTAGTTTTTGGTTACTATGCCAACTTCAAGTGAATTGCACTAAATAGTATATTACTTTCATATTTTAAACAAGAATAAAATGTATATTTTAAAAATAGATGAAAACAATACATCTTACCAAGATAAAGAAATATAATAAACTTCTTACATCAAAAGCACTAGGGTTTGGCTGACAGCATTAGGGAAGTATCAGAGCTCATAATTATCAAAGGAGCCAACTGGTAAGACTCAAGTTTAATTTTCTTTATTGTTAAAAGCTAAAGGCAATGCATGGGAGATTTTATTCTTAGTGTTTCTCTCTCACACCCAGTGTGACTGTGGGACTGTGTATTGCAGACCATTTTGCAACCTGCTTTGTTTGCTCATGGACATTTTTCCAAGTCAGCAAATGTGGATTTACATCATTCTTTTTAATAGCTGAGCACTATGGATGTCCTCTAATTTATTTAACAGATTTCCTTTGATGAACATTTAGGTCGATTCCAATTTCCTCTAATATAAATAATGTTGTAATGAACATCATTGTGCTTATATCTTTTTTTGACTTATCTAATTCTTTCCATTAGACATAGCAGAGTCAAACTTGAATGTTAAAGAAGGTCAACTTATTTTAAATTTTGATCATTTTAATACGTTTTGTCAAATCATCCAGAAGCTATCAGTGTTCATTCCCATTCTGACAAATATGGGAAAGGTTATCATGTTTTTTTTTTTTTTTTTTTTTTTGGTCGGGGGGTCTTTTCTTCTAGGAAAACTAAGGGCAAACAAAATTTCAAGGTCATTTTAATTTGTAATCATTTGCTAATGAAGTCAAATGTCTTTCATACTTTGCTGGTCATTTATATTTCTTCTTCTGTGAATTATCTATAAATTTGACTTTCACATGCTATGAAATTAGATTGTTGATCTCTGTTTATTAATATCAACAGCTTTTTGGTTGTCTGATTTATATATTGCTGTTTACATTACAATCTTCTCTGACACCAAATGTGTTTTAGTATGAAAAGTGATGCAGAGTTGCAGCTTTATGTTTCACACCATCATTGATCGACCAGTATTTTTTCCTGATGATTTCAGATGCAATTATTTCATCTAGGAAGTTTCTCTTTCTGCTTCAGCCTGTATCTGAGCACGTTGCTTTCT
This sequence comes from Homo sapiens, assembly GCF_000001405.40. Classification (NCBI taxonomy): domain Eukaryota; kingdom Metazoa; phylum Chordata; class Mammalia; order Primates; family Hominidae; genus Homo; species Homo sapiens. The sequence continues at coordinate 78,167,922 of NC_000018.10, read as the reverse complement.
CCACACTGTCACACCGTCTTCATTACTGACACCATCATCATTATTATTCACACCATCATCACATCAGCCTCCTATGAACATTCACACCCGGAAGTGAGCATTGTCCCTTTATGTGCCCTTCCTTTGTCCTTCTTGAGGAAACATAATGGATTCATGGACTTGGCTTCAACTTCCTGATTGGACTCTTACTAGTTGCATGACCTTGACAAGTTACTTAACCCTTATAACTTCCACTTCTTAGTCCCTACAGTGGACATAATAACTGTGGCTACCCCACAGGGCCGCATTTCCCTGAAGACGGATTGACCTGGAAAGTGAAAGGCACAGTGGCGGGCCAGTGCACAGCCAGCTCTTCCAGGGGTCAGAGACATTGCATCTCCCGGTTCTTCAAACACGTTTCTTCCAGGAAAATTTCAGAAGCAGTTTTATAAAGTTTCTAAGTTAATTCATTGTGAATGAGTTGGAATTTTCTTTGGTAGGATGTTAAGGATATTAATTCATATAGGAATAATTAAAAACTGAGGTCCTTTTCACATTAAGCCTTCCTAGCCAAAAATAAGGTATTCATTTTATTGATTCAATATTTATTTTACATACTTTAAAATTGTGTTCATTTTTCCATATAAAATATGTTTCTGGTGGTTTTTACTTGTGCGTGTTTTTCCCTATGTAATACTGTATATACAATATGTATTACATAAACACAATTATATAATCTCTTTGTGTAATATTATATGCTGACTCTTTACTATCCTTCTGTCTGTTTTTGTATATAACTTTTATTGCCTGTCCATTTTTGACACCATCACTACTGAACTCATGTATATAAATATGTTTGTGTGTGGCATCATACACACATATGATTTCCTACTGGTAATCAAGTATTTTCTTCTACATATATTTGAAAAAGTATCTGATGATTTTCTATTGAAAATATCTGAAAAATTACCTAATGATTCTCTTTTAGTAATATTTATGACCTTAGTACTTTTAAAGGATTTCATTGGCCAGCACCTCCACAAGAAAGTTAAAATAGTAAAAGAAGGGGGAAAACTCATTTTGCTTCTGAGGCCAATAGAACTGCTTTTTGTTTCTTCTAAGCATGTTTATTGTGTTTTACATAAAACTGATTTTCTCTGCCACTTTTACTTCGCTCACTTAGTGTTACTCCTCCACTGTCTCTTTTCCCCCTCTCCATCTACATATACTGCTCCTAGAAGTCTGGGGCCCCGGGGGGTCCCTGGATGGTGCTCTCCACGGCCCAGGCCTCACTGTCAGGGGAGAAGAGAGCAGGAGTAAACACCTGTCTCGTTTCCCCCATTTCAAAGGATGTTGCCTATTTGCAAACCAATTATGTAATAAATATTTCTACCCAGAACAAGATATTTGTCAAAGATGGGTCATTCCATAGTTTCAGAATGGATACTTTTAGATTTACACATTTTAACATCCTTTTGTTTATTTTAGCCGTTTTTGTGGTGAAATCATTTATATAAATAAGCATCGTAACACTATGTTTTGGTTAAAGTGTAGACATTATTTTTAGTCGTAGAGAGAACAAACATTATTTTAAGAAATAAAAGAAAAATAATTTGTTTCCACAGTGTAGTATAGTGGTTACAGATGCAGAGTTTGGATTCAGAGAGCCAGGATTAAAACTCCTAATTTACCTAGAACCCTATAACTGGTATTTAACCACTTAATCTTCACTTTCTTTTTGATAAAATTGTGATTATGATAATGACCCCATAAGTTTTAGGGAGGTGTCAGGAAATAATATGCTTACAGTATATTATAAATTGAGTGATAAATGTGAGCTTTCCATTATTACAATAAAATACTATTATAAAGTTTCAGGATTTTGTAGGATGAGTTCTTTTGCCTTGCTCCTTACTCTTAAATTTGTGTACAAAGCAGAAATACAGATAGGTTACAGATACATAGTGAGGCTGACAGGGCTTGGGTGAATGGATTGTGTGATTTTCATAGTAACTTCCATAAATATGATTTCTTATAACTAAATACTTAATGAAAATTAGTTCACATCAATGGCAAGGCTGCTGTCTCTGGCAAGAGTAAGAACTGCTTCTGGTTACAGGAGGGTCTGATGCCTTGACAGTGACCAGGCTTGAGATACACGTGTGAGTGACTGCTCCGTGGAGATGGGCTGAGGGTGTGTCCATGGCCAAGGCCTTCCCCTTTCTTAGACAATAGCTCGGGGCTTGTGACAACATGGTATGTTTGATCATGTCCCATGGGCCTGCAGGCTCCAGAGGCCCTCTCAGGCCTGACGTGTGGAAGCCCCGGTGGCAGGAGGAAAACGAAGGAGAGCAAAGCATCAGTGTGAGGCTTCCAGACACAGAGTCACGGTCCACAGAGCAGGCCAGGAGCTGCACCCAGCCAAGGCAGAGGGTCTCCTGCTACACCAAACAAGTTAACCAGGACCCAGAGTCAGCTGACACCATGAAAAGCAGCCAATACACCACGTAAAAGCTCCATTGCACCAAGAACCAAGAAAATCACAACTTGAAAGAAAAAAGAGATTCAGCTGATGCCAACACTGAGATGCACAAACGCTGGGCTCGTGTGGTGAGCCGACAGAAGAATGACAAGCAGCAATGATGCAGCTGCCTCGAGTTCAGGGCAGCACGTCGATGCCAGCAGGCTGGGACAGCTACACACGGATACCAGAGAAACCGCCGGGAAAGCTAAGTGAGAAGATGAACTCACAAGCACTATAAATCCGTAAATTAGGAACCCCAGATAGCATTCACGTAATCCGGAGAAAGGAAAAAATGTAATAAAATAACATAAAAAGGAGAAACAGGGGAATACATAACATATCACAATATGGCAGACTTTAGCCCTAAAATACAAATGATTACTGTACATATAACTGGTTGAAATACACCAATCAAAAGCAGAATTTGGCACAGTGTACAAAAAAACATGACCCCAAAATATGCTGTTTATAATAAACTCACTGAAAATTTAACGACATAAGTACATTGAAGGAAAATAATAGAAAAAGATAATTTTAAAAAAAAGGAGTGTGTATATAAAGATCTGATACAGTAGACTTCAGAGAAAGGGAAATTACATAAGACATTGCAAAGACATAGCAGTCCTTTTTTGTATACACCAAACAATAGAATCTAAACACACATAAAGCTAAAACCTGTAGAACTAGAAAGGAGAAAGAGACAAATCCACAGTTTTAGTTGGGGAACTTAATAAGCCCCTCTCAGCAACTGAGAGAACGGCAGGCGAGGACAGCATCCAGGACACAGAAGACGTGAACAACATGACCAACCAACAGGACCTGATCCAAATACACAGAACTCTCCATGTGACCCACATACACAGACATAAACTACAGACGGAGAGACACTCTACAACAGCCCAATCATTATTCAAGAAATTAAATTCATATTTTAAAAGCTCCTGGAAGAGAAATCCCCAGGCTCAGATGATTTCACTGGACAATTCTATCAACCACTTATAGAAGTAACATATGGAATACAATCTGTTCCAAAAATTCAAGAAGGGAGAACAATTCCCAACTCATTTTATGAAGCTGGTATTACACTGAGGCCAAATCCAGAAAAATACAGTACAAAAAAACCTCCTACAAACCAATAGCTGTCTGTCATGAATTTAGCTGCAAACTCCTCATCAAAATATTCGCAAGCTAAATTCAACAGCAAGACAAAAAGAAAAAGAAAAACTTATGTAACACGACAAAATAGATTTTATTTCAGATATGCCAGGCTAGTGGAATATTCAATAATCAATAAATTGATTATTATCAATAATTGATCATAAAAGTATTTTTATCATAACACACCATAAAAAGAGGCAAAAGAAAAAAGTCATATGATCATAATTATATCAATCAATGCAGAAATAAAGGATTTTTTGCATCAATTTTGTTTTGACCAAACCTAACATGCTAAAAAGAGCCCTCAGTGAGATCGGACTAGAAGAGAATTACCTCAACTTGGGAAGCTGGGAAAAACCTACAGCTAACCTCCTATTTAATAAGGAAAGGCTTATTGTTTTACATCTAAGATTAGAACAAGTTTTTCCACAAAATGGCATATTATTGTCTATTTTATGCATATACGTTCATAATAACAAATCAAAAAACATGCAATGATATTTTTATCATATCATTGAAAGTTAGAAAACATAATAGACAACTAAATTTAATTATTATTCAGTAAAATAATTGTTTTCAACAAAATAAAAATTTTCATATAACCATTTTTCATTAGCAGTAAGCCAATTAAACAAACTTTCTTGAAATATTGTCCTTCTTAGGTAGTTTCTTAATAAGTGTTGAGAAACTTTGCTGAAAAAATGTGTTCAAAGAGATTTTTATCAAAAATTAAATAGATAAGATGAAAGACTGAACGTATTCAAAAAACTTAAAAGAAGGCAGAAAGACAGGGAGAGAAGAATGAAAAGTAGAGAGGACAAAGATAAAAAATGATAATTGACTTGGATGCAAACATGTCAATGTTTACATTAAATGGAAATGTTCTAAACACATCAACTAAATGTACAGAAATTGTCATATTGACAATTCAGTACATCTGGAATTTTTAATAATCTAACTCCACGCTGTTTATAATAAACCCACCTTTAAAGTATAATTTATTTTAGTAATAAAAATAAACGGATGAAAAGAAGATACACCATGCAAACATGTATCAGAAGAAAACTGGGGTTACTCTATTAATTTCAGAAAAAGCAAACTTCAGGACAAAGAAGAAAAGAGGCAGATTTTACAATGTGGTGGCAGTCTCCGTTCACCAAGAAGATATAGCCATCCTAAATATGTATGTGCCTAACAGAAGAGACTCAAATACATGAAGTAAACATTTATGGAGCTAAAGAAGAATTAGAATACAAGGAGAATTACAAGTCCATAATTACAACTGGAGACATTAATAGGTCTTTCTCGGAAATCAATAGAACAAGTAGACAGAAAATCAGGATGAATACTAGAAAATCACCATTAACTAACTGGACCCACTCGATTTTAGTAGAACACTCCAACCACCAACAGCAGAACACATGTTCTTTCCAAATGCACATAGAACATTCACCAGGACAGATCATATTCTGGATCATAGAACAAACCTTCACAAACTACAAATTATTGAAATTATTTCAAGTGTATTCTCTGATCATAGTAAAATTAAACTAGATATTAATATGAGAATGATAACTAGAAAATACACAAATATTTGGAAATTAAACAATGTATTTCTAAATAACTCATAGGTTGAAGTGGAGAAAAAATTGTAAAATATTTTGAACTAAGTGGGAAAAAATTAAAAGAAAGAATGGTTTGCAGCTAAAGCAGGGATTTAAGGGAACTTTATATCATTGGACGCCTAGATTCGAAAGGAAGTTATCAAATCCATACTACAAGCTTCCACCTTATGATACTACACAAAGTGAGTGAAATAAACCCAAAACAAGCAGAAGAAAGCAAAGAATACAGATAAGAGCAAAAATCAATGAAATTGAAAATAAAAAGTTATTAGAAAAAATCAATGTAACTTAAAGTTGATTTTTGAAAAGATTTATAAAATGACAAAGTTTTAGACAACTGTACAAATAAAATGATAAGAAAGAAAATAATGACAAATTAAACTCTGCATTAAAATTTTCTAAAGTTTGACAGTGTTGGGAGACTGTCATGGATCTCGATTCTGCATATCTTGTAAGCAGAGGTACCTTTCAGCCAACAGCTTTGGAATGTAGTACATTGCTCCCTGCAGAGCAAAAGGCAGATAGGATTACTTCCTAATATGATAAAAACAATGTCTTCCTCTGAGAGGAAGAGAGGGTCTCCTAGCTTACTACTATAAAAAATATTCTAGTTTGTTAAGGTGGAGTTCCTCAGACACAAACCCACTTGTGCATGAGTACCCACCTACACCCCAGTAATCACCCCTGTGTGATTGGGGGAACAAGGGAGCTGGCGTGGACACAAGCTCTTGCTGCTTGCTGAGTCGTGAGTAATAAAGTCCTTTGTAATAAAAGTCCTTTGTCTCTGACTTATGAGTTGCTTTCCAATATCTGTCAACTGGCAGGCTAACTAGTTAGCATGTTAAGAAGAAAAGCTTGCATATCTTCGTAGTTCTTGACAATTACAATGTCGGGCAAGGAACTTGAATATCCACAATATATAAAGAATACTCAAAATTCAACAATAAGAAAAAGATCAATCAGACACTTCAGCAAAGAAGATATACAGTTGGCAAATAAGCCTGTGAAAACCATATTAACACATGAACACGTGCTTACCATATTAGCCATTAAGAGATTCAAACTAAAATCATAATGAGGTACACTACTCACTTGTTAGAAGGACAACAGTTAAAAGAACACCAAAAATCAAATCTGGCACTTGCAAGCAGAGGCAGGTCTGACCTTCCCTAATAAGACAGGATCATAAAAAATGACTGTGCAAGTTGGAACTAAGCCAAGCAGTCTTACTCATCGGAGAAAATTAAGATTGTTTAGTGACCTGTAAATATTTTTTCTCAAAATCTTAAAAACTTAGTGTTGTATTGGTGTTGGTACTAAATGCATCAAAACATGAAAAAAACGAAGCTAATATTTATGCAGAACACTACAATTTAAAACAGGACATTGACAACTACAATGTTTGGCTTCTTGGTAAAAAGGGTGTTAAAAGTACTTTGAACAGGACTTGCCCCTTCTTTTTGTAAAATTACGAAACAGAGCTGGCTTCTCTTCCATGCTGAGATGAATTGCCAAGCTCCGCTCTAGGTTTGATCAGCCTCAAACGTTTATCGTTTGCTTTCCGTGACATGCCATTTCTCTGAGAGGTCCTTGCTGTGACGTGTTCGCTGGTGCCCCTTCCTTGGAGATGTGTTCATTATTTTTGTCCCCATCAGTGACCTTGCCGTCCCAGGGCTCCTCTGCCTGCAAGTCTGTGACGCTTCCGATGACAGCAATGCCACATCTCCGTGGCTGGCCCTTCTATTTTCTGTAACTCCACTTACCTCCTATTGAAATTGCACTTTGAATATTATTTCATTTCAAAAGTTGTACTTGTAACTTTTTTGGCCAGTTTTCTCTTTCTCTTATTTGTTTTTGCAAAGCTTCAGGTGTGTACCCCTGGGAGACAGGGAGCCAGCATGGCCAGATGCTCTGCTGTCTGGGAACCAAATGGGAGATCTGCAGGGACCCGTCACCAACAGGTTCCCAAGATGCGCTGTGATGGGAGGCTGACCACGAAGCCCACCTGTTATTCACCAGTGATTTGTGGACAGATGATTCCGGAGCAAAGTTGTCCTTTTTAGAATGCTCACAATTAATACACCGTGGTAGGTGAAATAGAAACCATGTCGTTGGAGGACTGGTGCTATTTAATTAAGCCACGGTAGCCAAAGTAAAGCAAGAACCATCACTGTTGATGAGGATGTGAAGAATTTGGAACTCTCAAGAGTCGCGTGTGGAAATGCAGAATGGCACAGTCACTCTGCAAAGCAGTAAGGTGGTTTCTTTTTTTTTTTTGAGACGGAGTCTCGCTCTGTCACCCAGGCTGGAGTGCAGTGGCGGGATCTCGGCTCACTGCAAGCTCCGCCTCCCGGGTTCACGCCATTCTCCTGCCACAGCCTCCCGAGTAGCTGGGACTACAGGCACCCGCCACCACGCCTGGCTAATTTTTTTGTATTTTTAGTAGAGACGGGGTTTCAATGTGTTAGCCAGGATGGTCTCGATCTCCTGACCTCGTGATCTGCCCACCTCAGCCTCCCAAAGTGCTGGGATTACAGGCGTGAGCCACCGCGCCCGGGCCAGCAGTGGGGTGGTTTCTTACAAAATCAAGCATGTACTTCCCTTGTGACCCATCCATACCACTCCTAGATATTTGTCCTAAATAAATGTTCACAACAATATTCACAAACATGTTTATAGCATCTTTGTTTCTAATTGCAAAACACTGGAAACAACACAAATTTTCTTAAATAGATGAATACATACCCAGTGCAACACTAACCAGCCAAAAAAATAAAAAGAAACTGTTGATGCACACAGCAGCATGGATGGATGTTGAGTGTCAAGAGCATCATGCTGGAGAGAATGGAATGGAGGTTACCAGGACTGGGAACAGTGGTGTTTACCAGGGCTGGGGGCAGTGGAGGTTTCTAGGGCTGGGCGACGGTGGTGGTTATTAGGGCTGGGGGAAAGTGGTGTTTACCAGGGCTGGGTACAGTGGTGGTTAATAGGTCTGGGGACAGTGGTGATCACCAGGGCTGGGGGCAGTGGTGGTTATCGGGTCTGGGGGCCGTTGTGGTTACCAGGGCGGGGGGCCGGTGGTGGTTACCACGGATGGGGATGGTGGCGGTTACCAGGGCTGGGGGGGCAGTGGTGATTACCAGGGCTGGGGACAAAGGTGTTTACCAGGGTTGGGGACAGGAGTTTGGGGAGGTGTAGGTCAGAGGATACCAACTCTAGTTAGATAGGAGGGTACTCCCAGGGACAGGTATGTGAAGCTTTGCAAAAATAGATAAGTGAAAGAGAAAATTGGCCTAAAACGATAGAAACATAGCTTGTGAAATGAAAAGATCGTATTGAAAGTGCAATTTGAACAAGGTAAGTGGAATTATAGAAAATAGAAAGACAGACCCTGGAGGTGTGAACACTGCAGTCATTGGTGGTGGTGGGACGGACTGCAGTCGTTGGTGGCGGTGGGGCGGACTGCAGTCGTTGGTGGTGGTGGGGCGGACTGCAGTCGTTGGTGGTGGGGCGGACTGCAGTCGTTGGTGGCGGTGGGGCGGACTGCAGTCGTTGGTGGTAGTGGGGCGGACTGCAGTCATTGTGGAGGGGGTGGGTCATAGACCTGCAGCCAGAGGATTTCCAGGACAGCAAAGCCACTCACGGGGACAAAAATGATGAAAATGTCTCCAAGGAAGTGGCGCAGGCAAACATGTCACATCAAAGGATCTCTTGGAGTAATTTCATGCCTTTGAAAGCAAAGGACAAAAGTTGGGAGCTGATCAAACCCAAAAGTTCAAGAGGCCTATTGTATAACATGGTGACTACAGCTAATAACAGTGCACTATGTTCCTGAAAATCACTAAGAGTACATTTGAAATTTCTCACCACAAAAAATCAACTATGTGGGTTGAGGCAAATGTTAATGAGCTCAATTTAGCTATTCCATGGCGTATACATATTTTAAATAATCATTTTTACTCCATATGTACTATTTTTATTTGTTAACTTAAAATTTTTTATATAAAGAATTAAAAGCATTCTGCTGAAAGAGAGAAGCCAGGGGTGACGTACTGCATGGTTCTGTTTTTACGACATTCTGGGAAGGTTAAAACTGTGGGACCTGAGCACGGGTCAGTGGTACCAGGACTGGGCTGGAGATTGGACAGCAAAGGGGAATTGTTTGGGTGGTGGCGCTGTTCTGCATCCTGGTTTTGCTGGTAGTTATGCCCATCTATACATGTGTTAAAACTCACAGAATAATACTCCAAAATGTTAATATCATGAACTGTTAATTTAAAAAAGAGTTGAAATTTATTTCTACTCTGTTCCATTCACTGGGTGACTCTGGACAGAAAAAGGCTTGGGAAAAAGGAGATAGAATATTATATGATTTAACTTCATATCATGTGACTCAATTGTGAATAACATTTACTTGTAATAATTTATCGTAATGATACAAGCACTGAAAATGTATCCATCTAAAATTAGATTGTAAGTCTAATTAGAGGCAGAGGTGGTGGGAAACTTTATGGACGGAGAATTCTGAATGAAAACAAAACCTTGTACCCCAGAAGGGGAAGGAATAGCAACGCCCAAACATGAGGGTCAGGATGGAGCCCTACAGCAAGGTCAGGTGGAGACCAGAGGGGAACGAGATGATCAGGCGAAGGGGCAGAAAGTCCCACCCTAGGCAGTGGAAAATGGCAGCAGAATGGGGCCGGCCCTGCTGTTTCATGACAATCCCTGCCCAAGTAGTTTACAATTATCTGCGTGTTAATAAATACGAAGTTGTGTTTAAAAATTAAAAGAACCACACGCCATGTGGCATATGATAAAGATAAATTAAATATGATCACACCAAAACAAAACTCATGGTTATATTTGGCAAGTGAATTATGTAATATGATATTTTTATGTCTTTTACTATTTTATAATATTTAATCTTCAAATAATTTGTATCATTTAATTTTTATAAGTACAATTTATTTATAAGATAAACTTTTGGTGTGTGTCTGGGATATCAATAGAGTACATTTATTTATAAGATAAATAAATGTACTTATAAAAATTTGTATTTATAACAAAGATATATTTATAAGATAAATGTACTTATACAAATTTATATTTCTAAGATAAATAAATCTACTTATAAAAATTAAATTATATCAATTAAAGATTAAACACACAAAATGCATAACAATTAAATCATATAAGGAGAAAAAACATTGTACTTAAGGAGAAATAACATCTTTTAAAGTTTATGGATTGGGAGGGGTCATTTCGTATCTAGCGATCGTTCAATGTGTTACTATCATTTTATCTCTTAAGTCAGAAATAGCAATACCTGAATCACTGATATCTCCCTTCCAGGGAAGTCCTGAGTGTTCCTAAATGATCTTTCCAAACTGGGCAAGGTCCAGCCTTTCATTTGCATATGTATAAGCTGGTTTCTACATAATCAGTGTGCCTGTTCGTATGTTAGTGTATAATTAAAGTGCCTTTTAAGTTACTCAACTACATATATTTTAGTGTTTAAGTATAAACCATGGAACTAAATAATGAGCCAGAACATGAAAAAAAAATTATGAAGTATTCTTGATACAACTCTACTCCTATTTTTGTAAAAGTAAATTGATTCAATTTAAAGAATGCATTTTTTTCACAAATGTTTTATTTTCAGTATCAAATTGTTGGCAGCTGATTGGTTTTTGTAATATTACACTCTGGAAGAGTGAAACCATACAATTTTGAAAATACTTTGTATGCAAATGTGTATTAAAAATCAAAAATCAAAAAAAAGTATGTGCTATAAACTAGCTAAACAGAATTTTCACTTGGAAAATTGCCTGTTTTGTTTCTAATTTGTGTATAACACACCAAGTCAAGTTGAATAGTAAGAAATTTCAGATGTCTTGTATAACCACAACTGTAAAGTGCATTCATTTTGTACTTTCTGTCCACAGACATCAAACGGTACATTTGTTAAGTCCCTCAACTTGTCTGCTTCAATTTTGAAGGTGTTTGGAAAAAAACAAACAAAAATAGAGTTTTGATACCCCAGACACACACCAGAAGTTTTAGAATAAATATATTTTCCACTGTAAAATGTGTCAGAATCTCTTTATAAGACCAGGATCTGAGGACAGAAGTGGCAGCCTTGCAGAGTGTCTTCCAGGTTAACTTTACTAGAGTGTTGGACACACGGGCAGAGATGGAATTCACTCGGAGGACAGGAACCAAGCTTTCCAGAAACCAGGTGCTCTGATATGAGGACTTCAAGCTAACCATGGAGTGGGAGAGAAAAATACCAGTAAATCACTAACCTGCTGACTACAGAGGAGAACGAGATTGATTTGGGAAGAGCAATAAACCCAAGTCCCAGATCACTGCCCTCTTCACACTGCTAACAAATCCACAAGGAAAGGACTGACAATGGATTGGAAAATAACAAAACACACTAACCAGAAAAGCAACCTGCTCTTTTACTTGTGATTTTTTTTTTGTATGTGCCAAATTTACCAAAGTGATCCTTTGAGGATAAAAATCGATAGCGACCTTCATTTCTTAGCCCAGCTCAAAGATTACCTGCATTTGCTATCAAGAACCTGGTGGTTATTGATAACCTTCATTTCTTAGCCCAGCTCAAAGATTACCTGCGTTTGCTATCAATAACCTGGAGGTTATTGATATGGTTTGGCTGTGTCCCCACCCAAATTTCATCTTGAATTGTAGCTCCCATAATTCCCATGGTGTTGGGAGGGACCCAGTGGGAGATAACTGAATCATGGGAGCAGTTTCACCCATACTGTTCTCATGGCAGTGATTGAGTCTCACTAGATCTGATAGTTTTACGAGGGGTTTCCCCTTTTGCTTGGCTCTCATTTTCTGTCCTGCCTGCTGCCATGTAAGACACACCTTTCGTCTTCTGCCATGATTGTGAGGCCTCCCCAGTCACGTGGAACTATGAGTCCATTAAATCTCTTTTTCCTTATAAATTACCCTGTCTCTGGTATGTCTTTATCAGCAGCGTGAACATGGACTAATACAGTTATCAATGTACAAAGTCACCATGGAAGTCTCTAGAAGCTGGATGATTGATTAAAAACAAACAAACAGTAAAGAGTGTTAATGAAAGGGGATCTCCATAGTGCAGAAGAGAGTGTGCTGGGGAGAGAGAGGGAAGAGCTGAATCCCATGAGGTGTGTGCAATGCCCCTACCTGCAAGGGTCTGAGGAGTCCAGGAAAAGGGTGATTACTTGTCCTCTCTCGTCACAAAGGAAGCTGGCTGATATGAATGTGTGGGTGGACAGCCCATGGGTAGATCAACGGGGATAAAGTACGAAGTGAATACAATGAACGGGGCCCATGTCCTCCATCCACGGCTGGTAAATTGCACAGGGCTGTGTCTGTATGTTGCTGTTATTGACATAGCTACTCCAGGCTGTGGCAAGATTATTCCACATATCCCCAAGAGGCTGGGAAAAGCGATGCAAAATGCAAGCCCCATCACAGGCTCATGGGTGCCTGGAGAGAGGCTGTGCCCTCACCAGAGTTCTCGGGATTATTTCATGAGCTTAGCAACAGCCAGACCAGACCTGTCTTCTGACCGGAACAAAAGAAGAAGAAACACTGAACTTCTGTAAGGAAGGGAGGAGACTCACATTCATGAAGACTCTGCCACCAGCCACACACTGCACCTGCCGCCCTTTCAAATTGCACTTGTGACTTCTCTGTTTTGCAAATGAAACAAAGCTTGACTATGGTAAAGAAATTGAGCCAAGATTGTGTAGTTAGTAATTCATGGTAACCTGATTCATCCCTATGTCTGTGCTTCCAAGGTTCTTCTGAGGCTGATCACACAGGGATATGAGAGCCTGGGAGCTCTTCGCACCTCATGGCGGGGCACAGCCGGAGTCAGGGCAGCTGAGATGCCCAAAACATGCAAGCTTGCTGCCAGCGGCACTGGACTGGCCATAGTAGTCACGGGGCTATGTCACCCAGAGGTGAGAGAGAGCAGGGGCCTGGCAGGCACTCAGGTGCAGCAGTGCCCTCGCCACCCCCAGCCCTGTGTTCCACACCCTGCTCTAGGCTTTTCCCTCTTGTGTCATGCTGTGCGAGGTTGTTCCAGGAACCGCAGGCACTCAGGTACATCAGTGTCAGTGCTGAGCGCCTCAGGGCCTTCTTTTCCAGGATCAGAACCTGCCAGAAGCAATTCCACCGTGCTGTTCAGTCCACAGGAAATGTTGTTGGAGCTGGAAACTTCTACTGTGGTTCGCACTGTGTGACTGTACCAATATCCATTCTAATATTGTGAATGATGACACAACAGTTAACCCCAAAGAGTCATGGGATCATTCCTTGGGAATGAAAGGGCCTTAATACAGCTGGACTGCTGTCTCCCCTGTGGTATTAGGATTTCTCCTTCACTCGGGGGCTGCTGGAGTCAGGGTAGGGGGCTGAGGGTGATCAGAGAGAGGGAATCTGGACTTTTATGCTTAGTCTATTTCACGACAGCACTTCTGCTGTTCTCTCTCTAGTCACCTGCATTGTTGGTGTTATTTAGCTTAAAGAAATGACTTGGTGACTGCTATGATTGGCGTGCATCCCCCTGAAATTCATGTATTGAAATGGAATCTACAGTGTGATAGCCCTAACAGGTGGGGCCTTTAGGAAGTGAGTCATGAGGGCAAAGCCCAGGAATAAGATTAGTGACCATTTGCAGCTCAAAGAGAGTACCGTGGTGGGCCCGGGCCCCTCCTGCCATGTGAGAACACAGCAGAGATGCTATCTAGGAAGCAGCAAGCAGCATCTGCTGGACCCTCAGTCTTGGACTTTCCAACCCTCAGAACTGTGGGAAAT